>NC_000016.10:21819819-22122849 GCF_000001405.40 Homo sapiens | reverse complement strand
CTGAATGGACGATACCTGACAGCAAGCCTCTCAGGCTGTTTTCCCGAGAGGCTTTTCTGAACATCAGAGTCATGAAGATATGGTTGGAGGGTTTTAGTAATAGAGAGCACAGTTGGAGACCTTAAAATATACTGGCCATAGCTTCTTAGGTTTGGGAACCTAGACAGGCCTTTACAGATGCTTTGAAAATCCAACTTGTTCATCCTGTTTTTTCATCCTCCACCAAGTGAACATATCCATCTATCACTCCATCCATCTAGTCATTCATCCATGCACTGCTAGACCTACATGTCCCTTACTCTTCTCTCTTCCTTTCAGTCTTCCATCTTTCTGCCATCTTTCTATTCACCTATTATTCCTTCCTTCCATTTCTCCATCCTTTCACTCCTCCATCCATCCATCCTTACTTTAATTTCTACTTTCATTCTTTCACTTGTCCTTTATTCCATTTTGTCATCTATCCTTCCATTTTCCCTTTTACCCTTCCACCTGTTCAGATTTCTATCCATTCACCCATCCATGCATCCATCCATCCATGCATCCATCCATCCATCCATCCATCCATCCACCCATCCATCCATCCATCCACTCATCCATCCATCCATCCATTCATCCACCCACCCACCCCCCCACCCATCCATCTATCCATCCATCTATCTATCCATCCACTCATCCATCCATTCATCCATTTACCTATCCATCCATCCATCCATCCATCCATCCATCCATCATTCTTTTCCTTCTTCTTGCCATCCTTTCTTCCAACTACCTTCTCAGCCATCCAGTAAACATGCATTGATTTCCTACTTATACTAAACATGGAGGATAGAGAGTTAGAGAAGAGTTTGCCCTCTTTATACTTCATACTTGATGGGGATTTAAATATGTAAAAATTCATGCATTAATCCTTTATGGGAGCAATTGCAGAAGTCTGCATTAGGTACAGCGAGGACATAAAGAAAGCAAGTCTGTCCTGTCTGAGTTGGGAGGAGAAAACCTTCATGGAGGAGGTGACCGTGGTACCTGATTTATCCCTCTTGCCTCATCTCCCAAGTTCAATTTTCAGATCTTTGAAAACCAACAGCTACAGTGGATTTGATGTGCATTCTAGGGTCCTGGGTGGGAAGCCTGAATCCCTGGTGATTCTTACTGCCAGAACATTTATGAAGGTAGGAAAAGCCACAAGGGAGCTCTCCTGTGGAGGACTGGAGAGAATTATGAATCTGAATTACCTCATGGATGGTCGATGATACTGTTTTCTGGAGAATAGGTACAAATTCCTCCACAGGAGAGAATGCATTGGGTGCCAGGACCTGATATAGACTTAATTTCTTGGCTGAAAAAAAAGTGTGAGGTTGGAGGCACTGCCTGAGAAGCTCCAAAGGGTTCAAGCCTTTTATTTTTTTGAGACAGGGTTTTGCTCTGTCACCCAGGCTAGAGTGCAGTGGCACAATCATAACTCACTGCATCCTCAAACTCCTGGGCTCAAGGTATTCTCCTGCCTCAGCCTACCTGAGTAGCTGGGACTGCAGGTGCATGCCACCACACCCAGCTAATTTTATTTTTTATAGAGATGGGGTCTTGCTATGTTGCCTAGGTTGGTCTCATATCCCTGGCCTCAACTGATCCTTCCTTCTTGGCCTCCCAAAGTGCTGGGATTGCAGGTGTGAGCCACTGTGCCCGGCCGGATTCAAGCCTTTTAGTCAGTCACCTGTTTCCTGGGTTCTGCCCTCTTTGGAGATTTACCTTTCAGACCATTGACCTTAAGCCACTCTGCAGAAGTCTTGTCCAAGTTTGGAAACTCAATGGTGAGAGGAGCGTCATGCTTTGGGGGTTTAGGCAAGAGGCTTATGAGTGGCCCATTTGTAATCTCTGTGGAAATCTAAGTTAAATGAGAAAGCCCTCATTACATAATCATATTTTAGAGCTGAAAAGTCCTCAGTCTTCACCCTCCACCCAGTCAATGCAAGTGGAGCTTCTTAAACACTCCCTGGTAGATTAAAGGCAGTTTTGCCTTTCCCTTCCATCATCCCCTCCCCTTCTCTGCAGATTTCTGGAATTTCCAGGGGAAGAGGAAGGAGTACCCAGCAACTCGCTCTCACAGTGGCCCATGCTCCTGGCTCCTTCCCTAACCTTACCATGAAGATCAGCACCATGGACTCCAAGGTGACAGGTCACCCCTAAAAACTCCTGCAGCAAATCACTTAGTGAGCTCCCACCTGGCCACCCTGTGGCCACATTGACAAAGTAAAGAACTGAGGCGCTGAGAGATTAAATTACATAGCGAATGTGTAAGTAAAAATAGAACAGCAAGTCCCAAACTTCAGAGATTTGAGCACTGCCTTCATGAATTTTGCTATATCTGAGTGCTACTGTATTATTATTAATATTTTAAGAATCAATATGTAACATTAATGCTTTTTAGTTATTAATTTTCTTTAATTTTAAAAATTCAATCCCTTTCACAATTTTAGAAAGAAGATCTATGATGACCATAATGAGCTAGTTTTAAATAGATACCATTTAAAAAATAATTTAATCCATGCACCACCTAAAATCATCTTGCAAACTACAAGTAGTACATGCACTTCATTTTGGGAAACTCTTGGCAAGGTTTTGGGCCTTAGACCTGGGTTCAATCCAAACTCAATCTATTTCTATCTTTGCAATCTCAGGCAAGTTATGTAACCTCTTAACTTTGGTTTCCTCATCTATAAAAAGTAATAACATACTTACCTCAGAGTGTTAAGATAAAGCATTTAAATAATTGAACATTGTGCCTATCTCATAATGAGGACTTAATAAATGAGAACTATTATAATTTTTTTTTTTTTTTGGGAGTCTTGTTCTGTTACCCAAGATGGAGTGCAGTGGGACTATCTAGGCTCACTGCAACCTCTGCCTCCTGGGTTCAAGAGATTCTCCTGAATCAGCCTCCCATGTAGCTGGGATTACAGGTGCCTGCCACCATGCCTCGCTAAGTTTTGTATTTTTAGTAGAGACGAGGTTTCACCATGTTGGCCAGGCTGGTCTTGAACTCCTCACCTCAAGCGATCCACCTGCCTCAGCCTCACAAAGTGTTGGGATTACAGGCATGAGCCATCACACCTGGCCAAGAACTATTATAATTCTAATACTAATTGTTATTATTGTATTTGTATATTTTTAAAATTCTTTTTTGAGACAGGGCCTCGCTCTGTTGCCCAGGCTGGAGCACAGCAGTGCCATCATGGCTCACTGCAGCCTCAATCTCCCAGGTTCAATCATCCTCCCACCTCAGCCTCCTGAGTAGCTGGAACTACAGGCACATGCCATCGTGCCTGGCTAATTTTTTAATCTTTTGTAGAGACGGTGTTTTGCCATGTTGCTCAGGCTGGTCTTGAATGCCTGGACTCAAGCGATTCTCTGGCCTTGGCCTCCCAAAGCACTGGGATTTCAGGTGTAAGCCATGGCTGAGGTGAGAATGACTCTCTTAAAGGCAGCCTATTCTGGGTGGTTGAGGTTTTCATCATTCTCCAAACTGGGGGTAAGGGAGGGGACAGTGACAGGATAGAGAGGGTGGCAGGAGCCTGCTGGTCTTTCTCTGAAATAAATTTTACAGTTAGTAAATCCACCAGAATCTTTCCGGTACCATGGTGGGCCCACCCAGCCCACCCAACTCAGAGCTCTGGGGTGCAATGGAGGGTGGGCCTTGCCTTGTTTCGATTTTAGGAAGTGACAGGCACTGGCAGCTGTGCCCCCTATGAACAGGTGAGAAAGGGGAACGAGGCCAGCTGAGTGCTGCTGGGAGAAGGCCCCAGAATTGACACTCGCACCACCTACCTCCTCCATGGTGCAGGTGAGCGCCTCACAGGGGCTGCTGTGCTGCAGGGCTTGCACGTGGCTGAGGAGGCTCTGGGCCTTCTGAATTTCTGCCAGGAGCTCATCCATGTCCCGGCTGGTGTAGTGCTGAGGGTGGCAAGAGCAATCAGACATCCGGAATCACTTGACTACCTGCAGGGGTCAACCCAGGAAGGGGCAAGCAGCCAGGCCAATGCCCAGGCAGAGGGTCAGACTCTCTCCACCAGGCCTTATACACTGGGACCCATGTGCCAGACAGAGCCTGCAGACATGCTGTGCTCCGTTTGTGCAATTGGCCTGTTGTGTTTTGTTTGTTTGTTTGTTTTGATGGAGTCTCGCTCTGTCACCCAGGCTGGAGTGCAGTGGCACAATATCGGCTCACGGCAAGCTCCGCCTCCTGGGTTCACGCCATTCTCCTGCCTCAGCCTCCCCAGTAGCTGGGACTACAGGCGCCCGCCACCACGCCCGGCTAATTTTTTGTTATTTTTAGTAGAGACGGGGTTTCACCGTGTTAGCCAGGATGGTCTCAATCTCCTGACCTTGTGATCTGCCCGCCTCGGCCTCCCAAAGTGCTGGGATTACAGGTGTGAGCCACTGCACCCATCCTGACCTGCTGTGTTTTAAAACAATTGAAGAGTTTTCTAACTGTAAAAGTGTAAAGAAACACTTTACACGCACTAGGATGGCTATAATAATAATAATAATTTATTTATTTTGTTATTATTTTTAGAGAAAGGGTCTTGCTCTGTCACTCAGGCTAGAGTGCAGTGGTGCAATCATTGGTCACTGCAGCCTCAAACTCCTGAGCTCAAGTGATCCTCCTGTGTCAGCCTCCTGAGTAGCTGTGACTATAGCCATGTGCTACCACACCAGACTAATTTTTAAATTTTTTGTAGAGATGGGCTGTCACTATATTGCCTAGGCTAGTCTCAAACTCGTGGCCTCAAATGATCTTCCTGTCTCGGCCTTCCAAAGCACTAGGATTACAGGCATGAGCCACCATGCCTGGTCAAGCCACAGGTTTTAAGATAAAATATTTCTTAAACCAGTCAGTTTCAGTCATTTACTTTACCTTTCTAACCTCTGTAGTCTGAGTCACCTGCAGAGAGAGTCTAGATGATGAGGTATCAAGATAGAGTGCTGCCTGAGCTTGGCTCCCTGCTATGAAAAGCAGGGACCTTGTGACCTTTGAATTCACTTGTGAGATGCAAACACTCATTTACTCATGGTTATTAATGGTAGGCAAGACACAGCCTGGGAGCAACCAGATGATTGCATTCTTAATCTTCCAAATGGATCTACACACATGTTTGCTAATCGTTGCCTCCCTTGTGAACACAGGGTGGCTGATGTCTAGTTATTAACTGGGACAAGGACAGTAATGGATGGATCGGTACAGAATGGATTGCTCATTTCGCTCTGCAGTGGGTTCCCTGCAGTAGCAGGAGTTGATCTAGGAGAGAAAATCGAGGCAATTCAGACTTAGTGCTTTGGTGGGAGCAGAGCTAGGCTGGGGCCTATATTAACGGCAACTGGAGTGAGACTGAGGATTCTGCAGGCAGGGCTTTAAAAGGCCTCTGGGCTCCCACGCATTCAATCAATGCATCATACAGGCTGATCAAAGCATCTCTTGTGACTTCAGGTTGTCCCTGGTCTTCCCACATATTCATTCTAACCTGATTTTACCTGTGTAACCTCATTGAATACAGGTGGGGACAAGGAGAAAAGGAGAAACAAGTATATAGTATGGTCCTGGCCCAGATCTCCTGGGTACAACCTTGGAGGCAGACAAGGAGAGAAGAAGAGGGGCCATGTGTTGACAGAAGGGCTTACCTCCATCTTTGGGCTGTAGCAGTGGTAGTAGCCCCTAACAGCTTCTGCAAGGTTCTTCAGGACAGCCTGCAGGGATGAGGCCAGGGTCAGGCCTCACTAGGGCAACACCAATACTCCAGTAAGCCTTCTCCTTGACTGAACCTCCCAATTATCCAAAGCTTCCCATTTTACCAAAGGGAGAACCAGGCACAGGGACAGGTGCATTCTGGTCCACAGCTCGGGGGCCTGTCCAAGCATGAGGCCTCAAAGGCCAGCCCAGCTCACTACCACCAAAGCCAAGGGGCACCTCAGAGAATCTCGGGCACTCACAGGGGGCATCTGATCATCGCATCTGTAGGTGATGAAGTGGATGATGAGGTCTCTTCCCATGGTGGACTGCTGGATGTAGTCAGACAGGATTTCAGAAGGCTGATCTGGGCTGTGGAGAAGGCAGAAGAGAAGTGGAAATCCCAGGTCAGACCACTTTGAGAACATTCCAGAGCAAAACGGTAATTCCCAAGGAACATCTACCCATTCTTAACTGGCCACCTGTGTCACAGGTCACCTATGTGGCATGCAGGGCTAGGTGGACTGCAGGCCTGTCTGCCCTCTGCCTCCTCTGCAGATGGGTGGGTGGCCTGTGACTGTAGTCCTTCCCTCGTGTGTGTGTGAAGAGTCATTGTTGATGATCTTTTCTCTCTTTCCTTCTCTTTCTTTTCTTTCTCTCTCTTCCTTCTTTCCTTCCTTCTCCTCTCTCTCTCTTCCTCTCTCTTTCCTTTTTCCTTTGTTTTTCTCTCTCTTCCTTCTTTCCTTCCTCTTTTTTCTCTCTTCCTTCTTTCCTTCCTTTTCTTTTTTCTTTCTCTCTCTTCCATCTTTCCTTCCTTTCTCTTTTTTCTCTCTTCCTTCTTTCCTTCCTTCTTCTTTTCTTTTTCTTTCTCTCTCTTCCATCTTTCCTTCTTTCCTTTCTCTTTCCTTCCTTCTCTTCCTTCTTTCCTTTCTCTTTTCTTTCCTTCTTTCATTCTTTGTTTCTTTCTTTCTTCCTTTTTATTTCTCTCTCCTTTCTTTCCTTCCTTTCTTTTTTTCTTGTTTCTTTCTTTCTTTCTCTCTTTCTTTCTGCCTGTGACTGCCATCCCTCCCTCATGTATGTGTGAAGAGCCATGGTTGATGATCTTTTCTCTTTCTTCTTTCTTATCTCTCTCTCTCTCTCCTCTCTCTCTCTCTCTCTCCCTCCCTCCCTCCCTCCCCACCCCCTCCTCCCTTCCTTTCCTTTCCTTTCCTTCCTTCCTTCCTTCCTTCCTTCCTTCCTTCCTTCCTTCCTTCCTTCCTTCCTTCCTTCCTTCCTTCCTTCCTTCCTTCCTTCCTTCCCTGGGTCTCACTCTGTTGCCCAGGTTACAGGGCAGTGGAACAATCATAGCTTACTGCAGCCTTAAACTCCTGGGCTTAATCAATCCTCCTGCCTCAGCCTCCCAAGTAGCTGGGACTACAGGTGCACACAACCATGACCAGCTAATTTTTGTCTTTTTTTTTTTTAAGAGATAGGGTCTCACTGTGTTGCCCAGACTGGTCACAAACTCCTGGCTTCGAGCAATCCTCCTGTCTCGGCCTCCCAAAGTGCTGGGATTACAGGCATGAGCCACTGTGACAAGCCAATCTTTTCTCAAAAAGTGGTTTGGTTTTTCAGTCCTTTTCATGTAGTATGTCACCTGCTTAGGAAAGAAGACCTACCAGCTTCTCATGATGGCCACCAGGGAATCCAGTCCCTTGAGAGTGAAGATCTTCTTCAGAGCTTGTAGCAGGTTGCTGCCTCCATCAGGCTGCAGCGTCTTTACCCAGAGCTTAAGTTCCTGGAGGCTGGGAGGAGACAACAACAGCAACCTAATTATAAGACTGTTTGTATTGAATTTCATTTTAATTTCTTTTTAGAGATAAGGGCTTGCTGTGTTACCCAGGCTGAAGTGCAGTGGTGCAATCATAGCTCACTGTAACCTCGAACTCCTGGGCCCAAGCGATCCTGCTGCCTCAGCCTCCCACGTAGCTGAGACTGCAGGTATGTGGCATCCTGCCCGGCTAATTTTTATATTTTCTGTAGAGGGCCGGGCATGGTGGTTCATGCCTGTAATCCCAGCACTTTTGGGGGCCGAGGTGGGTGGATCACTTGAGGTCAGGAATTCAAGACCAGCCTGGCCAAAATGGTGAACCCCATCTCTACTAAAAATACAAAAAAATTAGCCAGGTATGGTGGTACATGCCTGTAATCCCAGCTACTTGGGAGGCTGAGCAGGAGAACTGCTTGAACTCCAGAGGCGGAAGGTTGCAGTGAGCTGAGATTGTGCCACTGCCACTGCACTCCAGCCTGGGCAACAGAGTGAGACTCTATCTCAAAAAAAAAAAAAAAAATAGAGAGATAGGGGTCTCACTGTGTTGCCCAGGTTGGTCTTGAACTCTTGGCCTCAAGAGGTCCCCCTCCCTAGCCTCCCAGACAGCTGGGATTACAGGTGTGAGCCCCTGCAGCTGGCCTGTAGTATTAGGTACCAGGCCCAGGACAAATATTAGCTCATTTAAACCTAATGATAACTTGTTGAGGTGGTACCTTTATTCCCATTTTGTAGATGAGGAAACTGAGTTAGGACTTGCCCAGGGTGATACTGTAAGCAACTGTTAAAACTGAGATTTCAAACCAGGTCTGACTCTAAGATCTGAGCTTTTAGAAATTGTGCTATGTGAGGGTCTGGGGCTGAGTTCCTTCTTACCCATACCCACTCTCTTGGGAGCCAGCCCTCAACAGGAGGCATGGAGTTAATTCCGCGACCCTAAGAAGGCTCTAAGAGAAAGCTTTATGGCTGTGTGGCTATGTCCCACATGGGTTGGGGTACACACAACTGGTGAGAAGAAAAATAACTTGATTCTTTCTTGGCTAAAATTTTGCATAGCACTAGTGAAAGAGGTCTGTTCTTTCTACTTCAAAAAATCAAAAATCTGAAAGAGAAAATCTCAGTGTGGTGCTAATAAGTTCATCTTTCATGATCATAACTGTCAAGTCTCCCTTTTGAACAGCGAGAATAAGTCCCAGGTCTAGCACCTTCTCTAGCCAATAGATTTAAGCTGGAATTTAAAACCACTGTTTTGCTCTCATCGTATTTATTTATATGGCTGCTTTCTTTTTTTTTTTTCTCAAAGCCATTAAAGAAAGATATATGGTTGCTTTCTAATTATAGAAATATAATTGCATGATTATAGAAGTATAATCATGCAAGTGATATGAGCTTCTCAGTTATGGTATTGATAGAAAGTTTCCTTCAGGCCAGGAGCAGTGGCTCATGCCGGCAATCCCAGCACTTTGGGAGGCTGAGGCGGGAGGACCACTTGAGGCCAGGAATTCAAAACCAGTCTGGTCAACATAGCCAGACCCCATCTCCACAAAAAAGGAAAAATTAAAAAAATCAGCTGGGCACACCCTTGTAGTCCCTGCTACTGGGGAGGCTGAGGCTGGAGGATCATTTGAGCTCAGGAGATTAAGATGGCAGTAAGCTATGATTGTACCACTGAACTCCGGCCTGGGTGACAGAGCAAGACCTTGTCTCAAAAAAACAAAAAACAACAAACAAACAAAAAAGTTTCTTTCAATAATAAATAGAATTGAAGTAAAGAAAAATCAACAATAGTACACATGGTAGGCTGGGCACAGTGGCTCATGCCTGTAATCCCAGCACTTTGGGAGGCCAAGGAGGGCGGATCACTTGAGGTCAGGAGTCCAAGACCAGCCTGGTCAACATGGTGAAACCTTGTCTCTACTAAAAATACAAAAAAAAAAAAAAAAAAAAAAAAAAAAAAAAAGAAAATTAGCCAGGCATTGTGGAGCACACCTGTAATCTCAGCTATTTGGGAGGCTGAGGCAGGAGGATTGCTTGAACCCAGGAAGCAGATGTTGTGGTGAGCCAAGATCACACCACTGCACTCCAGCCTGGGTGACAGAGTAAGACTCCATCTCAAAAACAAACAAACAAAAAGACAAAAAAACCAAATAAATAAAAAATAAAATAAACAATAGTACACATGGTAAAGATATGACATAGGGTTATGACAAGAGAATTCCAGGAGTTCCTGAAGATGCAGAACTTTTGGCTGCCATCCATAACAACCCAGGTGTCACTGCTCCACCTAAAGTGGAAATCAGAGTAAAAAACGTTCTTGTTCATTGAGTACCTGGCACTAGCCAGGTACTTTGTTTTCATTTCATCTTCATAACAGTCCTGTGAAGAGTGGGTAGGATTGGCCTTGTTCTGCAAATGAGAGAGTTATAAGGGACTTGTCAAGACCACCCAGTAGTGACTGTTGGGGTTGGGATTCAAAGCCAGAGCTGCCAGAAGTGGGCATTTCTCTATCTGGAAGGGCCCCTCTTTACAGCTAGTGCTGGTGAGGGGGCCTCCGTCCTAGAAATCTAAGCACATGCTTTTTTTTTTAACTTTTTACTTTTGGAGACAGGGTCTCTCTCTGTCACCCAGGCTGAAGTACAGTAGCACAACCATAGCTCACTGCAGCCTTGACCTCCCTCTCAGGTTCAATCAAACCTCCCACCTTAGCCTCCCGAGTAGCTGGGACTATAGGCACATGCCATCACACTGGGCTAATTTTTAAATTTTTTGTAGAGATGGGGTCTCACTGGGTTGCCCAGGCTGGTCTCAAACTTCTGGGCTCAAGCGATCCTCCCACCTTGGCCTCCCGAAGTCCTGGGATTACAGGCATGAGCAACTGGCCCTGGCCAAAGCATGTGCCTTTTCCTGGGATCTGGAATCCCATCGTGGCTCTACCACTTTGGGCATCTTCCCTAACCTGAGTCTGCATTTCCTCATCAGCAAAATGAGGATAATAATCCTATTCCATGAGGTGGCTATTATATACTAAATACAATCATCTATGCAAAGTACCTAGTATGGTAACCAATACATGGTGGGCAATCGAGGACATTCCCTTCACGGAAAATAAATTTCTACTCACTGGATAAGTAGAAATTCTTACATACCTCCCTCCTGTCCCTCAAAAAAACCCCAGGCTAGAAACCCCCAGCTAAAAGACATCCCTGCAGTAGAATTCTATGTAGCCATTAAAACAAATGAGGTAGATTTGTATGCACTGACAGAGAAAGAAATTCAAGACCAGCTAGAAAGCCAAGGTACAGAGCAGTGTTATGTAGGTCCTATTTATGTGAAAATTAGAAGGTAAACACACAGATGCATGTGTGTGCAAAGATTATTTGTGGAAGTGGATATAAGGAACTGTTTTGGGCCAGGCACAGTGTCTCATACCCGTAGTCCCAGCACTTTGGGAGGCCAAGACTGGAAGAGCACTTGAGGCCAGAAGGTCAGGACCAGCCTGGACAACATAGCGAGATCCCATCTTTACAAAAATAAACAAACTGACTGGGTGTGGTGGCTCGTGCCTGTAATCCCAACACTTTGGGAGGCTGAGGTGGGTGGATCACTTGAGGTCAGGAGTTCGAGACCAGCTTGGCCAACATGGTGAAACCCTGTCTCTACCAAAAAATACAAAAATTAGCTGGGCGTGGTAGTGCATGCCTATAATCTCAGCTACTCAGGAGGCTGAGGCATGAGAATCACCTGAACCCGTGGGGTGGAGGTTGCATTGAGCCGAGATCATACCACTGTACTCCAGCCTAGGCAACAGAGACCCTGTCTAAATAAATAAATAAAAACTTAGCAGGGTGTGGTGGCACATGCCTGTAGCCCCAACTACTCAGGAGGCTGAGGTGGGAGGATTGCTTAAGCCCAGGATGTCAAAGCTGCAATGAGCTATGATTGTGCCACTGCACTCTAAGCTGGGAGACACAATGAGATCCTGTCTTGAAAAAAAAAAGAGGGAGACTCATTTGCTATTATTTATCATCCTTTCATACTGTTGGAATTTTTAAAAAACATGCATGTGTTATTTTCACAATAATAAAACTATCTTTGCTACTTTGCTGGATAAAAATAGTGTCTTGTGGTCACCTTATCTGTCAGTTTATGAACCGCTCACGAGGGTAGACATCTTTCCAAAAATTGTTTCTGCTTTTGTGAGTTGTCTCTTTGTACTCACTTATCTAGTAGGGTCCTGGGGTTTGCAGTTGAATTATTCAATAAAGACTCTGCTGGTTAGGGAGGAAAATGAACAAGTGAACATCACCGTCAGGTAGGAAAGCCACTCACGTGGAGGCGCTGACTTCCATGGGGTCTGGCCAGAGGGACCCGGCATTGGTGCCAAAGGACAGGACAAACAGCTTCTCCTTGTGGCTCAGCTGCTCATCGATGAGGCTCTGTTGGACAAAAGGACATCACTGGCTCCCACAGCCAGGGGAATCGGGAGCCTGGCTTTGCCTCTCTGGCCTTTGCTGGCCCCTCTGGGCTGGGTGTGAGCTGTACTGAATAGGGCTGCTCGAGGCTGGGCTTAGCAGCCAGCCCCAAGCCGACATTTGCTTCCTGCCTGCCGGGCCTCCTGTGGGTGGGATGAGCATCTGGGCTGCCATCTCAGAATGTGCTATTGCTGGACCCTTGGCACTTACCTGTGGCACCCAGAGAGGGAGGACAGAGGTTTCTCTCTAAGGCATGTGAGCTGGAGAGTATCCATAACTTCTCCCTCTTCTTCCTGGCCAGCTAGAAATTCCACCTGTATGCCACCCCCATGAGCTCTGCCCTGGCTAATAGTAGACCACTCCACCTGGGGGATCTTTGGAAACTCCGTCCTGAGGACTTGTCATGAAGGGGGAGCCTGCTCTGACACCTGTCCCCTGACATCCACTGAGACCAGGAACAGGGGACAAGTCTGGAGGACAGCCCCACACTGAGCCTCATAACGGCTCTGCAGGACCTGTACAAAATACAACTGGCTATTGCTGCCATGGTACCCGTAAGAAAATAGCCTGTCCACATCACATCACGCTGCAGAGGCTTTTTCTCTAGGCCAGACTTCTCACTAAGCACTTCACTTGCACAAGCTCCTTTTACCCTTATGGCAACCCTAGGTAGCCACTTAGGGTTATCATCCCCATTTTACAGAGGAGGTAAGTAAGGCACAGAGAGATTAGTTAACGCAGTCACATGGCCTGGAATTGGTGGAGGTGGCTGGGATTTGACTCCAGCCATCTGACTCTAGTTCTTAGCTTCTCTGCTATGGATGTGAGTTGGGGATGGAGCAATGAGCAACACCAGCCTGTTCACTTCTCTCAAACTAGAGCTGGTGAGTATCCAATGGGAACCATAACTCCAAAGAAACCAGAATAGCTCTTCCATCCAGAAAAGGCCAGAAGCCCTGTGCTATGCTATGCAGGAGACTTCACATCTTCCTTCCAGGGAAACGTGGGAGCTCTTGAGTCAAAGACTAGTTGGCAGGTACTGTCGTGGTGAGAATACTGGAAGTTCACACTACAACTGAAAATGACTCTGTGGTTGGGTTTTGTAGAATTCAACATAGTTCTCTAACCACAGGTGCTAATTAAGTGTGAACTGTTCTTTATAAGACACCCTATCTTGCATTTGCTATAAACAAGCTCGTCAGCAAGCTCAGGAAGGAAAGGCTGGGGGTAGTGGGTGGTTCCAGGTGTTTCTCTGTGCCAGACAGACTTACCATGAGGTCCTTTTGGAACTCTTCTTTCTGAGGGCCACTGCTGATGGCTGACACATCTATGAGGATGCTGACTCTGGCCCCTTTGATGAGGCCAAATGCCTAAAACCAAAGAGGGCATTTGGAAACAGCCAGTGCAAGTCTGTGTGTCTCCTACACTGAGCTGCTCTGTGCCACGCAGTGATGCAAACACTTTCCTCACCCCTAACAAGCAGCAGCAGATGGAAACCTCATTTTATAAGGGAAAAGCAAAACCCAATGTCATGACTTCAGCTCTGGGCATGATCTGCTCTTATTTTGTGGCAGCCTCTTCTTTATAAGTTTTTTCCCCTTATATTTATTGTCTAATCTTATGAAGTAATACATGGTCATTGTAGAAAATCTGGAGACTATAGAAAAGCACCCTTTGTTTGAAGATATAAAATTTGATGGCTATTTATATTAGCTTATCTGATTTAATTTCTCTATATCCTTATTTATTTTTTGCCTACTCTATCAATCAAAGACAGATGTGTTAGGTTCGCCAGCTGCAATGGTATCTCTGAGTTGCTAATTATGTTTCTTGTTTCTTCTTTTTGAGATGGCATATTGCTATATTGTCCAGGTTGATCTCGAACTCCTGGGCTCAAGCAACCATGTGCCACCACATCCAAATTTCTAATTATGTTTCTAAACGGTATTACTCTACAGTTATTACTCCTTGACTTATGATGGGGCCACGTCCTGATAAACCCATCATAAGTGGAAAAATCCTAAGTTGAACCATTCTAAGTCAAGGACTGTCTGTATTACTTGTCAATGCTGTTTGACTCTGCACATAAATGTTCATCTTGTTATAGCTGCATTGTGGATTGGAACTTTCATTCACATGAAATTGATAGTTCTCTAGGGGCAGTAGGTTCCATTCGGTGTTTTTCCTTAAATCCTACTTTACTGGATATCTAATTTTCCTGTTGAATTCACTCTTCTGCTCTCAGAGAGTATTTTACATCTCCTCTCACACCTCCAGCACTCCCTTTCTGTACTCTCCCAGCAAGTGATTTTGCCTCCAATTTTGCTGAGAAAACAAAAACAAATTGGAGAGAATTAAAAAAAATCTTTCCATGCAGAGTCTACTGACCTACCAGCCCATAGCCCTACATACTTCACCTTTTTCCAGTTAAAATGCATCTAAGGCCAACCAGCAATGGTCTAGGCTAACATTTGACTTGCATTACTGGATCTTCTCTTGCTAAATAGGAACTCTGCTTCTGTAATCATCCCTTCTCCTGGATCATCCATTCCTATTGATTGTACAATTTCCATCACCATACAAACAGGTTATAATATTGCCCATCTTAAAAAAGATATAGATCTCTCAGTATGCTACCTCTTCCTCCTGCTGTTTAATTTTTCTGCTCTCCATCTTAGCCACACATCCTTACCTCCCGGGGACCCATTCAAGTTAGGTTCTCACCTTCCTATTCCTCTGAAACCACACATGTCAAGGTGATCAATGACCTTTGTCTTGCCAAGCCCAAGGGTTAAATCCAAATTCTTGACTTTCCCGAACTCTGAGTAGCATATAGCACAGTTTGACTGTGTCAAGAATTTAACAAATTAAAACACTTAGTACACATGTCTTCCAGGACACTATATTCTCCCACTTTCCCCTCTCTTCACTGGCCATATTTTCTTAATTTCCTTTCCTAGAGAGCCCCTCCTCCTTGTTCCAAAGTCACAATACTGGCGTGCCCTAGGAACTTGCTTCTGAAGGTGTGGGTCATGGGCTGACAGCATCACCATCCCCCAGCTTGTTAGAAATGCAGAGTCTCAGGTCCCACTCCAGGCTTACCTAATTAGAGTCTTTATTTTAACAAGAGCTTCCATGTGCACAGTGGCACAATCATAGCTCACTGCAGCCTGGAACTCCTGGGCTCAAGTGATCCTCCTGCCTCAATCTCCTAAGTAGCTGGGACTATAGGTGTGTGCCACCACACCTGGCTATTTTTTTTTAAAATTTTTTGTAGAGATAGGGTCTTACTGCATTGCCCAGGCTGGTCTTGAACTCCTGGCCTCAAGAGATCCTTCAGCCTCAGCCTCCCAAAGTGCTGAGATTGCAGCCATGAGCCATCGTGCCTGGCCACTCTCTTCTTTATCTACCCCAGGGTTTGCCAACTTTGGCACTATTGACATTTGGCACTATTGGCATTTGGCACTATTGACATTTGGGCTGGATAATTATCTGTTGTAGGGAGCTGTCCTGTGCATTTCAGGATGGTGAGCAGCATCCCTGGCTGCTGATAAACTAGATGTAGGTAACAACCCCTCTCCTTCAGCAATGACAACCTAAAATGTCTCCAGACATTGCTAAATGTTCCCGTGGGGCAAAATCACCCCTGGTGGAGAACCACTGTTCTTTGATCACTCTCTAAGTGATCTGAGTGTCATGACTTTGAATACCATCTGAATGCTAAATGATTATCTGAGGTCCATCTTCAAACAGATTTCTCTTGGAACTTCAGACCTGTGCACCCAACATCCTGCTCCGCTTCTCTGTCTGGATGTCTGCTAAGTCCCTCAGGCCTCACATGTCCAAAACAAGACCTCTCAGTTTTCTTCAAGACTGTTTCTCCCTCAGCCTTCCCCATCTTAGTAAATGCCATTCAACACTGGCCCAGGCACTCTGGCCCCAGACCTATCCAATCCATCAGCAAGTTCTGCTGGTCCTACCTTCCAGCCATGCATTGAATCTACCATATCTCATTCTGTCGACCCTAGAGCTTGAGTCCAAGCCTCCATCGTTCTCGCCCAGAGCGGTTGTCCTGTTTCCACTTTTACCCCCTGTGCAGTCAAGTTATGCAGCAGCCAGCGTGATTCTTTTGAAACTTGTTGGATCAGGTCACTCCCCTGCTTTATTAAAGCCCTCAGCTTTGGAATCAGGCCCTCCCGGACTTCAACCTGCTCATCTAAGCTCATCTCCTTTCTCCACATAGCTCACTCTGTGCTTGCTGCACTGGCCCATGTGCTGCTTCTGGAACATACCAAGCTCGTTCCTGCCTCAAGACTTTTGGACTTGCTGTCTCCTCTGCTTGGAACATTCTCCCCAAGATATTGGTAGGGCTTACCCCCACACTTTCTTTAGGTGCCTGTTCAAATGCCTCCTCTTCAGAGTGAGTATCTTCAACCATTCCATTTATTTATTTTTTATTTTATTTTTGAGAGGGAGTCTCACTCTGTCTCCCAGACTGGAGTGCAGTGGCACGATCTCGGCTCACTGCAACCTCTGCCTCCTGGGTTCAAGCAATTCTTCTGCTTCAGCCTCTCTAGTAGCTGGGATTACAGGCGCCCATCACCACGCCTGGCTAATTTTTGTGTTTTTAGTAGAGACGGGGTTTCAGCATTTTGGCCAGGCTGGTCTCAAACTACTGACCTCAAGTGATCCATCTGCCTCGGCCTCCCAAAGTGCTGGGATTACAGGTGTGCACCACCACGCCCGGCCTCAACCATTCCATTTAAATAGTCCTGTTCCACCCTCTGTTCCCTTACTCAGCTTTGTTTCTTTTTACAGCACGTAAGCTCCATGAAGGCAGGACCTTAGTATTGGTCATGTTTTTTCCCCCGACAGCGAACCATTCCTTCAGCAAGTACTGGTCATGTTGGTAGTCTCAATCCTAGAACAGTGCCTGATATACAATAATCACTCAATACATGTTTGTTGAATTCATGACCCAAATATTCTAGGGTATTGCCAATCTGGAGGCAAGAAGTTGAAATCTAGAGCCAGTTCTATTTTTTTAAATTAAAAACAAGCTGCCATGAGGGCTTTACAGCTTTTGGAATTGAAAACATTCATTCCCTAAACCTAGCCATTGAAGTTCTAGACATTTATTCCATAGAAATAACTGGACAAGTACATAAGAGGCAATTGGAGCCTGGTAATACCAGATATTCTCATTTTTCAAGAGAAGTCTGATAGCAGACATAAAAGTGAAATACCAGGATTTAAAAAATCTTGGCAACTAATTTGAAAAATAGTTAAAATTAGGGAGCCTAAACAGAATGGCTGTGGGCCAGATTTGGCCTGCATGCCACTAGTTTATAACTTCTCCTTTTATCCTCTGCAGACACAGATCCAGAGAAGCGAGGCCACTTTCTAGGGCCTTAGTGACAGAGCAGAACAGGAACAGGGACCAGCGATTATCTGGCCATCACCTCAGGCTGCCTGCCTCAACACCCAGGGACCTGGTAAGCTGATTTACAGGTGATCGTTTCCCTGGGCTCTTCCATGGTTTCTCTGTAGCTCCGTCAGAAAGGGGTGGCAGGATGAAGGGGCTATCAATCCCCGCCCACTTTGACAAAGGTGCGAGGATGGGGTAGTGGAGGTCGGGGGGTGAGAGCAGCATGCCCTACGTGGATGCCTATGGAGTATGGGAGGATTTCATTCCCGTGGGGTCTCTCTGCCTGTTACCATGGGCAACCAGAGGGGTCCAGCTATAGCTGCAGACAAGCATCTGTTGACTCAACTCGTCCAAGCAAGTGAAGGAGGTTCTGGATCTGAGGTGAAGACCACAGCCTGGAATTGGCGGGACAGGCAGGCTTAGCACTATGTTGTTACCCACTAGTCTTGGGTAGAGGTGGGGATTGGGAGTAGGGAGCATGACTTTTAGCATCTGCATCTGGGTAGAGGTGGGGACTGGGAGTAGGGAGCATGACTTTTAGCATCTGCTTTTCCCAGGGTTTAAGGCAAGAGCTGAAGATTGTGCCTAAGGTGGAAGCAAACGGGAAGCCAGAAAAGTGCCAGTTGATGGCAATTAAGCTAAAACAAACAAGAAAGCAAATCAAAGTGTTCATTTGCCCATGGTCACTCTTCTACCCTTGGGTTCTGAGAAAAACATTTAATTAAAAAAAATTTTTTTTTTTTAAAAGACAAGTCTTGCTCTGTTGCCCAGGCTGGAGTGCAGTGGCAAAATCATAGCTCACTGCAGCCTTGAGGCTCCTGGGCTCAAGAAATCCTTCTGCCTCAGCCTCTCAAGTAGCTGGGACTACAGGTGTGCACCACTATGCCTAGCCCTTAATCAAACTTTTGTGGGTTTTCTTTTCGTTTGTTTGTTTTGAGAGGGAGTCTCACTGTGTCTCCCAGGCTAGAGTGCAATGGCGTGATCTCGGCTCACTGCAAACTCCACCTCCTGAGTTCAAGCGATTTTCCTGCCTCAGCCTCCTGCATAGCTGGGATTGCAGGCTTGCACGACCACGCCCAGGTAATTTTTTGTATTTTTAGTAGAGATGAGGTTTCACCATGTTGGCCAGGCTGCTCTTGAACTCCCAACCTCAGGTGATCCACCTACCTAGGCCTCTCAATGTGCTGGGATTACAGGCCTGAGCCACCATGCCCAGCCCTTAATCAAACTTTTAAGAAAAGTGATATCCAGATGATCAGCCTTAGTCTTCTAAATCTCATTGCGGGTCTAAAGTCAAATGCCCAGTGCACATCTGCATTCTCACCTGCCCAGCACCCATTCCCCCTTCTGGTAACAGTGCTCTGGCCTTCCACATGCAACCATCTGTCTCTCTTTTTCAGTCCATGAGGGCTGGGGGGCTAATCCAGTCTCTTTCCCCTTCCCCCCTGTCTTTTATTTTATTTTATTTTTGCCCCAGAAGTCAGCACTAGTTCCAGGCCTAGTCAAATAGTGATAGTATATTTCATCTCCTTGGCTATGATGATTGGTGTAAATTGGTCAATGAGAGTCAGTCCCAGGATTTGGAAGTTGTGCAGGGAACAGGAAGTGAAGTTCCTTTTTACTGGAGCTGCTGATCACCACCTTCCTATGCCTGAAGAGAGATGTCCTGAGAATAAAACCAACTCAGGAAAGCAGAGCCCACAGGCATAGAGGTGACATCATCTGAGCACCTGGATCCAGCTGTGGCTGGGGTTTTCATTTACTTAGGTTAGTAAATGCCTTTTTTTAGCTTAAGCAATTTATATTGGAGGTCTACATTTGCAACTGAAAGGGTTCTAACAAATACAAATGGAATGAGTGAAAGGGGGCAAAGAATGAAATCTATGCCCGTTACCTTCTTGCTGTTTTCTGTGAGCCACTGAATTCTCTCTTGATAGACTTCAATAGTGCTGTCAAGACATCAGAAAGACTCATCACCCAAGGCCAGCGTCATCACTGAGCAACAGCCACTTACATACACAAAAGGCAGGTATGAATAATTGTTTTTTTTTTTAATGTGCATAGGTTCTTGGAAGAAGGTGGTGAACCTTTTAGGTGCACTGTAGTGCACGCCTGTAGTCGTGGCTACTCAGGAGCCTGACGTGGGAGGATCACTTGAGGCCAGGAGTTCAAGACCAGCTTAAGCAACCTAGTGAAACCCTGTCTCTACAAAAAATAAAAAAATTTGCTGGGTATGGTGGTGCATGCCTGTAGTCCCAGCTACTCAGGAGGCTGAGGTGGGAGGATCACTTGAGCCCAGGAGTTCAAGGCTGCATGGAGTTATGATTGTTCCACTGCACTCAAGCCTGGGCACAATCGAGGAAAGACAAAACTGAAGATACTTGTTTGCCAGGGCACTAGGTATAAGGAGATTGTGAAAGGGATCGAGTGTATAGGTGCTGCTCTATTGGTGACACAGTGCACAGGATAAATGACAACGGTTTGGTGGATCAAGGGGTGGAATCAGGCCCTCCCAGACTTCAACCTGCTCATGTAACCTCGTCTCCTTTCTCCACATAGCTCACTCACTCTGTGCTCACTCTGCCCGGTGAGGGCAGGTCTGTGGAGGGTGGGGGAGGGTGTTCTTACGAGAAAGTTGGAAGACCACCCTTGCACTTGCTCAAATCTGTGTCTTCTCAGAAGGAATTGTTCCTAGTCTCCTGGAAACTGATCATAAAGGCACAACAGAGGCAGTTAAGCAATCGTTTCTACTGGATTGATTAACAAAAAACCTAGTTTCTGAAAAGTAGCTGGGGGACCTTCTTGAACTTGCCTTATTGCATGCCTGGCTTGCAATGACTGGTTGAAGACTAGCATATATCATATGCACAAGGTAAGGACTAGGTCACTTTAATTTAATTGACTTGTTCTTACTGGGGGCAGGTGAGATTTGGGGGCCTAGAGAGGGACAAAAAAGGTCTTTGGAAATGAGATCATGGGGCAGTGGGTGGTAGATAGAGTCATAAGGGATACATGAGTTATGAATAGAGCTAAGAAGATGAGCTTTATTTTTATCTTCTTCTTCTTTTTATTTGAGACAGGGTCTCACTCTGTTGCCCAGGCTGGAGTGCAGTGGTACGATCATGGCTCACTGCAGCTTCAACCTCCCTTGGCTCAGGTGATCCTCTCACCTCAGCCTTTAAGTAGCTGGAACTATAGATGCACACCACCACACCTGGCTAATTTTTATATTTTTTGTAGAGTTGGGGTTTCATCATTTTTCCCAGGCTGGTCTTGAACTCCTGAACTCAAGCGATCCTCCTGCCTTGACCTCCCAAAGTGATTACAGGTGTGAGCCACTTGTGCCCAGCTGAAGATGAGCTTTATAATAAAATATGTTTGTGTTTGAGATACAGCTCTGCCATCTACTAGCTGTGTGACCTTGGACAGGTGTGGTAACCTTTCTGAGCCCCAGTTTCACCATCTCCAACATGAAGGTAACAACAGGATTCTATCCAAGTCAATTTGCTAAAAGTCAATTTACTGAAAGCCAGTCCTCTGAAAATCAATTTGCCAAATGACCAGTTAGCTAAATAGACTTGAACATTCCTTAAAATACTGGATTCACAATTAAAACTGATAAACCAAGACATTGCAGAATTCTTTAAAACCTGTTTAAGCTTCCAACCTAATAAAAGTTACTATAAATTCTACAGTTAAATGGTTTTGAGAAATTTGAGCAACTGGTCATTCCATGAATGGCCATTCAGCAATTGACTTTTGGTTAACTGGCTTGAGAGTGATGGTTTTATAAGGGGAAACCCCTTTCTCTTGATTCTCATTCTCTCTTTCCTGGCTGCCTTGTAAGATGTCCCTTTGCTCTTCCTTCATCTTCTGCCATGAATGTGAGGCCTCCCCAGCCATGTGGAACTGTGAGTCCATTAAACCTCTTTCTTCTGTAAATTGCCCAGTCTCGGGTATGTCTTTATCAGCAGCATGAAAATGGACTAATACACATGTGCTATCAAAATCTGGTTTAGGAGTGGGGATGCATGCATGTTTTTGGCATATATTTGCAAAGTTATGAACGCAATCAATTTGACATTGAAAGTCATTACTCTTAACCATTAAACACCAGATGAAGCTGTGTCATCCAAGGGACTATGGATTTCATTTTATATTTTTTTAGAGATAGGGTCTTATTTTGTTGCCCAGGCTAGAGTGCAGTGGTGTGATCATAGCTCACTGCAGCCTCGAACTTCTGGGCTCAAGTGATCCTCCCACCTTGGTCTCTCAAAGCGCTAGGATTATAGGCATGGACCACCATGCCTGGCCCTAGACTATGGATTTGAAAAGGCTGAGAGACACTGATCTGGTCCAACCTTTCTATTTGAGAAAAGGGGAAATTGGGGCTAGAAGTGGGAAGAGACATGCTCATCTCCCTGAGTGGTAGTTTTTCCTTTTTTTTTTTTTTTTTTTTGAGACAGGGTCCCACTCTATTGCCCAAGGTCCCACAGAGATTGCTGTTTGAACAAAGTTACTTCCAGGCTACTGAAATGACATAATTCTTTCTTTTTCTTTTTCCTTTCTTTTTTTTTTTTTTGAGACAGAGTTATGCTCTTGTTGCCCAGGCTGGAGTGCAATGGTGTGTTCTTAGCTCACTGGAACCTCCACCTCCCGAGTTCAAGCGATTCTCCTGCCTCAGACTACAGGGTAGCTGGGATACAGGCATGCACCACCAGGACTGGCTAATTTTTTAAAAAAATATTTTTAGTAGAGACAGGATTTCACCATGTTGGCCAGCCTGGTTTCAAACTCTTGACCTCAAGTGATCCACCTGCCTCGGCCTCCCAAAGTACTGGGATTACAGGTATAAGCCACCATGCCCGGACTGAAATGACATAATTCTTGAGTTCTGTGGTGTTGGGAGGACAGTGAGAAACATACTTACTCAGAAAGCTTTGACTCAAAATGGCGGATGATCTGGGTGGAGAAACATATTTTCTGCACGACATTGGTGCCCTCCTCCCTGAAGAAGCAAAGCCTTATGAGGGGATCTCTCGGGCCCAGGGGGTTGCATGTGTCACTGCAGCTGTGGGGGGTGCGGGGAACAGCTTCAGACTTACAGCACTTCTGTGCCCTGGCTTATCAGGTCAGCCAAGGTGAGTTTCTGACATTTTAAACTGTGAGCCGAAAGCCAGTCTTCAGAGTCCTCCCAATCTGAAGACTGGGTCTCACTCCCCTGCAGCCTCTGCAAGACAAAAGCCAGAGTCAAACCGTGAAGTGGAAAGAGAGGGAAGGAAGAGGTTCCCTTCACACAGATACCCAACGGGCGCCAACTCAGACTGACCCTATCTTTTTTTTTTTTTGAGACGGAGTTTCGCTCTTGTCACCAAGGCTAGAGTGCAGTGGAATGATCTTGGCTCACTGCAACCTCTGCCTCCCAGGTTCAAGTGATTCTCCTGCCTCTGCCTCCCGAGTAGCTGGGATTACAGGCATGCACCACCACGCTTGGCTAATTTTTGTATTTTTAGTAGAGACAGGGTTTTGGCATTTTGGCCAGGCTGGTCTCAAACTCCTGACCTCAAGTGATCCACCAGCCTTGGCCTCCCAAAGTGCTGGGATTACAGGCATGGGCTGCTGTACCCAGCCCCCTGGTTTGTCCGTGTTAGAGACAGGGCCTCACTCTGTCACCCAGGCTGGAGTGCAGCGGTGTGATCATAGCTCACTGCAGCTTCGAAGTTCTGGGCTCAAGCGACCTTGACTTAAGTTCTGTGCCTGAGGCCTGCTGGGCTGTCTGTCTCAAAGGGAAATTAGCAAGTGTTGAAGAAGTGTGAAAAACACTCTCATAATTACTGCAAATACTTAGATAGCACTTATTACATGTTAAGCACTTTCCGTACGTTAACTCATTTAATTTTACAAAGTGGGTTCCATTATGATAACCCCATCTTGCTGACCAGGGAACTGAGGTACAGATAATTTAGGTAATCAGTCCAAGGTCATCCAGCTAGAAAGTGGCAGATGTGGAATTCAAACCCAGGCTGTAAAGCTCAAGTCATGCTTCTAACCATGGCACTATGTTGTCCCTCTAAACTAGCACCAAACTGTGACCACCTCCATGAAGGAGTGAGAGGACTGACGGGCAAGATTACTTTCTCATTATGTGATTCTGTGCTAACAAATGTCCTGCCCTTGAAAGGCACCTAAAATCATAGGTCCCTGTCGCATATCTAGGGAAATACAGCTCTCTATCACATGGACACTAGATGTCACTCTTCTCACCTTTCAGACTCAACCCTCCCCCTGGTTGGAAACACCGAGCATGGTACTTTTTTTTTTTTCTTTTGAGACAGGGTCTCATTTTATTGCCCATGCTGGAGTGCAGTGCCACAATCTCAGCTTACTGCAGCCTCAGCTTCCCAGGCTCAAGTGATCCTCCTTCCTAGACCTCCCAATTAGCTGGGACTATAGGCACGTGCCACCACACCTCACTAATTTGTGTATTTTTTTTTTTTTTTTTTTTTTTTTTTGTGGAAACAGGGTTTCACCATGTTGCCCAGGCTGGCCTCAAACTTCGGGACTCAAGCGATCCTCTCATCTAGGCCTCCCAAAGTGCTGAGATTACAGATGTGAACGACCGTGCCTGGTGAGCATGGTGGACTTAATAATTCACCTTTCTTCCATCTGTGTTGCTTTTCAAATGATGTCATGTTTTAGGACACAGATTTTGTATTATTCATACTTGAAGATACACTATTAAACACATTATGGATTTTGACTTTAGGCCATGCTAATTATGTAACTCTACTAGTTCATTTGCATAGAGAATGGTAAGATCTTCGTGTTGGAGCAATCCTTTCCCTCTTTCCTTCAGGTTCATCTGCAAGGCAAAGGAGGCCCCAGCTGTGGCTGATAAATATAAGAATGATCCTGTCTACACCTGGGAAGTCATGCATTTTCATATAAAATTAGAGGAAAGATGCATGTCATCAACATCTGAACCCATTACAAGACTTCTTCAGAATCTCAAAACTCTATCAACCTTTCCTCGTCTCCTTTAATTAAGCTTGCTTTCCTGTAAGTGCCAGAACCTAAGTAAATCATGAGTATTTTTCTGATTGTTTAATTGCCAGCATTATACCTGTATTGTTTTTGACTATCATTTCAAAGGTATCATATTTAAACTCTAGTGTGGGTTAGGTACATGGTTGTGCACTAGCCTTGCTTGAACATGGCAACCACTGATTGCCACTGTGTCCCTGGTAGAATGAATTCTGAGTTCTAGACAATCCACTCACCCTCTTGGGAAGGCACATTGAAGGTCAGCCTAAAATCGTAGTCTGGTCAGAGGTTTATTCTCCTATCATACCCCATTTGTCCAACAGCACTTCCTGAAATGGATTTCTGAATCTCGATTTCAGGGAATCTCAAAAGCAAAGCAAATCTCAGGAAGGGGAATTTTAGAATCAAATGCTTAAGACTTCAGGCCTTGATAACATGATCAGAGTCTTCACATGCTCCTGAATATTTAGTGACATGGCCAAATAGGCTAAACAATTTCTATATAAACAGTATAGAGATTCTTCAGTCATTTCTGAAGGCAGAGGATTAGAGATAAATGCTTAATTACTCCTTTTTCAGTCCTAGAATCCTATGAGAAGGAAGAAATCCCCAGAATTTAACACACTGTGCATTCTCTGAATGATTTGTAGTATCACGACCCAGTTAAAGTGCCATGGTCTTTACCAGTAAGTCCTGTGTCTGGTTAACATGTGTAACCAATAATCCATTGTCCGAATTTTGCCCAAGTCCATTCATATTCTTCTGCTTTAGTGGCTTCTTTGAATCTCTGCCAGTGTTTCTCCTAATGCTACAAAACATAAAGTAATTTGATCAATGCCCCAGCACTGGGCATAGGTTTGATACCCCCAGTGCCTCCTCTCTTTGCCCTAGTCCCTACAAGGATTCTAGAAACATTTTTCTGTGCAGTAACTGAGAAGGATTCCTGCAGAGTCCTGATAAAATGTGGACTCCAGTTCCATGAGATATTTTATTATTTAGATAACTAAAGCCCTCAGGTGGCTATAAGAAGATTCAATGACCATTTACCCAGTCTCACCCTCAGCTCCCATGAGCAAAATGCTGTTGCTGTTTTCGTTTGCAAAATCAGAGAACTAGCCCAGGCACGGTGGCTCACGCTTGTAATCCCAGCACTTTGGGAGGCCGAGACGGGCGGATCATGAGGTCAGGGGATCGAGACCATCCTGGTTAACACGGTGAAACCCTGTCTCTACTAAAAATACACAAAATCAGCTGGGTATGATGGTGGGCACCTGTAGTCCCAGCTACTCGGGAGGCTGAGGCAGGGGAATGGCATGAACCCGGAGGGCAGAGCTTGCAGTGAGCCTAGATTGTGCCACTGCACTCCAGCCTGGGAGACAGTGCGAGAATCTGCCTCAAAAAAAAAAAAAAAAAAAATCAGAGAACTATGCTTACCAATGGTTTTCCAGAAACATATTTTCTTGACCATGGAAGACATGACTAGTTTGTGTAGCCATTGCAAAACACCCAATGCTTATTTTCCTAAAGAAGAAAAGAATACCAGAAAACAGGATAAATGTGGCATACAGACAATAGTTTTGGGGGGTATCTATATTCAGCACAATGCTTCTTTTTCTACATGTTTAATTTTTTTTTGAGATAGGGTCTCACTTAGTTGCCCAGGCTGGAGTACAGTGGCCCAATCATGGCTCACTGTAGCCTTGACCTCC
This sequence comes from Homo sapiens, assembly GCF_000001405.40. Classification (NCBI taxonomy): domain Eukaryota; kingdom Metazoa; phylum Chordata; class Mammalia; order Primates; family Hominidae; genus Homo; species Homo sapiens. The sequence continues at coordinate 22,096,670 of NC_000016.10, read as the reverse complement.
CAGGCTCAAGCAATCCTCCCACCTCAATCTCCCAAGTAGCTGGGACTACAGGCACAAGCCACTATGCCCAGCTAATCTTTCTGTTTACTGTAGAGACGGGGTCTCACTATGTTGCTTTGGATGGTCTCGAACTCTAGGGCTCAAGTGATCCTCCCACCTAGGCTGGGATTAGAGATGTGAGTCACCACGCCCGGCCATTTTTAAAATTTTATTGACAAGGTCTTGCTCTGTCACCAAAGCTGAAGTAATGTGGTGCTAACATAACTTATGGCAGCCTCGAACTCCTGGCCTCAAGAGATCCTCCTCAGCCTCCCTAAGTCATGGGATTATAAGAGTGAGCCACTGTGCTCAGCCAACTCTTCTTTAATTAATTCATTCAGTAAATACTTATTGAACACCTGCCAGGTATCAGGCATTGTGCTTGGTGCTGAGGATACAATGGTGAACAAGATAAAGCTTTCTCAACTTCAACACTTTGACTCTTGGACCGGATCATTCTTTGCTGTGGGGGCCGTCCTATGCATTGCAGGATGTTTAGCAGCATCCTGGCCTCTACCTATTAGATATCAGTAGCATCCCTCCTCACTTTTTCCCAATGTGACAACCAGAAATGTCTCTAGACATTGCTTAATGTCTCATGGACAGCAGAATTGTCCCTAGTTGTAAACCACTAAGATAGACTTTGTCCTTGTCCTCCCAGCGCTTATATTCTAGAGGGGGAGACTGATATTAAAAAACTAAATAAAATAATTACAAATTGTGGAAAGTGTGGAAAGAACTAAAAGGATAATAGAAAGTAATCAAGGGGCCAGGCATGGTAGCTCACACCTATAATCCCAGCACTTTGGGAGGCAGGCTGAGGCAGGAGGTCACTTGAGGCCAGGAGTTCAAGACCAGCCTTGGCAAACCAGCGAGACCCCATCTCTATAAACATAATAAAGATAAATTAGCCAGGTGTGGTGGTATGTGCCTGTAGTCCCATCTACTTGGGAGGCTGAGGCAGGAGGATCGCTTGAGCCCAGGAGTTCAAGGCTGCAGTGAGCTATGATCATGCCACTGCACTCAATCCTGGGCAATAGAGGGAGATTCTGTTTCTAAAAAATAAACAAAAATCCACACCCAAATCCAATGTTACACCCCCTTTTCTCCCTCCTGCTTAAAACTGATCAAAGCCTTCTCTATTTCTAGGATGAAGACTGAGATCCTTCAGATGGCATCTGAGGACTCTCAAGGTCTGGCTGCTCCCACCTACCCCTCTAGATTTCCCACTTCACCACTGCTCTCCTCTGTGTTCCACAAGGGCCTCCCTTTCCAGTTTCTGGAATTCTCTATAGTTCCTTTAACCACAGGGACTTTTCATGTGCTGCTGTCTTTGCTCTGGAACGTTCTTCTTCTCCCCTACCCTAATCATCTTGACATTTCAGCTTGAATATCACTTCCTTCAGGAAATCTCCAGCATCCCATTATATTTCAGTTTCCTTTGTTTTATACAGACTTTCATAGAACCATGCTCTTTTAGGGCAGGTATCTTAATTTGGAACGATACATTCATTAGAGGGATTTTTTAAAATTTGTGTGTCTGTCCCCTTACACTGTAAGTTATGTAAGAGCAGGGACTGGCAGACACTCGATAAATATTTTGAGAAGGGAAGGTGAAGGGGCAGGAGGTTGAAAGACTCCCTTGGTTTTTTTTTTTTTTTTTTGAGACGGAGTCTTGCTCTTGTCACCCAGGCTGGAGTGCAGTGGCATGATCTTGGCTCACTGCAATCTCCACCTCCCAGGTTCAAGTGATTCTCCTGCCTTAGCCTCCCACATAGCTGGGATTAAGAGGCGCCCACCACCATGCCCAGCTAATTTTTGTATTTTTTGTAGAGACGGGGTTTCACCATGTTGGCCAGGCCGGTCTCAAACTCTTGACCTCAGGTGATCCACTTGCCTTGGCCTCCCAAAGTGCTGGGATTACAGGTGTTGAGCCACCACGCCCAACCTGCCTTGGTTCTTGAATTTCTAATTATATATCCCAGGCACGTGTGAGACCTTTCTGTTCTTGGGTTCCATGAGATACCCTGTTTCTTAGAATTCTCTACCTTTTTTTTTTGCTTCAGCTAGCTCCTTTAGCTTTCTGTTATTTGCAACCAAAAAAATACCAGCTAAGACACAGCAAGTGAGAGACTCTGAATAAAGTTGCAACTTAGAGTGTGTGTTCTTGTGAAATCATTAAATTAAACAGCCTAATAATGGTTTGGCAACTTGCTTTTCTCTTTCAAGTCTTTAATCTTTTATTCAGAGGATGCTTTGTTTTCTGGGAAGCACCAGGATAATGTGGCAATGCTTTAAAAAAAAAAAAAAAACTGGCTTTACTTCAGCAAGCTTTCCTGGGAGACTCTAATGGCAGAGACTGTTGAAATAGAAATGCCTCATGAACACTGGCCGCCCCATAGTGTCTCACTTCCCTCTTTCCAGCCAGTGATTAACAGCTCTTAATGAATTCAGAGGACTGCATGGCTAGATTCTGGGGTGACTGGTGCAGGCTGATGGAGAAGGGGTTGAACTGCATAAAATAAACAAAACAAAATAGTGCTCCAGAAAAAGCACGGGGCCGGGTGCAATGGCTCATGCCTGCAATCCCAGCACATTGGGAGGCTGAGGCAGGGAGATTGCTTGAGCCAGGAGTTTGAGAGTAGCCTAGCCAACATAACGAGACCCCGTCTCTATATAAAAAAAAAAAAAATACAAAAATTAGCTGGGCATGGCAGTGCGCACCTGTAGTCCCAGCTACTAGGGAGGATGGGGTGGGCAGGTCACTTGAGCCCAGGAGTTTGAGGCTGCGGTGAGCTGTGATCGCATCGCTGCACTCCAGCCTGGGTGTTGGAGTGAGACTCTGTCTCAAACAAACGAACAAACAAAAAAGTGCTGAACCTTTGGTTTCTTCATCTTTAGAATGGAATGGGGATAACAGTAACTGACCTGCCTACTTCAATGCTGTTATCAAGAGGATCAAATGAAATTGAGAAAGTAGAACTGCTTTGTGAAATATGAAGTACTATACAAATGTAGAATACCATAAAATATGGGCTGCATCTTCAAGCACTTCAGCATATGACACAAAAACAATCATGTGTTTCATGAACATTTATAGAGCACTCACTGCGTGCCAGAGAGAACGGGTGCTGGGGAGATAGACATGAACAGGACGCAGCCCTTTCCCTCAGGCCTTTGCTCAAATGAAATCTTATTAGAGAGGTCTTCTGTGAGTACCTTAACTCAAACAGCACCTCCTCCACCTGGCTTTGTCTTTCCCCACAGCATGTTTCACTATATATATTCACTTATTTACTTAACAGTAAATACATTCTATATATTTGCTTATCTACTTGTTTTAAATTTTCTATATATTTAGTTATTTACTGTCTGAACCCCCGCGCACCCCTCCTACATAAACATACTAGAAGTAGATCCATTTGGGCCGGGACTTAGTAATGTTCACAGCTAGGACATTTTTGCATAAAATAGAGTTTAGAACACAGTAGCTGCTCAAAAAACATTTGTTGAATAAATGCACTCAGAGCAGGTCCAGAGTTTAGGCAAAGGTGAGCTGAATTACCCTGGGAGGTGATTGCAGGAGAGGAAAAGAACAACCAGGCCATGGCAGATGGCATTTTGGTCCAAGGGAGAGAGGGAACCTTGATTATTGGGTGAAAATAATAATAATAATAATAGGAGTCTTTCCTGAATCCCATTTGCTGTCCCCAGGGAGGAAACCACTCCTCCTGTGGAAGTCCTCCTGTCGCTGCCCCTTCACTTGGTCATATGGAGTTGTCATGGCCTGTCTCCTAGACCGGCTCCATGACTTCCTTGTCTACTGGCACCCCAGCATTTAGCCCAATGCTCGGCATGTAGGGAGTGGACACTTCACACCCCAAGCTCCCTCGATCTTCTCACTCAGTCCAGAGCTTAGTATCTGGCCTCCCCGACACCCTCTCACCACCCCTGTCAACCCTTGTGATGCTCACCCTCACCTGTATTTCTTCATTTATTTCTCCATCTTTGGGAGAAGGGCTCCTGGCACTCCAGGGCCTTACTTCTCCTGGATCTCACTTCTGGTTTCTCCAAGCTCCTCCAAGCAACTCAGCAGCGAAGCTTGCCCTGCGGGAATGTGTTAGCTGGTCTCCAAGGTAACAGACTGCACCACTGCAGCTCGGGGCAGGGAAAGGGAAAACCTTCCTCACCCCAGGGAAGAAGTCACCAGCTGTGTTGTTGATAACCACTTCTCCCAGGTCACTCTGCTTTTCTCCACCTCACAAAAACCTGGAAGCAGGATTTAGACCTCTTTTCTAATTTCAGAACCTCTCAGTCAGCACAGAACTATGGTTTAGGCCAGTACAGCCCTGGTGCGTGCCTGTGGCCTTCCTGTGGTAGGAACAGAGGAGAGGTTCCAGAGAACTCTGCCACATGTGTCAAAGGTGGTAACTTTCTCTTCCTTCTCAGATTCCCTTGGGTTCCCTGAACACAGTCCCTGGGAGAGGTCAGACAGTCCCCTATCCCTACCCGGTCCAGCCCCACCTAAACCTGGCTAACACAGCCAAGCTCAGTGACCTCTTCGCATCAGAAGAGATCATCTGCCACAGTGGTTCCTAAGCCCGGATGCCCATGAGAATCACCTGGATTGTTTGCTAGGAAAACATTCCCATTCAGGAGATTGATTCAGAACTGTGAAAAGGTGTGGGAATGTGACTTTTTAACAATGGCCCCAGGTGATTATGATGTAACTAGTCCTTGGCCCATAGCTGGGAATCTCTCCAAACCCTTCTTTTATAGTGGTCAAGAGAGACAAAGTGATGTCACCAAAGTCAACCAACTTGTAAGTCGCTAAAGGATCTGTACTTAGTTTTTCATATCCAGGTCATTTCTCAAATCAGTTTTCACTTTCTGAGAATTTTATAAGTTTTATAAACTTGTAAGTTTTATCAGTTAGAACATGAGGTTGGGTGGTGGCTCATGTCTGTAATCCCAGCACTTTGGGAGGCTGAGGCGGGAGGACTGCTTGAGGCCAGGAATTTGAGATCAGCTTGGGCAACACAGTGAGACTCTGTCTCTACAAAAATAAAATAAAATAAAAATTAGTCAGGTACAGTGGCTTGTGCTTGTAGTCCCAGCTACTTGGAAGGCTGAGGTGGGAGGATCGCTTGAGCCCAAGAGTTCAAGGCTACAGCGAGCTATGATCGCACCACTGCACTCCAGCCTGGGCTACAGAGCAAGACCCTGTCTCAAAAATAAAGAACATATGCCACTTGTGGTAGTCATCATATGGTAGGGAACACCCTTCAGATGTTGACCCCAGCAGCCATGCCTATAGGCCAGGTCAGAAACAACCAACGTGCTCAAAATAGAAACTCCTTATCAACCACTGGTCACTGGGGTTGAGAGCACCATGTATAAGACCACAGCATTTGTTATGTGGCCAGCACCAATAAGGCAGAAAATGAGGAAGATCAGAAAGAGGTAAGAAGGTCATAAGTGGCTGTGAGCAACCAATGGCTACTCGGTGAACAAGAGATGAGGGTCCTTGTGCCCATCTTGATGGAAATTTTGGGTGGAAGGGGCTGGCTAATTTTGACAACATTTTTTTTTTTTTAGGCACGGGAGCCCCAAGCAGGTCGTCTACCACCCTCACACCTTTCTTTGCTTCCTGCATACATGGGTTTTCAACACTGTGCATAGAAGTAAAGTCCAACACTGGAAACTCTTTGTTCCTGCTTTCTTGTACTTGAGCCTACACAACACACATTCTCAATAGATCTCTGCCAGGTGGATAAAGCAGAGTAAGGCTTTCAGACTGTATGACTCATCAAGAGGAAAGCTGTGTGGGTACCATCTTTCTTGGCTCCCTTCGGGATGCAGATCATGATGGCATCCATGGAAAGCATCAGAGCACAACAGACATTTCTCCTACCTTAGGCTCTTGGAAATGGATCAGGGTCAGCTCATCTCTGGTCTTTTATTTAGGAGCTCTAGCGTGGTCCCATCCAGGAATATGGTGGGATATATATTTCAGATATTAATTTGTTTTGTTTTCTTTCTTTCCCCCATTTCAAACCAGGAGCAGGTGCTTTGGGTTGTGTTGAGAAGCAGTAGCCTGAAGTAACTGTTTTTTCTGTCTTTTGTAAAAGCCTAAGCTAACGAAAAGATTAAAGTGACATGCCAAAGCAGGGGAGGTGAGGAATGTGTTTAATGTCATGAGGAAAGTGGGAGTGTAAAGCTTATTTCAGTTAAAAGAGATAGAAACCCAACTCAAACTGGTTTAAGGAAAAAAAAGAATTTATTTGCTTAAATAACACAAGAATCCAGAGATAGTTCTGGCTTCAGGGATGACTTGATCCAAAAGCTAAAGTGATGTTAACAGAACTGTCTTCCTTTCTCAGCTTCCTTTCTTCTAGGATGGCTTGATCAGGAGGCTCTTCAGGTGTGGCTGCCAGCAGTACCAAACTTTTCCTTACAACTTAGCAACTCTATTCCAGCAAAGTCCCAGGCTAGTCACATGCCATGCTAATTTCTGAATCTGTCACCATGACTCTGTCCAAGTCTGGCTTCTGTCGAGCTCTGAAGCCAGAACGTGAAATTGGCCCCATGAAACCACATGGCCCGAAGGTAGGAAAGGAACGATTTTCCAAAAAGAAAGAGCCTTTTTTTTTGAAACCAAAGGGACCATGGTATTAGGCAAACATGCCTCTCAGGAAAGCCAAAGGGGAGATGATATTCTCCCAGACAGATTAAAAAAAAAATCAGAGATCTAAAAATCAGAGGGAGTAGAAACTTGTTCCATGTTTGGTGGCAATACTTTGGTAAGATGGCAATATCTAAGAGAAAGTGGGTCCTTGGTGCATTCAGGGAAGAGTCCAGACACAGGAGTTCCTAGCTCACCAAAGTTTGTCATTCCCCAAGTGTGAGACGAACACAGTAAAACTACTGCCTCATTTAGCCTGGGACAACTGATGTCTCAGCAGTAACATGTAGACAGATGATCAACTAGTGGGTGGTGGCGGGGGGTGGGGTGGGGTGAGGGACTTCCAAATGTTTGAACCACGAACCTCTGCACAACTTAGAGTACTCCAATAACCAGTAAATTCCTACCAGTCCAGTAGAAGGGATCCAGTTGAGTTTTAAGTGCTTTGGGAGTAGGGGTGAGGAGCAGCTGGTTTGGGAAAATTTCCCTGGGTGCTGGAATCCTGAAAGGGCCCCAGTAAAATCAATGCCCTCATCTAGCTTCATCCATCAAGGAAGTCGGCACTATAAAATACCAACAGGCTGGGGCATGGTGGCTCATGCCTGTAATCCCAGCACTTTGGAGGTCGAGGCTGGAGGACTGCTTGAGGCCAGGAGTTCAGGACCAGTCTGGGCAACAAAGTGAGACCCCATCTCTACAAAAAATTTTAAAATTAGCCAGAAATGGTGGTGCGTGCCTGTGGTCCCAGCTACTTGGGAAGCTGAGGTGGGAAGATGGTGGCCCAGGAGGTCGAGGCTGCAGTGAGCAGCCAAAAACCAAACCAAACCCAAAAACCAGTGAACAATGATTACAAAGAGAAAGCTCAACAATGAGAGGGGAATGATGGAAGATTTGACACAAACAACTTAATAAGTGGGAGGTTTTTCTTACTTTTTTTTTTTTTTCTCTCAACAAAGTGGAAAGTGTTTCTAAATAGGGACCACCTTTTATGGTTGTTTGCATTCCACATCCAGAAGAAGCAAACCATAGATTTAGCTGCTCATGTTTGAGCCAAGGAATCATGCAAGCGGGACAAGTTATTTTTATTCCCTTTAGATCAGCCACACTGGCAATGCAGGACAGCAGGAGTCCTAGATCTGAAGTCAGGGAGCCTGGCTGTGAAACCCAGATTCACCAGTTGCTAGTTACAGAACCTGGAGTAAGGTGTTCAGCCTTTTGATCCTTGGTTTTGTAGTCTATAAAACACCACCCTGTACTTCACAGGTAGAGGATTAAGATGACATATGGGAAAGCACATAACACATGAATTTACTGTTAGTTTCCTTCTCTAAACGTAGAGAATGCCACTATTATTTAACCACAGTGCTTTTGAAAATAGGAATTCCTTTAATAGTTGATACGCTTCAGTTAGAATGTCAGGTTATTATGACATTTGAGAAGTTTTTGTTATCCAAGGCCTAAGTTCACAGCAGCATTATCTGCAATAACAAAAATCTGGAAGCAACCTCATGTACATCAAAATGGGAAGACACATATTTGATATGTATCAAATGGAATACTATGCATTTAAAATGAGGAAGCTCTATATTTACTGACACAGAAAAATCTACATCACAAATTAAGTCAAAAAAGAAAGCCACAGGGCATGCATGGTGGCTCCCAGCACTTTGGGAGGCCAAGGCAGGAGGAGACTGGGAGACGACCCTGGTCAACATACTGAGACCCCCATCTCTATAAAAAAAAATTTTTTTTTTAATTAGCAGGCCGTGGTGGCATGCACCTGTAGTCCCAGCTACTTGGGAGGCTGAGGTGGGTGAATCGCTTGAGCCCAGGAATTTGAGGCTGAGGATTGTGCCATTGCACTTACTCCAGTCTGGGTGACAGAGCAAGACCCTGTCTCAAAAAAAAAAAGCAGTGGCAGGTATAGATAATATCTTGCTTTTGTTAAACTGATCAGTAAAATGTCTGTTAAAATACCCAATAAACTGTTAACAATGGTTATCTCTGGAAGGTGGATTGTGGAGGAGGGAACTTTTTGTTTCCTATATTATTTTTGTGTTTTTTAAAAAAATCTACAGATACATGTTATTGTAAAAAGAAAATTTGTGTCCCGGCTCAAGGTCATAATTTCTTTCTCCACAATAGCACATAAGGCAGGAAAAAGTTACTGATAACCCTGAAGGCAGAAATTAGGTAAAGTATTGGAGTGGTGCATGTAAGGGTGGGACTGCACCAAATAAGTTCATTTTGCTGCTTACTACCTATCTTAGTAAAACATTTAGAAGATGAGGTAGTCAAAAGCCTTCTTAGATATGTCAGTTTTTAAAGAGCAATTTATTATGGAAAATGGAAAGGATTTTGGTTCTTCAACTTCTTTGCATTTGTCATAGAAAACAAAGGAATGGAAAAGAGTGAGTTTTCATATTTTTTATTTAAGAAAATACTTGAATTGCCTTAGACAATATTAAATATTTAAACAACATGAGAAAGAGTGCCAGAGGTCAGAACATAGTATTTAGTTCACTGAGTTGCCCTGACAGATAATGAATGGGGATTGATTTAATAGTGACCAAATACACTGGCCATATTTACTAAAGTGCTGTAAAATGGCCAAGTGAGGACAACTGCATCTAAAATGAGATCAAATCCTCGAGTCCATTCCTTTTAGCAGAAATGATTAAAACCATCTTGGCAGGACCAAGTCTTTGCAAAACCTATCAAATGGATGGATGGCTTCAAGACAGCAGAGAACCCACAAGCTTGAAGAGGCCTCCGGAGAGTTCACTCAGGATAAACGGGGTGCTGGCATCGTCCTGGTCCTCTCTGTACAGTAACAGTGTTACAGCCCTGTGAGTTCAGTAGTAAAGGATCTGGAGTCCATGGGGAAATTCTAAGGAGATCAATGGAACTGATATATTATATAGCCAAATACTTATTAATAAAGTAACCATCCTTATAAAGGCTGATTTAGGCAAGCCTCTGCCTTCAGGAGGAAGTTCACTGAAACAAACCTGGCAGATTGATGACTCTGTCTTTCAAATCTCCAGGAAATATGGTTTCATAATTTTTCTTTATCACCTAGCCCCAACTTTAATTTTCATAATTCAGTGTGTAAAGCACTGTGCCAGGTTTCTAGTGAGTACACAATGAGGAAGCCATACTCTTTGCATTCAAGAGTTTATATAGTTATACAAAAGCACTTACTAATGACAATATCAGCAACTAACATTTGAATGCTTACTATGTGCTTGGAACTTTATCTCCTTTAAACCAACAATAGCCCCATTAAGTGGGTAATATTATTAGTCCCATTCTACAGATGAAAAAACCAAGGCTCACGTAAGTTACATGATTTACTAAGGGTCACACAACTGGAATGGTGGAATTGAGATTTAATCCAGGCAGTCTATGCCTGTTTAGCAAGTTCTGTTACAGAAGCATAAGAAAAAGAGACACAAAGCACAAAAGATTAGATATATTTCAAATATGGGAGGACTTTAAAACTGAGAGGAGGTGGTACAGACACAACCGGGGCAGGGAGCAGGTTGTAGTGAATCTAGAATGGAGAACAGGCTGGTTGTCAGTAAGAAGTGACGAGAGAGAGAGGTGGGAAATGACTGAACAGAGAGCTTGAAGCCAGATCACGAAAGCTTGTCAAAGCTATGCTAAAGGAGTTTGGATTTCATTCTGTAGACAATGGGAATGACAGAAATGTGAACATGGAAATAATATGCTTTCTTTTGTGTTATGAGTATCTTGGCAGAATTGATTTGGATGGATCAGAGTGAATGGAGACCAGTTGAAGGAAGACTGGTTCAATGGCTAGAGAATATGAATGTTGGTCTTAAGTCCAAGGCCCACATGTCAAAGACGAGTGCTCTGCTGATATCTAGTTGAGTGACTTTGGAAAAGTCTGAGGCCTCGATTTCCTCACCTGGAAAGTGAAAACACTGGACATGCTCTTTGACATTTCATCCAGCACTGAAATTTTATAGTCTTGTGAAAAATCTCTTCTTGAAATGTTATCTTGGGTGGTCTTAGATTGTGTGTGACTGGAACTGGGGCTGATTTGTAAAACCCTTGAATGTGCTTGAAAATACCAACCCACAGTGTTTTCTTCTCCTGGGAAAAGAACCAAAACTCTTAAAAAATATACATTGTGCTTTCTATCTTTAATACCATTTATAAATAACTACCTTTATTTTTGTTGCTGGGTAACTGTGACCCAGAAGAGTTGACTTTGCATAAAAGGAACCCAGAGTCCTCTAGTCTTGGTGTTTTTCCTATAATCTTCTCATAGTGGCTAGAATAGAGATGATAGAAGAATAAGTCAAAATAAAGTATTTTTGAACCCATGTTGTTTTCAAAGCCACTGTGTTACCTTTTCCTAAGGTATTACCAAATAGAAAAAGTGTCCCCTCCACCATAGCAGCTCAGCATAAATCTACCATTACAATTTCCAATTGACCTATTCATTAATGTTTATAGAAAATAACCCCCCAAAAACCTCTAATCTGTGTTACAAATCAGGAGAAGATTTAGATGATGTGAAGATAGGGTAGGGTGACCAACTTATCCTAGTTTGCCTGGAACTTTCCCAGACATAGTACTTCAAGTCTCACCTCCAAGGAAACCCCTTAATCTTAGAACCCAAGAACATCTAAATCTTACCATGTCTTAATCCTCCAATTCCCCAGGAGGCTCCTCAAAAGGCCACACAAGGAAGAATCAGCAGCAAACTGTAAATATTTTATTATTATTATTCGGTTGGGCTAATCTTGACACCCCCAGAGAGAGCTATAGTTAAGCTGTGACAGGGCCTAAAGGCCTCTGTATTTGCTCCTCCAGCCCATACTTTAAGATTTTAAAAGCTAAGATCTTTTGGCCTGGAGTAAAGTAGAAACAGAAGACTGAAGCAAAGATGGACTTGGGTCTATGTGCAAGGAAGAAAGAATAGAAAGATAGTTGGCTTGAGGGCTTTGGCTTGGTTTCTCTCTCCTAGCTCATGGAAGCATGACGCAGAAGGGAAAGCCACATGTATGTGGTCTTTTATTGCTGAGTGACTCTTGGGTAATCATGGCCTAATCCACGTCCTGGAATATTAATGGCATCTCTTCTCTAGCGGTGAGCAAAGAGTGGGAGTGGAAGAAGATAGGGAAAGACCGCCCTCACCCCCCAATGCCAACAACAAAAAACCAACCCAAGAGGCATGGAAGTGGCACTTGTGAATATGTGAAACCTCCATAAGAAATCAATTTTTTAAATGAAGCTTATTTCAAAGTAATAGAAGCCTTTTTAGTTTCTTTAGTAGACAATTTATTTTGATAAACTTGCTCAATAACAAAAATACAAGTGAGGAAAATTATGTTCATTTTATACAGTTGTATTAACAATTTGTTTTGAAACTATTAATTGAAAAATGTTATAACCAATTAGAAAACAATTCTTAATAAAGTTTGGGATAATATACAGACCTTGATCACAAACTTCAAAATCTCTTGAGGTGATACAACTAAAAGTCCTGTGTAGGGAATCCTACCTACACGGGCCACTTTTTTCCTTCATGTTTTTATCCTTCAAAAATTTTCTGAAAGACAGCTTACTGTTTTGAATTGTGAATGTAAATTTAATTTTTTAAAGATGAAGTGGGTTGATAAAACAGTTACTATAATCAGAGTAACTTGTGGCTAGTAGTCTTTTAATAAAGACAAAATAAATGCAACATGTTCTTCCCATGAAGCCCATGATGCAAAATAATAGCTAACAGCATATGCAAAGTTAGTTTCCAATACTGTATTTTTCAGGGCCTTTCCTCTAAATCAACAGATTGTTTGTCACCAGGACTATTTATTATTTCACTTAATAGATTAAACAGTGAATTCACAGAACATCAAGTGGGGATATCAAAGCTTTAGGCAAAAGGGTAAAAACCAATAGTGTTTTGGTCATCTAGAACATTAAAAAGAAAAAAGAGCCATCCTTCAAAAACAAAACAAATGAAACAGAAAATAGGTTTATAAGAGGTGGAAGAGTCAGAAAAATTACATACACACATTAACAACATAGAACATGGATTACCTTTGGAAAGAATCATACTGAAATGTTTGCTTTTAATAAATTGAAGATTTTTCATGTTTACAGATGTTTGGGTATGTTCAATAGGAGCTTCCAAAAATGTCAAACTAATTCAGTCTTGTGCAAATAAAACCTAAAAATAGTTTTCAGCAGATTTTACAGTGATATTCTTAGGTATGAGAAGAATGCACACACTCTAAAAACAATGAAACAGACAAAAGTTTGACAAATGATTGCACCATAAAACAGTGTTTTATATACAGTTTACAAGATACGATTTCCTGCTATAAATTAATACTGTACTATATAGTACTTATTATAGTGACCTTTTTTAAAAGCAACTGCGGACAGTTGTCTATCTTTTCACTTATAGGATTTATAGAAATCTATATGAATGAATCCATTTCAATGTCTGGTCTGCAAGAGTACGAAGACTTGACTTCACATACTACTTGATGGGATGGTTTAATCCTGGGTTAGAGTGCTGACTGGCTAGAGGGAGTTTTCCCCCATCAGCCCTGTATGCACTGGACCTCCAAGACAACAATGAAATTAAAGACAATTTAATGGTTTGGGTAATAGATACAAATAAAACCTTAAATTTTGTAATCTTAAATGCAATACCACCATAAGTGAAAGAAGTAAACAGTGGGGAAATTCTTAGCAGCTGAGAAACTTTCTCTCCCCATGCTCATGATCCAGTTAAAAATATTTTGAGAAACTATTTACAATACAATTCATCTTTTGGAAGAGAAAAGCTCTTGGTCATGTCATAAGTTAATTTGAACCATACTTTGCTAACACTTTATCTCAGTGGTATATAACGGTGACAACCAAAGCTTTCCTTCAAAGTGATCCATTTGACTGAGGACCAATCAAATCAGAATAGCAACTGCAATCCCAAATGTCCATAGAACATGTCCAGTGGTATTCTTAGACTTGACTAGACATCATCATACTTGGGGAGAAACAGTCTCCCTCAGGATCTCCCAAAGGTTTCTTTTACTCTGGGAAGGAAAAGTATGACATTCTCCCAGAACACTTAAGAAATGCACCACAGTGGTGGTCCATCTCTCTCCCCAATTCCTGAGTGAGCTCAAACACTGGGGTTTTCTTTCACAATAAAATACTGCTGAATTAACAGTAAGATAGAAGACTGTCAAACAAGCCAGTGTGAAACACATCAAGCACCTCCATTTCATAGTGTGAATATCTGAGGAGGTAGCTCCCATCTTTGAAGTAATCATTCTAGAACTGATAATCTAGCCTTAAAAACAGTGCGTTCATTTCTGCTTGTGTGAAGCATGGGCCACATGGGACTCTACTGACAGGGAGTCATTTGGGTCATCAGTTCACTATAAATGACAGGGACATTTGGGTCACCAGTTCACTATAAAGAGGAGAAACTTAGCTCCACTGCCATGAAACACCCTGTCCCACATTTCAAACAGGAGATTATCTATAGTGTTCACCAGGAAAAACAAGCATTGATGCGAAGGCATGGAGATGTGGAGAAGAGAAATACTGTATTTTAAAACTGTGAGTTCAAGGGTTAGCTGCAATGCTTCTTTTAGGGAAGAACTTAAAGCTGTGGGTTTAGTACAGCCCTTTAAAGTAAATGCAAAAATATTAGCTTTTAGCAAACAAAGGCATATAACATATAAAGAAAATATTGTATTGCTCAGGTTTTGGTAAAGATGTATTAATAATGCTTACAGATAAAAATAATGAAATTAGTGTTGTAAATAGCCAAAATAGCCAGATATTTACTAGCGAACTTTGTATTTATGTAAAGTGTGCCTGAACATATAAAATGCATTATTAATGTAACAGACTGAGCCAGTAGAAAAAGAATCTCTGTACAACAGACAACAGTTGCCAATAATTTAAATAGTGTCAGATTCCCCAAATTATAAGGTTTGACATGATCTTACCTTCTACTATCATATACAAATAAATTAACCCTACAAATAATTTTTAGCTTAACTTAAAATCGCACCTAGAAAGGTATGGGATTATCTGTACCTATTACAAAAACCTGTTAAAATCAAGGGCTGCTACAAAGAATGAGGTAAACTGAAGACTCTCTCCACTATGCAGCCTTCAGATAAATGGCTTTTTTTTCTATTGGGTTCTAGGTTTGCACACCACAGTGTTTTGCTAGCAAAGCATTCAGAATTCTCTTCCAGGAACTGTTTGCATGTGTGTGTATATAAATTTACACACACATACACACACACACACACACACATATATACACACTGTATACTGCATCAGCAAAATATATATATTATATATATTTATATAAATATAAGGAAGATTTCCCCCACCCACCCACCCAAAACATGTGTCTTAGTGTTTGATTTTTTTTTTTTTTTGTACACAGAGAGAGGGAATTTCAGAATTTTTACATACATTTTAGCAAACAAGTTTTGATCTATTGGCTTCTTGGTGCAGTAATGCAACGGCAATCCATTCTGGTGCCAAAGGCTCATACTATTACAAGGAAGTTGTGAACACTAATTTCTTAGGAGGTGAGGCCAGCCCCACATGAACTTCTCTTGCATCCCTCTGGTCCACCATGACACATAAATACTTAGACTTTTTTTTTTCCTCTAATGAATCATTAGACATTAAAAACGGAATAACAGAGTCACAAAGGGCCACATGCTTTTCGGTATAAAGCATTCTCCTTCTCTAGGTTGCTATCACAGTGCAGACCTGACTGCCTGAATATGCTCAGGAGATTTAGTCAATATTGTCTGTATTTGGTTATGGAAAAGGCTCTCCTTTTTTTTTTTTTTTTTAAATCCAAAGTGCATAGTGAGAACAAACCAAAGCATTTTTTTTTCCTTCTCAGCATCAGTTTCATCTGAGCATCTTCCCATGAGAGGCCTGCTCAGATGCCTCGCCTTTGTCCTCTCCACCCTCCAAAAATAAAAAAATAAAATAAAATAAAAAATAATAAGAGTCAAGCAATTTAGACATTCATCAGCCTGGTAAACAAACTTTGCCAGCAAATAGAAGTCCTACTATTGTAAAGAAAATTGATAAGACAAAAAGTACATATGATGACCCAACTACTGTGTTGTTGGGTAATTTATAAGGTTGACCTCCGACTTCATTGATGTAAAATCCTATTGGAAATATTAGGGCAGCCATACAGAAAAGGATCACTGTAAAACAAACCAAAACACAACATTAGTAACATGGTTTGGTGATTTCAAAAAACAATGAAAATTTGGCACAAAGGAAGCTTGTAAGAAGGGCTGGCCAAACCTGTTAAAACATGGACCACTTGTTAAAAATGTGTATATATTTCAGGTCACATAGTATCCCTGAAGCCTAACAATACAGTAAAAGCTAGGTTAGGCTTTTATGTAAGTTTTAGGACAATTCTGAATATCAGGATTAAGAAAGTCCTTTTCCAAACCTACCAAATCCTCACAAATACGATTCCTAGCCATTTACAATAGTAATTAAGGGCACTAGCTAGAGTCAGATAGGGGCTCAATTCCAGCTCTATTGCCTACTAGCTGTGTAATCTTAAGCCTCTGGTTCCCTTCTGAAAATGGGGGAAATACTAGAAGGATAAATAAAATAATGTCTAGTCCCTGACACAGTGCCAGGTAACAGTAAGTGCTGAATGAGTGCTGCATACCATTATCACAATAGTTACTATTCTGACAATTCTCTGTTCCTCTCAGTGTTAGTGAGAAGGAATTGGAGAAAAGGTACATATAAATAAGCATCACTTATCTTACTCTGATTTAAAATCAGCTAGTAGAGGCTGGGCATGGTGGCTCATGTCTGTAATCCCAGCACTTTGGGGGGCCGAGGCGGGCGGATAACCTGAGGTCATGAGTTTGAGACCAGCCTGGCCAACATGGTGAAACCCTGTCTCTACTAATAATACAAAAATTAGTCAGGCGTAGAGGTGCAAGCCTGTAATCCCAGCTACTCAGGAGGCTGAGGCAGGAGAATCACTTGAACCTGGGTGGTGGAGGTTGTAGTGAGCCAAGATTGTGCCACTGCACTCCAGCCTGGGCAACAGACTGAGACTCTGTCTCAATACAAAAATAAATAAATAAAAATAAAATAAAACCAGCTAGTAGAAATAACCTCAGATCTCTGGGATTAGTAAAGTGTCACAGTGGTTATCTCTTATCATGGATAATATTCCAAAAAATAAAATCTCTGTCTGGTTTCTGAATACCCAGAGAGGTAGGTTAAAGTCAGGGAGGATAGGTAACCTTCTTTGAGTTTTGCATGTAAACACAAAGGAGTATATTATTTGTTAAAATGTTTTTAAAAGGATATCAGAAAACCCAATGTCCGGGTAAAAGTGATTCCACAGTCCAGTGTTTCAGCAAATGGCCTGCTCCCTTGTGCTACCAAAGAAATGGTCTTCTTAGTGAACACAAACTATTTACAGATAGGCTAGCTTTTCCAAGAAAATATTTTTGCTTTTTGAAAGCATATTGCTCAAGTGTTCATTGTCCTTCAACTTTCTCTGGAGGCAGAAATACTTCTTCAGTGTAATGTGAGGACAGATTACTAGGCACTGTACATGAAGAGTTGGACCTTCCATTATTAACTGAATGCGTTTTCACCTCCAGGTGAAAACTATCCCCCAGCAATACTAACAGAGTCCTGGATAAACATTTCAGCTGACACTCGTCTCTACATTTTTTTGTGTGTTAACCAATCAACAAAACTTTCAGAGTTTTAAAAAAGTCAATTAGGAACCCCTTCCAGAAGGAATAACTCCAGCAATACAATGAGAAAAAACATTTGCTTAAGTAATACATCAGCTTAAGAAACAACAGCACTCTTACTTGTACGATTTAGGTAGATTATTTTATATTATACAAACTTACAGCTTATTTCATTTTGGGCAAATGACCACACCAAATAATATTACATAAGCAAACTTGGATTTTTTTAGATAGCTACTATAGAACAAATGAAAAATTCAGGCATTATGTTTTATAGCTTTTAGCTTTTTTGTTGCATAGTCAGCAACAAATAACTATTAGTGCTGCCAATGCCCACTTATCAGTGTTGTCTGTCACCAATTTCTAATGGTTCCACAGCTTAATATGGTCTGGTGAGTAAAATGAAACCACAATTTAGGTAACTATACACAATCTAATTTAAAAAACAATGGGGCAAAATTATTGTTGTAAAACAATTTTTTTCTTAATGTTGACTAATCTCAAGAAACAAGTAATTTAGAAAAGTACTTTAGGAATATGCAGATGTTAAATTTGTTCATTATGTTGACATGCCAACTTTGTTCCTATCATTTCCTATTTTCTACTCTAAAAAAGATCTATCCTTTATAATGGAGTAATCATTCTGCAACCAAAGAGTTTAACATTTTCAAGAGTTAAATATTTTCCAAATTTGTTAGAAAAGGCTTAAATTTTAAGGGAACAATGAAGTCCTGTTTAACCTTAGTTTTAAATCCAAGGAAGCAGGTTCTCTATACTTCCTGGGAGCAGATTTAATGCAGGTGGATGAGTTTTTCTTTTAAGCTATTGTGAACTATTAAGTTACTTTAGATCTTAAAATATTATTAATGCTGATAATATCAAACTTTGAAGGCTGAGCTTTGGATCCTAAATAAGTTTGTAAAGACACAATTTCATATCCTCCATGGCACAGATTTCTTGGTGGCGAGAGTCAGAAATCAGGTGCACTGGTAGGTGAGGGTGGAAATCAGGGTGGCAAAGGAAAGAACAAGGGCCAAACTTGAAGAACAGGACGACTCATCTTGGTTTCTCTTGCCCCCATAGGGAACCCCCATCATGTGGGGGCTCTTCTCTGAGACATATTTCCCCACTGTGCACGGCCATCAGAAGATATCACCCTTACATTATTATGAAAACTATAGCTTAACGGGAATAGAAATACACATAATAAAGTACATTTTTCAGGGGTGGAGTGGAAACACTAGGGGGCGCCCAATCCCTCTCAGAACTGTCACCCCAGCCACTCGTTCTGGTACCAAAAACAATGTATTTAAGGAAGCTAAAAGCAAGGCAGCCCTTATCCTCACCCTCAAGGTCCTCATGCACCAGGGAGGTTCTCAGAAGCCTTGAGCCATTAGACTCATTAACCTGTTTGACTAGGGAGCCCCAGGAGGTCCTCGGTGGGGCTGTCACGGGATATGGGGGAGCTCTATGCTTGCTTAAATGAAATTAGCTCAAAGATATATTACGTTTAAAAACCAAGATACAGAACAGTAGAAAAAATTTTACATAAATATGTATGTATGGAACACACACATAATAGATATGTTTCTGTGCACTGAATACCTCTAGTAGGAAACCCCAGAAACTGGTAAAAATGGTTGCCTCCAGGAAAGGGGTTAATGGGATGGCTGGGTGACAGGGCCAAATATGATTTCACATGGTTACCCTTTCAGAGATTTTGAATTATGCATCATATGCACATATTATTTCAAAAAGTTAAATTATTTAAAAAATAAAGAAAAAAATACATTGCATTTGGGGGCAACTACACATACTTAAATATTCTCTGCTTAAGGGGAATGGAAAACAGATAATCCTAGTTCTTTCCCTTTATTGGGTCATAAGAATCTATAGCTCATGAGAGCATATAACGTTTCGACTCACACTACCTTGCTAAATCATATTTTAGGTTTTTGGTATTCAAGGCATATGCATTCCCAAATTTCAACTAAATCCAGAAACTAAATCCTTCTTTGATATTATTTCACTCCTTGAAGAGTGATTTCTATCTGGATTAGTGAATCTGTGAGTAAAAGATAAAGAAGCAGATTCTCTTTAAATTTCTCATCAATATCCTTAACTTTAGCCGCACTGTTTCTACGATTGCTTCTGGACCCTCTCTCCAGAAAAGAATTGTCTCAGGAGGTCTGTTGGACAGGGGAAAGGTCACCAACTTGTTTCACTCTGCTTAACAAGGATGGAGAACCTTTTTTATATAAAAGGCAACTTGATCTAAATTTAAAAATTAAGGGCAATATAGATAAACAGAGTCAGAAACATACACATTAAAGAGTATCAATTTCAGAGAATACAGGAAGAAACAGAGGCTCATGAAGGAATATCACTCTCCTGCAGCCCTTTAGGATAAACTGAGTTTTAACATTAATAGGGATACAAGGGATTATCCCTTATCCCAATTATATGCGTTCTAAATGAAAATATCAAGAGAAAGTCAGCTGTTATATTTATTTTTAAAAATGTATGCAAACCTGAGATTATTTTAAGGCACTGAATTAAAAGTCTCATTTGCATAGGTATTGTTCTCCTGTTTCTTTAGAGCAGGATTTCTAAACAGTGGCTCTACTGCTACTTGGAACCAGATAATTCTTTGTTGTGGGGGGCTGTCCTATGTATTTGTAGGACGTTTAGCAGCCTCCCTGCCTCTACCCACCAGCATCCCCCTAGTTGTGACTACCAAAAATGTTTTCAGATATTGTTAAATAACCCCTGGGGTGCAAAATTGCTTTGGAGAAAAAGAAGCACGAAAGCAGAATTGCAGAAATGTCTTTTCTTTGTGCATTTTTGTTTCTTCTGTTTAACTTGAGATAAATCTCTGATGTGTTGTGAAATTAAACCAATTTTGCAAAGTACAAGAGAATGTGTAATATATAAGCTTATACCCTTGGGCAGAGCTTAATGGAGTAAGAAATATTGATAAACAATTATTAAATAACAAAATGTGTTGATTTTTCAATGGTTACAACATACAGCAGAAACTCAAAATCAATATTAAAAAATATTTCCACCTTCATCTAATTTATATTTTTATGTATTTGTTCTATACTTATCTTTATTTTGATAGATGATACCAATAGCTTCAAGAAGAGGAAAAGACTCAGGCTACTGGTAACTCTGAGTCACAAACCTGGAACACTTATGTCACAATCTGAGCAAAAATAAAATTCATTAAAATAGCATTTCATACAAAGTGATTAAAGTTGTGGATGTCCTGGTCTTGCAGAAAGAGTTTTGAAGAAATGATGGGACTGTGTAGAGTCTATCTCACGGCCATACACAAGTGGTGCTCTTTGATGATTATGAAGTCCTTATTACTGATTCTTGATTATCTTCATAAAAATACCAGTGTGGGTGGGTGCCTTCTAGACAAATTTAGTAAGCACAGGTTACTTACTTCCAGTGAATGCTATCCATCGAGCATATTTTGTAGCTTCTCTTCGCCAGTGGGAAGCCACCAGCAAACCACATGTGACAGTCAATGAAATGATTCCCATGATGATAAAAAACAGTGTGGTGACCCACTCCGGGGGAAGCCGGGGAGGGATGCACGTCCGGTCTCGTCCATGGATTGTTTGACACTGTCGCACGAGGCCCACAGTGAGTGCTCCTGGGGAGATGCAAATGGTGGGAATACTTTAGTGGGTTTGGCCTGTCCAGGGAATATTCCTCACCACCACCCCTTTAGTTCTTAAATCTCATTTATCTCTTCGTGGGTCATTCAAGCACATCCTAAGTCCTACTCTTCAGCATCTGCTGTAGTTCATAACGTAGTAATACTTAGTTTAACATACAAAGTGAACCTAAAAAAATAACAAATGACCTCAGAAAAGTCATAACAGGCAGTTCACTCAGGCATTCATTAAATAAATACTTTTCTGAGTAATTGTGTCAGGTATTTTTCTAGGCTCCAGGGAAATAACAGCAGACAGGATGAGGTTCCTGCCCTCACTGAGCCTGCATGCTGGCAGAAAGAACTGGTATTTTTTGATTCCTAGATCCAAGACTCATTGTATATGACTTCATTTTGGCTGAAAAGAAAATCACTTTTCAGGAAATTGAAGACAAACCTGAAATATGCCTAATTGTAATATAGAAATAAAATTAAATAATAGATTAAATGCCAGAAGCAATATGTTTATGAAAGGTATAAGGTCTAAGAATATTACAGTATAAGTAGTTTTCCATTAAACTCAAGAAAATGTTGGAAAAACTAGGAGGGCCCTCTGTCCCAAACTTGGTATATTCACCAATTTTTGTAGAGTTTACAAGTGTTCACACTGCCAAACCATGGCTGGCATGCTTCACAGAAAATCACAAAGGCAAATTATGAAGGTAATTCTTAAAGTGTCTCTCCCCATTCAAATAAAAGTGATTTTGGTAAAACATCAAGCATTATTTTTCCATAAGGATGTTCTCATGTCAAACCCAAGGGCCCTCCCTCAATCAAATTTGGGGTAATTTATAAAAACTTAGATTAGAAAGGTGACAGAGCAATTATTTGATCTTCTTCCCCAATAAGAAGAATGTTTTCAATGGTACTTCTCAATAAAAACTACTTGTTTCCCCTTCCAAGAGCAATGGCAAATGGGAAAAGTTACCAAAAATATAGGAATGGAAATTTCTGGAGCTATTAGAAACATAACAGATTTTTGCATTTTGGGGGGATTTTTTTGGTCTACATTCTTTTATTTATAGAGATGGGGTCTATGTTTCCCAGGCTGGTCTAGAACTCCTGGTCTCAAGCGATCCTCCCGCCTTGGCCTTCCAGTGTGCTGAGATTACAGGTGTGAGCCACTGTGCCTGGCCAGCATTATTTTCTCAATATGAACACAAAAATAAAAAAGACATTGACCTCGAAATCATAGCACTTGCCACGAACAAATGTCTTCTGTGAAGGGAACTGGTGAAATTCCTAGTGGCATTTTGGGAAGCTGCCCTGGTGGGAAGACAGAGCAGGGCTGGACTTGTGTGTGCACGTGCACGTGTGGCTAGGTGGGGCTGCTGGAAGGAGGGTGCTTTTCTGCAACTTGAGTTTGGCCATTGATGTATTTTTAGAAATAAAGCAACTTGTTGAAATAAAATGAAACAAGAAATCAGTTCTCTCAAAGTTGAGTTTGAGTCCTCCCCCAAATGCTAACTGTTAAGCAGAGAAGAAAATAAACAAGCTGTACTTTTTCTCCCAAGTCATCTAATAACTATACCCATCTGGTGATCCCTGCCCAGGTGCAAGCAACATTATACTTATGGGGTTATCACAGGCAGGAGGAAGGCAGACCGGACAGAAAGTACACAAATCTTCACAAAAATGCCACACACTATGCCACACACCACCTTCTACTTGGAGCTGATTGACTTCATAGGCCAAAGAGAAGTAAATCAGTAAAAAAAAAAAATTGTCACACTATTTATTGCTAACCTTTTAAGTTTCACGGTAATTGCTTGAAACCAGAAGAGAGGATTTGGTAGAGGTGAGTAGGCACCAGGGAATTGCATGACTGTTCTTAAACAAAAACACTAAAAAGTCTCCTTGAAAACAAAAAAAAAAAAACTTGAGGGAGTGTCTTATGATAAGGCATTTTCTTGTAATTTTGGAAATAAAGAAGGCATTCACAGCAGTGCTCGAGAACTCTTAACAGGAAACTCCTCCTGATCATTCAGCAAAAGACCGTTAACAAATTATCCTTTTCTAGTCACTGTTCCATTTATAAAAGATGTAACTGCTGGCAATGAAAGACCCTCTGACAAAATGCAATATTATGAATTATTATATTAGCAACTTTCTTCTCAATTTAACATACAAAGTCTGTACAGTTACAAAGGTAACTACATACCTAGTGAACTTAGATTTACATTTGATTTTTTTTGCTGGTAAACATTAAAAATTGTAGGTTCAGTACATCATAACTGAACTTTCCTTCTAAATATTTGAGTATCCTTATGTTGACTTTCTTACTCTCTCAGCGTTAGAAATGAAATTTAACTTAACCTCCTGTGCCTGTAGATTCTGAGTGGAATTGCTTTCCTCCTCCTCTGTCTAGCACACCACACCAAGTGACTACAAACAGAACAAGCACGAAAATTTCAACACCTTCTATAAAACTGCAAATAATCTGACCACGGTTTAGCTTTAAAAGAATAGCTATAGTCCTGTATTTATCAAATTCCTTATCACAATAAATCAAAACCAAATAGCAGCTCTATTCTAGAAGAAAAAAAGCTAATGCTAATCGACAAACAGAAGGCATACTGTATATAAGAAAATCAATACACTTTTTTTTTTTTTTTTTGAGATGGAGTCTCGCTCTGTCACCCAGGCTGGAGTGCAGTGGCGCGATATCACGGCAAGCTCCGCCTCCCGGGTTCACGCCATTCTCCTGCCTCAGCCTCCCGAGCTGCTGGGACGACAGGCGCCCACGACTACGCCCGGCTAATTTTTTTGTATTTTTAGTAGAGACGGGGTTTCACCGTGTTAGCCAAGATCGTCTCGATCTCCTGACCTCGTGATCCGCCCGTCTCGGCCTCCCAAACTGCTGGGATTACAGGCGTGAGCCACCGCACCCAGCCAATACACAAATATTTTGCTGAGTCTCTCTCGTGCTCAGCATAGTAGCAGTCAGAGATTCAACAACTAATATGCTCACACATTCAGTAAAAATAGACTTTCCTTAAATATGCAAGGGCTAATGCAAACAGTGGTCAGTCAACATTGTTAAAGTTCATTTTCTTGAGTGAGACTCTAAGTTGACAACATTTATAACACAGTCATATATTTTCTGTAAGCTGACTGGGGGAATTTGCAAGGCTAACTGTGCTGTTACTATTAAATCTTATAAATTCAGGTCTGTTAGTACCCGAACTTTCACCAGGCCTTCAAATTTAATATTTTACCTCAAGGAATTACCTCCTTGAGCTTCAGACTCATCACCCACATTAATAGTCAAGATCTTTTACTTCTTCTAAATTCCCTTAACACATTTAGTCTGTATCATACAACCATGCACTTACTTTAAGGTAGCTTCTTTTTATCCCCAAACAGGACATGAGCTTTTCAGAGGAGGGAACTGCACCTTCCACTCCACTGGAAACCCCAAAATGGCCTGCAGTAGTGGAATTCATAAGCATTAAGTGAGTTTAAATGTATTAAAAACAAGCTAAATTTAAAATCGCACTGCATTAAATAAGTTCTCTACTGTAGAGCTATCTTAATGTGGTTTCTGCACACTTATTAAATACAAGCTCAGCCATTCACGAATTTTTGTTTTATCCAACAGGTCTTTTTGCCTCTTGAAGGGGCCTGTAATTCCATTCCCCAAACAGCCAATCCATCTGTACCCTGCAGCTGTTTCCTAGGTAACTAACCCAGCCAAATAAAAGACTTGTACACAATAGGAAAAAGGAAATGGAACTAGAAACTACAGCATCCCACATGCCTCTCAGCATCTCACCTGTGCAGCATAACACACAAAAGGAAAGTCATCCTGAGTCTTACTCCATTAAGTGGGGGCATCTTAAGAAGCTTCGACGCTCATCATCTGTAAATCCAGACACTGTTAAAACGATTTAATACAGCCAGTCTGAGCATGTCTGTTGCCACAGTGAGGATGATTATAAGGTATGTCATCACTACATGTAAAAGCAGTGTCACAGAAAATCTGTAACACAGGGGCTGTAAGGCAGAAAGGCGCACGGCCACCAGTCTGTCAGAGCAAATCATGTGGAGTGCTTGCCAACCTGGCCAGAGAGAGCGTTTTCCCATACAGGGTTGGATTTGAGCAAAAATAGCGAAGTTAACATTAGCTATTATCTTCTTCCATCTCCCTGTTACGTTTTCCTCCTCCGGACAATGCTCTCCTCCTCTCACGGGGCTCTCCCTGTCAGCTCTAGGTACTATGATTTGGAGTGCCCAATCCCTACCACAGATGTGGATCTCTTGCTCTACTTCCTCCTTGGGGAAATAAAATCTGTTCTTGGCAAGCTGTTTCACTGGTTACACAGGCCAAAAAATACTCTACCACAAATGTCTTAATGATTGATAAAAGCTTAACATACTGCCTTTCCCAAGAGCATTTGTATTTGAGCGAGGGGTAGTATCCCAATTGAACTGAAATTACGGAGTTTCATGTTTTAGCAATGGGCTGGCTGAAGAAATTTAGAATTGGATTGCACGTGAAGATGGGGAGCAGGAAGGGGAAAGACCCCAGTGTACACAGCCCTGTGCACCTCCCTGGGTAAGTCAGACGCTGGCAGCTCGCCCTCTGAATGAGTAGAAGCACAAAAACAAAACAACAGCCTACGGGTAACTTAAAAACGTCACACACCTAATTTTTTCCTCTAGAAACATAGCTAGTGGTGATGATTTTTATCTGCTATGATTTCTAAATTGTATTTTAGGATATAGGTGCTTATAAATAGCAAACTGGCCAAAAAAAAAGAGTGAACAGGTAAATCAAAGAAACTTAATGAGCCACACATGGACAGTGTCTGAAAACCTGAGTAACATAATAGGCTGGGGCTGAGCCCTACTCTCCACTGTAGTATGCCTTCCTGTGACTTTCACCTGTTCTTACCCTCCCGGGAGTTTACAGTCACCCATCCTTACAGTTTCTCCCAGTCTCTCACTTTCCTCTTGCCTTCATGTCTTTCCCTACCCAGCCTAGAGTCCTTGATCCATTATGTTACCACCTTTTATCTTTTCATGCACCCACCTGGCAAAAATGATAGCCCTGACTCAATAGAAATTTCTTCCTTCTTGTACTAACCTTCAGGCTGTGGAATGCTGATGGAGAAAATCACATCAGAGCAGACGGGTGCTGCTGTAAATTTCTAAATTTTAATCTCAGGGCCGTCATCTCTGTCTAGAAACTAATTAGGTCTCACTAATTCCGTGCTTCACTGTTCTTTGCTGAGGCTGTTCCAAGACTCCTGCACTCTCCTTTAAAAAATCTACCACTTCCTTCATATTCAGTAGGTATCAGTCTCTATTATTTCTCAGAAAAAAGTAGAGGCCATCAGACAGCAAATCCTCAACTGTCTACCATCAAACTTACAAATGTATCTGAACACATTCATTCTTTCATTCTCACAATCCTTTCTCCTTGTGTTTTGGATCCCATCCTCCCCTTCTTTGGGATCTTGCCCAATACATTATTTTCTCTTTTCATATCTATCCTCTTCTGGATCTCAAAAATGTTTGAATGTGTTTAAGTCTCCCCTACCATAAAACAAAACTATCCCATATGCCAACACGTCCTCCAGGGGCATCATGCTTTCTGTTTCTGTCTTGCTTTGTCTAACCTCCCGTGCCCCCAGCCATGGCCAGATTTCCTCCTCCTCTGCTGCCTTCACTTCCCAGAGTCTCATTCACTCTTCAACCTACTGAAGGTTGGCTTTTGCCCCAACTACCATTTTGATAGAGCTCTTGTGAAGCTCACTCACTCCATAACACCAACTCTAATGGATGCTTAACATTTAAAGTCCTGGACTAAAAACATTTTAGCAGCATTTGATATAGCTTCTTCAAACACATTTCCTTTGGTTTTGGTAACTCCCTCCATATCTACTGGGTTTCCTCCTGCCTCTTTAGTTTCTCCTCCTTTCATACACACTTTTTTCTTTCCCATTTGTTAAAATTTTGTGTTCTTTAGGGATCTTTCTTGGATCTGGCTCTTCTATAGTGACTCTCTGTCCTAAATCCAAACTCTTTAAAATGGGCTGTAAAGGTCTGGATTATACTGCTTCTAGTCTTTCATTTCTTTTCATACTTGATGCTCTAATTCTTAGATTAATTCCTAATTCATATATCTCCTTATATTATACACACCCCAGGCCCTCATATATGCTGTTCCCTCTGCCTACAATACTCTATCAAACCTCTTTTCCTGGCTAGTACCTATGACTAGAAATTCCAGTTGCAGCTTAGAAGTTGCTCCTGGGCTATCTTCCTTGACAAGCTCTTACACTCCCATCCTGAGTTGAGTGCTTGTCCTCTGGGCTCCTATCAAAGCACTGTATCTCCTTACTGAACCTGAAGAGATCATGGGAACCCCTAAAGTTGTAGCCAGTGAGAAGCAGAGGTAGCCTGGGGACCCCCTGACCTTGTGGATAGCATCTGCATTGGGGGCAGCATCTGAATTTGTGGAGAACTGAGTCCTTAATTTGTGAGGTCTGCACTAACTCCAGGTGATTAGTGTCAGAATTGAATTGTCCTGCAGTGCACCAACTTGGGGTTGGAAGAGACTACATATCTTTACACAAAAACTTATATATGAATGTTCATAGCAGTATTATTCATAATAGCCAAAAAGTAGAAGCAATACAAATGTCCATCAACTGATGAATAAAAAACAAAATAGCCATACAATGAATTTTTCAGCAATTAAAAAAAAGAACTACTAATACATGTTACAACATGGATAAACCTTGAAAACACAATGCTTTGTGAAAGCAGCCAGACACAAAAGACCACATATTGTATGATTCCGTTTATGTGAAATGTCCAGAATAGGCAAATCCAAAGAGGCAGAAAATAGACTAGTGGTTGCCAGAGGATGGGGGAAAAAGAAATTGGGAAGTACAGGGTTTCTTTTTCTTGGAATGTTACAAATATTCTGGAATTAGACATTGGTGATAGTTGCACAATACTATAAGAAAATCCATATATGTGAATGTATGAAAAACCACTATGTTGTACATTTTATTTTTTAGGCCATTTTAAGGACTTCATAAGTTGTACACTTTAAAATGGTGAATATTACCTCAAAAGAAATCCAACAATCATTTAAATACCAACTTAAATTCAGTAGCATACGGAAACTTTACTCCAATATAGCTCCATTCTCTCCCTTGTCTTTGAACTATTATTATGCAAATTATATGTATACACTATAAGCCTAACACACTTTTATAATTATTGATTTAAAATAAAAAAGTTATAAGCAAAAATATATTTGTACTGACTTTTACATTTACCTACATAGTTACCTTTACCAGTGCTCTTTATTTCTTTATGTGGATCCAAAATATTGACTAGTATCCTTTTATTTCAGCCTGTGGACACACTTTAGTATTTCCTATAGAACATGTCTACTTGTGATGAATTGTCTCCATTTCTGTTTATCTTGAAATGTCTACATTTCTCCTTCAGTTTTGATGGATAGCTTTGCTGGATATAGAATTACTGATTGACAGTGATTTTTTTTTTTTTTCTTTCTTTTTAGAGACAGAGTCTCATTCTGTTGTCCAGGCAGAAGGCAGTGGCACGATCTTGGCTCACTGCAACCTCTGCCTACCAGGTTTCAAGCGATCCTCCTACCTCAGCCTCCTGAGTAGCTGGGATTACAGGCATGTGCCACCACGTCCAGCTAATTTTTTTGTATTTTTAGTAGAGATGTTTCTCTACTAAACAACATGCTTCACCATGTTGACCAGGCTGGTCTCAAACTCCTGACCTCAAGTGATCTGCCTGCCTTGGCCTCCCAAAGTGCTGGGATTACAGGCGTGAGCCACCATAACACATCCAGCCGAGAGTGATACAGCACTTTGAACATGTCCCGCTGTTCCCTGGCCTAATAGTTTTTGATGAGAAGTCAGCTGTTAATAGTATTGAAGATCCCTTGCATATGAGGATTCACTGTTTTCCTGCTCCCTTCAAGATTCTCTTATGTCTTTGTCTTTCAACTATGATGTTTCTGAATGTATATTACTTTGAGTCTATCCTACTTAGAATCTCTTAGATTTTTCAATGTATAGTTTTTCATCAAATTTGGGGAGTTTTTAGCCATTGTTTTTCTAGACATTCTTTCCGCTCCTTTTTCTCTCTTCTTCAGGAATTCCCGTTATGTGTATGTTGATATACCTGATAATGTCCCACATTTCTTATGTTCTCTTCACTTTTCATTATTTCTTCTTTCTGTTCCTCATATGCAATAATCTCAATTGATGTGTCTTTAAGTTTGATGATTCTTTCTACTTCTGATTTGTTTTAGCTATTTAACTTTTCAACTCCTGAATTTCTATTTTATTTCTGAAAATAATTTCTATCTCTTTATTAGATATTCTCTATGTGGTAAGCCACTGTTTTCAAACTTTCCTTTAATTCTTTGTTATTTTGGGGAACATATTTATAATTACAACAGCTGATTTAAACTCTGTCTAGTAAGTCCAATGTCTGGGCTTCATCAGGAGCAGTTTCTATTGAACGCTTTTATTTTTCCTGTGTATAGGCCACACTTTCCTGTTTCTGTGTGTGTCTTGTAATTTTTAGTTGAAAACTGGACATTTGAATAATATAATGTGACAACTATGGAAATCAAATTCCTTCCTTCCCCAGGATTTGTTGTTGTTACTGTTTACTAACCTTCCTGGAATCATTCTGTAAAGTCTGTATCCTTTGTTGCGTGTGGCCTCATCTATTAGATTAGTTTAGTAGTCAGCTAATGGTTAGAATAAGGTTTCTTTACATTCTTTGAACCAATAAGACTCTCAGCCTTTGCTGAGGGGGTCTCTCTCTGTGCTGTGGCACATCATCAATGCTGCAGCAGACAATTTACAACTCTGCCTTGGCCCTCACTTCCTGCTTGCATTGAGTCCTAAATCAGGTAGAGGTGAGAGAGTAGGGCCTTCCCAGTTGTTGCCTGGGTATGTGGACAGTCCCAAACATGTGTGTGGCCCTTCAGGTTCCCAGAAATAAGTTGGAGCTTTTCAAAGACTCCTATGGACATTCTATTCCTCAAATTTTCCTTTATGTTTGCCTGTCAGTCTTTTGTTACCCCAATACCTCAGGAACCTGTGATGCTGAACAACTGCTGACTGTTTTTAACAAATGCCTAGGAATAGAACAGAGCAAACTCTGAATCTGATCAAACAAAGATAAGCCCTAAAAATTGAAATTTTCAGTGAGCTGCCAGACCGATCAAATAGTGACAATTCTCTGGGGATGGGGCTTTAAAAAGTACCAAACCCCCTGCCCTCTCAATTGGTTGCTAAGCTGCTAGTTTTCACAGCTACTATAGCTGTGAGGCTACTGGTTTTCAAGGGTACTGGGGACAGGTAGATGGAATTAGCACAATTGAAACTGCCACAAAGTTTGCTTTTCTTACCCAAATACAGGCAATTTTCTCGAATGCTCCTTCAATTGTTGCAAGCTTTAATTTCCAGAGTTCTGAAAAGGTTGACCTAATAATTTTGCCAGTGTACTTGTTGCTTTTATAGAGGAGCAGATTTTTGGAGGTCCTTACTTTGCCATTCCAGAAATTAAACTCAACAACAGGTCACAATTTGAATTTCAGTTTTGTCACTAATTTGGGCAAGTCAGTTAATCTTTCCAAGCCTGCTTCAGCAAAAAAATAGTACAACCACCATTTAGGTCTGTGTGAGAATTAAACAAGATAATGAGATAACACCTGGAAGGCAATCAGAACTGTAAGCACTGAATAATAGTTTTCAGGAAAAGAAATTAGATATATTTTTTTTTTGTTAAAACATACACAGGACAGTACAAGACACACCAATTTAACACAGTAGTGTACTCATGAAACTTGCATTCCAACATAAAAAGGGTGCTAAGGCTATTGGTCATAAAAAGTAGTCAGGACATTACTTCCCTGTTCAACTTTTTAGTATATTATTCAGATTGATGACCACACACAAGGCAAGTTCAGGCTTGCTGAAATAGAAGCTCTGGGGATGGATTTTATTGTAATACCAATGCCGGAAGCCTGGAGATTGAGAAAGCTTTGCTATTATAATGAAATAACAAAATGTTTGTTATATAACAAGTAAAAAATGATCATTAGCCTTTAAGTTTGATTTTCTTTTTCCTTGCATCCTGTTGGCTGTTCCCTCTATCCCGATTTAAAAGACAACTATTACCACCTGTTTGTAAGCATGACTGTAGTTTGGAGGCCTTATTTTACAGTTGACTAAATCATACCCAACACTGCCCTCACATTACAGCTTATTAGCTCTTGCTCCCTAAAGTGACCTTAGGTTTAATCCCATAAAGACATTAAATACTAACTAGCAGCAAATCTCTAGTTTAAAATCTGCTTTATTGACAAGTACAACATGCTACCAGAATCTGTCCTCACTATGGCACTATGACTCTGCCAATTATTGAAGCTCTTAACATATAGTGCATGAAGAATTCATTAAAGAAAAGCTTACCACAATGTTTAAACTATCCATATAATGTATAGAAAATATGTGGAAGGATATTTGTCATACTGCCAAGAGTAGCCTACTCTGGTTGAAGAGAACTGGAGGTGACGTGGGGAGAGGGGGTGAGAACCTTTGTATTTTTACTCTGTCTTATCTAAGTGTAGATAAATCCATACAATTCTGTCTTTGGAAAAAAAAAGAATGTTTGCTTTAAATTTTAAAATTCTAAAATGTTTATACGATATTACACATTAAATTTAAGTGTGCTAATTGCATTTACATTACACACTATGAAATCTTTCAATCATGTATGAATTTAAGCACATGCTCTGGATCTAAAAGAAATTAAGAGTATGCCAAAGAAATTAGCATAAACCAAAGTGAGTCAGGTAGAAGGTTAAAATGGAATTTAAATTACAATGTCTGCATTTTCTATTCCATTTCAATTAGGGTATCAAGAGAAACTCCCATGGAAGAATTCCATTCAAGGATACTTACTGTTTCTTCCCAGATTAATCTGGCAGAAGTAACCCATTTATTTCACCTGAATGAATAACCTCCATGGTTTGTACACAGAACTGAGCTGGATTAAGGTGAGACTGGTAAAGAGAATGAAAGTTAAATTTGGTAGGTTAATTCTTGTGGCCAGAAAAGTACTGTGGAATTATCTGTAAAAGTATTTTAACAAAAAGACTAAACATTAATGACCCCATAGCCTCACAGAAAAGGACTGCCTGTGGACAATGATCAAGAAACAAGCAAGCAATGAGCAGACAATAGCAGCTCTCAAGTAAAGCTCCTGGCCAAAAGCAGTCATAAAATTAGAGAATTTAGAGCTGGCAGGGATCTCAGAGATCATCTGTTCTAATCTCCCCAAATTAGGGTTTAGAAAATACTGAAGCCCAGAGAGATTAGATGATTAATCCAAGGATACAAAGTTAATTAGCAGCGCTGAGACTAAAACCCAGGTTTTGAATTACCCACTTCAAAACTTCCTAGCACATGATGCTAACTTCCCTGAACACCATTCATTGAGTAAAGAAAATGAACAGTATTCCTAAAAATACCTCCAGGAACATTCAGACTTCTATCAGAACAGACTTAATCACAATTTTGTAAGCACAGTGATAGTGCATCTAAGGACTTTCATGGGAGGTAAAAAAACATATATATAGAGGGAGATGTCATCTTTGGGTTCCTCTTGTCAGTTCACAGGAGAGGCTCCCCTGGGTTTTGTTCCTTATAAAATGTAACCTCTTCCTACACTAGCCACTATTTCTCATAAACGTTCAAGGAACACCCTGCTCTCGGTTTATTCTCCTTAAAGAAACATCCCAATATCTTTGTCTGAAGAACAAAAGGATTCCCTACATCAACTTTAGGCTCTTATCCTATCTCCAAGGAAACTTGGCTATTTATAGTCTACTCTCAGACATCAAAATGAACACTCACATTTGTCTTACCTATTTGCATCGACCAGAAAATGTGCACTACTACCTTCTCAGGAATTTATAAAGTCACAAGAGCAAAGGATCCATTTATGATCTCCAGGTCTGTTAAAGTAACTGCTCTTTTTCAACTAGTTGATATTCCGGTATTAAACAACTTTAAATCATTTCTCTACTAAATTGTACTTCCTTAACAATTTACATGAGTACAGTAATTCTCTGACATTAAATCAAATTCTAAACCATTTAGTCATGTATGTGTTGTCTTCACAGGTAGATAGCATATCAGCAGTTCGAGTTCAGGTTCTGGATTAAGACTCAAATCTGGCCTCTCAAAAAAGGCGCGGTGGCTCACGCCTGTAATCCCAGCACTTTGGGAGGCTGAGGCGGGTGGATCACCTGAGGTCAGGAGTTCGAGACCAGCCTGGCCAACATGGTGAAACCCCACCTCTACTATAAATAAAAAAAATTAGCTGGGAATGGTGGCATGTGCCTGTAATCCCAGCTACTCAGAAGGCTGAGGCAGAAGAATCGCTTGAACCTGGGAGGCAGAGGTTGCAGTGAGCCGAGATCGCGTCATGGCACCCCAGCCTGGGCGACAGAGAAAGACTTCATCTCAAAAGAAAAAAGACCGAAATCCAGGTCTACCACTTACTGGCTGTGAGATTTTGGGCAAGTTAATTAACCTCTGTGTACCTCAGCTTCCTCAGTAAATGCAGAATGACCTCCCAGTATTGTGTGTATTAAGAGAGAGAATGTATACAGAGCACTCAGAACAAATGCCTGGCACAGAGTAAGAACTTGATAGATGTTAAATATTATCAATAATGTGTTGCTATGTCGATATACTTTTAAAAAAGGAAATAGGCCAGGTGCTATGGCTCAGCTCACATCTGTAATCCCAGCCCTTTGGGAGACAGAGGCAGGAGGATCACTTAAGGCCAAGAGTTTGAGCCTGGGCAACACACTGGGACTTTATCTCTACAAAAACTAAAAAAATCAGCCGGGCATCGTGATGTGCACCTGTGGTTCAAGCTACTCAAGAGGCTGAGGTGGGAGGATTGCTTGAGCTCAGAAGTTTGAGGCTGCAGTGAGCTATGAACATGTTACTGTACTCCATCCTGGGTGACAGAGACCCTCTCTCTAAAATAAATAAATTAAATATAAGAAAAGAAAAAAAAGAAATAAGAGAAACATAGTTTGGGATTCTATCTTTCTCTTTTTTATATATTTTTTATTTTAGTATTCTCTTAAATTTATTGTTGTCTCATAGTACCTCTGAGTCTCTTGCTTTTTTAGACTTAGAAGAAAAATCATGAATTCATGTCCAATTTATGTAGATCCACTTGTTTTTAAATGAGTCAGAACTGTAAAAGTTTAGAGCCTCACAAATATGAGGAAAGCAAGTTTAACACTGAGACAAGTGTTTCTCTGTGCCATCAGTGTGATGCCTCAATTATAAAGTGGATAGATTTAAGAGTGGAGAGCTTTGGAGAATGACAAAAGTTCTAGTTCTGACATCTCTTCTTCCATTTAATCTTTAAGAGGAGCTTGTTTTCTCATTGTAGTTAAATTCAGCATAAGATTAAAAATGTAAGGTGATATCTCCCCAATTTTCAACTTCTGAAAACACTACCTAAGCTTTTGCAGAAATATATAAAATCAATCCCTCATTAATTAGCTTACATTTGTGGTAGCCATGATCTCCTAAGCAAAGAGATGGTGGTCTAGAAAAACCATACTTTAGAGAAGGTTTCTCATGATCTTGAGAAGCCTAGCACCACACCATGAGCTATGCCTGACTTTTCTGTCCAAGTCTAGTGGGCACAAGCGTGCTATACCAAGCTTTCATTCATTCCGCAAATACTGAGCACAAGATCTGTGCAATACACTGTAGGATGTATGAAGGACACATGAAGACATGACCCCTGTGTTTCCAGAACTTCCATACACACAGCCAGACACACATCCACAGAAAGTTAAAAAGCACAATACATAGGAGGGTGTGAGTTAATGCCAAGGGAATTGTGCAGTCGTGTGGGATTAAGAATCTGAACATAAGCATTCTATCCACAGGCACCACTACTCATGGAATTTTGAGCAAAAAGCTTCATTGTCTTTTGGTCTACTGTCCCATTTTACAAGTGATATCCTAAAAGGCTTCTGATAACCCTTCACAAATGCTGACATTAGGTTTACTGAGGTCGAGTTTAGATACAATAAAATTCACATTTTAAAATGTACAATTCAATGAGTTCTGACAAATATATGTAGCCATTTCAACCATGATATAGAATGTGTGCATCACCATAAAAAGTTCCCAGACTCCTTTGCAGTTAGCCTCCTCCCCCAAGCTCCCAAGGTAGATCTACATTCTAACAGTGTAGTTTTGCCTCTTGTAGAATTTTATATAAATGAAATCATATGCAATCATGAATAAGGCTACTATAAACATTTGCATACAGGTCTTTGTAAAGACCCGTTTTCATTTTTCCTGTGTTAATACCTAGGAGTGAAAAGCTTAGTCATATGGTAAGTGTATGTTTAAATTTATAAGAAACTACCCAACTGTTTGCTAAAGTAGCTGTACTTTTCTTTTTTTTTTTTCTTTTTTTGAGACAGAGTTTTGCTCCTGTTGCCCAGGCTAGAGTGCAATGATGCGATCTCGGCTCACTGCAACCTCCGCCTGCTGGTTTCAAGTGATTTTCCTGCCTCAGCCTCTGGAGTTGCTGGGATTACAGGCATGCGCCATAAAGCCCAGCTAACTTTTGTATTTTTAGTAGAGATGGAGTATCACCATGTTGGCCAGACTAGTCTTGAACTCCTGAGTTCAACTGACTGGACTGCTTCGGCCTCCCAAAGTGCTGGGATTACAGGTGTGAGCCACCGTGCCCGGCCAGCTGTACTATTTTACATTCCCAGCAGCAATATCTAAAAATCTAGTTGTTCACCATACTCATCAACACTTTGTATTTTCAATCTTTCTAGTTTTAGCCATTCTAAAAATGTAGAGGTAGGCATGTAGAGGTCTCTTACTGTGGTTTTATTTCCCTAATGTTTAATGATATAGAACATATGTTCATGTATTTACTTGCCATCTCTGGCCTGTTAAAATCTTTATCAATTAAAAAAGTCAAGTTGTCCAATGATTAAAGAGTTCTTTATATATTCCAAATATTCTGAATACAAGTCCATCTTCTGACATGTGTTTTACCAATATTTCCCCCATAGCCTTGCTTTTAAATTTTCTTAGCAATGGCTCTTGAAGGACAAATGTTTTATATTTTGAGTCCAATTTTTCAATTTTTTTTTGAGACAGAGTCTCACTCTGTCACCCAGGCTGGAGTGCAGTGGCGCAATCTCGGCTCACTGCAACCCCAGCCTCCTGGGATCAAGCGATCCTACTGTCTCAGCCTCCTGAGTAGCTGGGACCACAGACATGTGCCACCACGCGTTGCTGATTTTTGTATTTTTGGTAGAGACACATTTTCACCATATTGCCCAGCCTGGTCTCGAACTCCTGAGCTCAAGTGATCCACCTGCCTCAGCCTCCCAAAGTGTTGGGGTTACAGGCATGAGCCACCATACCTGGCCAATTTGTCAATTTCTTATCCTGCCTTCTGTGGCTACTTAGTGGCAAAGGGGGAAAACCCCATTGATATGGTTTGGCTGTGTCCCCTCCCAAAATCTCATCTTGAATTATAATCCCCATAATCCCCACATGTTGAAAGAGAGACCAGGTAGAGGAAACTGAATCATGGGGGTGATTTCCCCCATGCTGTTCTCGTGATAGTGAGTTCTCACAAGATCTGATGGTTTTATAAGTGTTTGGTAGTTCCTCCTGCGTTCATTCTCCTTCCTGCCACCTTGTGAAGAAGGTGCCTTGCTTCCCCTTCACCTTCTGCCATGATTATAAGTTTCCTGAGACCTTCCCAGCCATGCTGAACTGTGAATCATTAAACCTCTTTTCTTTATAAATTACCCAGTCTCAGGTATTTCTTTATAGCAGTGTGAGAATGGACTAATACACCCACCATCTTAATCCCAGACTGAGGCTTAGGCAATAAGAGATGACATCAGTCAGGACACCAGAATAATAAACGTTTATTATCTCTAGAGCTGTCTCTGAGAGATGCCCAACAACTCATGAAAAAAGGCTGCCAAGGAGAATTCAACCTTCCTTATTACATCTGAACAGACAGCTAAACATTCTGTCACCTCAACCATTTATAGGACAAGAATATAGTAAGAATGGTTCTTACTACTGTATCTAGACAAAACTGTTTAACCCAGATGCTTAGAAAACATCACTTATATTACCTCTGGATGATCAATGAATGGCCAAGTCTATTCACTGTTTGAATAAATAATAGATTATATACAAAAAATAAAAAGATGACAATATATCTGGCGAGAGAGAGAGGGTTACTACATCACAACAGAAAGTCTCAGTTAAAACAACCAAGGTTATTTCAAAGTACAATTCTTATAAAACCAAAGTCTGTTCAGAATAAAAATTATACAGAACGTCACCAAAGAGTTGTCAAGTTTGTTCCCAAGCTGCCCTTTTCTTCTCACTCCATATTCTTCCTAGGCAATCTCAGCTGGGTTCACTGATTCAATTATCACCTAAAAGACAATGACTCACAAATTGATCTCTAGCTAAGACATCTCTCTTAAGCTCCAGATTCCTGCTTATTGCTTACTTAATATTTCCACTTGGATGCCTCATAGGCATCTCAAGCTCAACAAATACGAAAACGAACTTATCCTCCATTTAAACCTCCCAGTGTCCTTCTCAATGGCACCACTATTCATCCAGTTGCACAGGTCAGTTATTCTTAACTCCTTCCCCTTCTTTCCCCCATAGGTTCCCACTCTGAAATCACTAAGTCAAGTGGAATTTACCTCCTAAACAAAAGTCTATCCTGTCCTCTCTGTCTACATGTCCAACATCCCAACCCAAGTCAAAGTAAATTCTCAGCACTCATTTCTTATCCCTTCCAATCCTTTCTTCTTCATACTGCAAAGCAATTGTTTCTTTCTTTTTTTTTTTTTTTTTTGAGACGGAGTCTCGCTCTGTCACCCAGGCTAGAGAGCAGTGGCGCGATCTCGGCTCACTGCAACCTCCGCCTCCTGGATTCAAGTGATTCTCCTGCCTCAGCCCCCCAAGTAGCTGGGATTACAGGAGCACGCCATCACGCCCGGCTAATTTTTGTATTTTTAGTAGAGATGGGGTTTCACCATGTTGGCTAGGCTGGTCCTAAACGCCTGACCTTGTGATCTACCCGCCTTGGCCTCCCAAAGTGCTGGGATTATGGGTGTGAGCCACCACACCCGGCCTAGAACAACTGTTTCTAACATGCAATCTGATTTTTGTCACATTACCTTAAACATTTTAATGGCTTCCATCACTGTTAGGATAAAGAACAAAATCTCTACAATGGCCTACCAGGTCCTGTATTACCTGAACTATGCCTTTTTTTTCAGACAGATCTAATCTCACTCCCCCCACTTGGCTCTACACAAGTTAGCCTCATTGGTTTTCTTCAGCTCCTAAAAGCACCAAACTCTTTTCCACTTCAGGGCCTTTTGCACATTATTCTTTTTGCTGGCAGAACTATTCCCTGCTCATGTTCTTGCTAACTCCTGCACTTCCTTTCATTTCCAGTTTACATGTCATTTTCCTAGGGAGGACTTCCCTCGTAAATTCTTCCTGTTAATAGGTTCCTGTTAAAACTACATTTCTCCCTTTATAGCACTATGACAATTATATTTATTTTTATTTTTTTGTTGTCTGTTAACTGCTAGATAAGTTCTCTATATGGCCAGTATCTATCTTATTTTCCAATATATATCTAATGCCTAGCAGAGTTCCTGACATATAATGTCTGCAATAAATATTAAGTGAATGAACTATCAATCTCTTCTATGTAACTTTTGTGTCTGTTATTTGAGAACTCACATGCTGTGATTCAATGTGCAACCCAAAATTCATGTGTTGGAAACAATCGGCAATGCAACTGTGTTGGGAGGTGGAGCCTAATGGAAGGTGTTCAGGTCATGAGGACTCCACTCTTATAAGCAGATTCATGCTGCCATAAAAAGAGCTTGTGAGAATGAATTCACTCTCTTCCGCCATGTTAGAACAGTGTTCCTCCCTCAGGAGGATGCAGCATCAAGGACCCATCTTGAAAGCAGAGATTGGTCCTTCACCAGACACCTAAGCTGCTGGCACTTTGATCTTGGACTTCCCAGCCTCCAGAACTGTGAGAAATAATTTCTGCTCTTTATAAAGTACCCAGTCTTAGGTATTGTTATAGCAACAAAAAATGAATAAAGACACCACATTTTTTCACATTATACTCTCTCTCTCTCTCTAAAATACTAAGTTAGAGAATAGTCGATAATTCTTCATTTTAAGGAAGGAATTGTTTGAACAGTGACTTTCCTAGGTCACTGATACTATTTAATTAACTATTTGAGAGGAAGGGAAATAGAAAAAACTAGAAACAAATATGTATTTCAGTAAGTCAGCAAAACATGCTATATTTTAGGGACATATCCAGATAATAATTATGAATCCTGATAATGTTCTCATTTATTTCATGGACTAAAGGTATCCCTAAATAGAATCAGAAATGCATTTTTAACATGGCCAGCAAACTGTCATTTGAGATGTGTCTTGGGGAGTATGTTGGTTCCTAACGGACTAGGCTGGTTCCTGGGACAGTGAAATGTAAACATAGAGAAATCAGAGAGACACTAAAATATTTTTGTTTGTCTAATTTGAAAGGAGGGAGAAGGCCGGGCACAGTGGCTCATGCCTGTAATCCCAGCACTTTGGGAGGCCGAGGCAGGCGGATCACCTAAGGTCGGGAGCTTGAGACCAGCCTGACCAACATGGAGAAACCC
The DNA here is from genome assembly GCF_000001405.40 of Homo sapiens. Lineage (NCBI taxonomy): Eukaryota > Metazoa > Chordata > Mammalia > Primates > Hominidae > Homo > Homo sapiens. Next base: position 22,056,573 of record NC_000016.10, on the reverse strand, counting down.
CGTCTCTACCAAAAAAAAATATATATATATATAAAATTAACCGGGTGTGGTAGTGCATGCCTGTAATCCCAGCTACTCAGGAGCCTGAGGCAGGAGAATTGCTTGACCTGGGAGGCGGAGGTTGCGTTGAGCTGAGATCGCGCCATTGCACTCCAGCCTGGGCGACAAGAGCGAAACTGTCTCAAAAAAAAAAAAAAAAAAAAAAAAAGAAAGAAAGAAAGGAGGGAGAAAAGGAAGCGACAAGAGAAACTTGAAGGAAAAAAAGACTACAGAATTGACAATTAATGTCTGAACTCAGGCGTCAGTGGCAGATGTCCTAGAATATAAGTTATATTTGTCAAAACGTTTTAGAAAGAGAACTAAATAAGCCTAGTCCCCAAATAGAGAGGGCTTCCGGGCAAAGCTACAAAGTCTAGCACAGGGTATCCAGGCTTACTTTTGCCACCTCTCTGAAAGCAGGAATATACCCCAAGGTTCTACCCTGCCTCGCCCCCTGCCGGCCCATATTAGTCCCTTTAGGTTTACTGGTCTTTTGGGACCACAGTGTGGAGGACATATCACCAAACAGCTTCACAGTTTTGGCATGCTTTGTACTATTCAAGTCAGTAAGGCTGCCTAACTACTCTTCCTCTAAAGTTAGTGAAAAACACAGGCATATAAGAGAGGCATAATGAAAAGTCATTTCTTTTCCACCCTAAAGTGATGGCTAAAGGTTGATATGACTACAAGTATCAGCTTGCTATGTGAGCAACACCTACTGATCCACTTTCCATTACAAAACCTGATATGGGATAGAATTTTTGGGACTTGAGCTGCAAGGATAAATCTTTTTCAAGCAACTTATTTGCATTAAAGACTGATGATTGTTCTGGAAAGAATTTACTTTCATGAGAGAAAAAGTCTAGGAAGCAAAGTTAAGCTAGTAATGAAGTCTTTACCATCCATCATAAAGAAGGAGTGATTCTGAGTACTGCATGGTGTCACTTGTATTTGCCTCCGGTGGATTTGTATCTAAGCACAAGGAGGATGCAAGGGTAGTAGGAAAAATAGCTAGTTCCTTTAAAAGTTTGCAAGATACTGGAGGAAGTGGCAATCCTGTTGTGGTACTGTAAATGTCAGGGTGTAACATAAAATGAAACTATTTCAGTAGAGCATAATGTAGTTCATTTCAGCGTCCTGTCATTGGGAGATAACAGTATATCAACACTTAACCTAGAGGAAACAGTGGTGTGGATGTAGCAGTACCCAGAAGCAGTGTGTTGACTAAGGTGTGTGTTGACTAACACACACAGAAGGAGTGTGTTGACTCCTTCACACACACAGAAGCAGAAGGAGTGTGTTGACTAAGGTGACCAGGCGGATGCCATGCTACCCAGTGGAAACAGCATCAATCCTTGCAGTGGCCGTTGGTAATACACTGATGTATGATGTTGCACAGAAGCTGACCAGACTTGTTGACCCTCAAAAACAAATGGAGAGAAGGCAAGACTTTTCAGTGGGCTAGAGACTTACACTATTAAGAGAATTCCTGACTCAGCTAAATACAGGTTACGCTTACAAAGTTTTAATCATCTATACCAGACATAATAAATGTAAAGAAAAAAAAAAAACCCCTATCTTTACAAACTAGAATGGATTAAACACTTTATGGAGATAAATGCCTTTGACATGTTTAAATAATTTTAATTTAGTAATAAGACCCAAATTATTACTCTAAAATGAAAATGTGAAAAAAAAATCTGTGAACAGTCTTAAGGAAAAAGAAAGGTGTCCAATTAGTAGATTCTCTTTCTAAATAGTCAAGATAGTGGGTACAGACACTGACTTTTGTTTCCTATCACAGGTAGGGCCTGAATAAAGGTTTTGGTGAGATACTTGTGCATTTAAATTGTTCAGCATTGCTCTAATATAAGTACTGATTACTAAGAATTGAAGAGAACTTATGAAGAGAATTAAGAAAGTTATTTTTCCTCAAAAAGATGTTAAAAAACATGAACAAAATTCCAGAGACTCCTTAGTAAACAATATAAAGAGAGAGGTAAGGTTGGTAAGGCTTTGGATAAGGGCTAAGAGTAGAGTATCACTGATATTTGATAAATTATATTCCATGGAATCTAACTTTCAAGGAAAAATTGGCATGAGAGGTGAAATACCTTCTCAACAAAAATTTGTCTTCCTGGCTGGGTGTGGTGGCTCATGCCTGTATGTCCAGCACTTTGGGAGGCCAAGGAAGGAGGATCGCCTGAGCCCAGGTGTTCGAGACTAGCCTGGGCAACAGAGTGAGACCCTGTCTTTGCAGAAAATTTAAAAATCAGCCAAGTGTGGTGGCATGTGCCTGTAGTCCCAGTTACTAGGGAGGCTAAGGCACAAAGATGACCTAAGCCCTGGGGATCGAGACTGCAGTGAGCTAAGATCCCACCACTGCACTCTAGCCTGGGCAACAGAGGGACACTTTGGCTCAAAATGAAACAAAAAAAAAAAAGTGTCTTCTTTTTATTTCTTATATGGTTTGGCAAAACCTGCAAAGTCATCAAGGTTAGAAATGATACTGGAATTTCCCCAGCTGTCTCTCGCAAATGATAAATGACTCTCCTTTCTCTCTATACACACATTTTTAAAACTAAAATTTGAATATGTACTATATACATTTGCTACAAAAATTCAAAGACAAAAAGAGTATAGCATAAAGTGATAAGTACATTTCCTTTCAACAATGGGCCTCCAACTACTCCGTTTCTTTTCCTTGAAGCAATAACCACTTCTTTTTTTTTGAGACGGAGTCTCCCTCTGTTGCCCAGGCTGGAGTGCAGTGGCATGATATCAGATCACTGCAACCTCCACCTCCTGGGTTCAAGTGATTCTCCTGCCTCAGCCTCCTGAGTAGCTGGGATTACAGGTGCCCGCCACAATACCCAGCTAATGTTTGTATTTTTAGTAGAGAAAGGGTTTCACCATGTTGGCCAGGCTGGTCTCGAACTCCTGACCTCAAGTGATTTGCCCGCCTTGGCATCCCAAAGTGCTGGTATTACAGGCATGAGCCCCCGTGCCTGGCTGCAAGCACCACTTCTTGTGTATCTTTACAGGAGGGATAATGTACGCATATACAAGAGCATGAGTGTGTGTCTGTGTATTATTTTTTAAATGACCCATGCAGTCACAGTAACATATATAATGTTCAATACCTACTTTCCAAAACTTATTTTTAATAATTAGTAAATATAAAATATTTCTAAAATTGCATAAGGTTAAACAAAACTATCATATCATGAACCCCCATGCATCCACATGCCAGTTTAAGAAGGAAGAATAGGCTGGGTGTGCGGTGGCTCATGCCTGTAATCCCAGCACGTTGGGAGGTGGAGGTGGGTGGATCACTTGAGGCCAGGAGTTGGAGACATGCCAGACCAACATGACAAAACCCCATCGCTACTAAAAATACAAAAAAAAAAAAATTAGCTGGGCGTGGTGGCGGGTGCCTGTGGTACCAGCTACTTGGGAGTCTGAGGCAAGAGAATCGCTTGAACCTGGGAAGTGGAGGTTACAGTGAGCAGAGATCAAGCCACTGTACTCCAGCCTGGGCAACAGAGTGAGACTCCGTCTCAAAAAAAAAAAAAAAAAAAAAGAAGATGAGAGAATATTACTATTACTTTTTGAATCCCCCATGTGCCCTCTCTAATCTCGTTTTCTCTCCTGAGGTAACCACTCTCCTTGATTTTGTGCTTATTAATTCCTTGCTTGTAGTTTTACAATTTTTTTTCCCCCTAAACAACATGTTTAATGTTTCATACAGTTTAATGAATTATATTAAACTTCATATAAATGGAATCCAATCTTATTACATGTATGTTTCCACAGTTTGTTTCTCTTGCTCAACATGACTGTTTAAGATTCAGATTGTTATAATTTATTTATTTTTCATGGCTGTATAGTGTTCTCAACATTTATTTATTCTACTCTGGACACAGATTTCTAGAAGTTTGTTGCTGTTTTGTTTTCTTATAAATGGCACTATGAACATTTCTGTCACCTGGGGAAATGAGCAAGAATTCCTCTAGAATCTGTTAATAAGTAAAACTGGTAGGTTATAAGGTTCATACACATCTTTAAATTTTATTAGATAATACCAAATTGTTTTCCAAAGGGGTTATGTCCGAATTCACTTTTCTCCCAGCAGTGTATAAGGGTCCCACTTGCTCTACATATTCTTGCCAATACCTGATACTGTCTGTGCCTGGCAATTTTACTTAATAACATATAATAGAGAATCTTACATATTAGCATATACAGGGCTGCCTCATCCTGTCTAAAGGGCTTCATAGTATTCTAGCATATAGATATACTGTATTTGTACAGTTGTCTATTGAGGCAACTCTCCAATATTTCCCTTTAATGGATTATTTCCAGTCTTTTGTTATTTCAAACAATAACAATGGACAGCCTAATTTATCGTTACGAAATTCATTTCACACATGAAACTATATCCGTAGAATAAATTCCTAGAAATAAAATTTCTGGGTTAAAGAGTATATGCATTTAAAATGTTCACAGATATTGCCAAATTATTCCACATATATATAGGAAAAAAACTCTCAAACCATGTTTTTTTCTGTCACACCACAGCAACACAGAAGGCTTTTGTGACCAAATGCGTGGGGTTTCTCCCCCACACACCAAGCAGTGGACACCAGCCAGGTGTCCTCCAATTCAATTCTGACACTGTCTACCTGGAGATAGTATCAGATCCCATGGGTTGATGGCTCAGTCCCCAAGACTGCCACCCACCCCATCCCAGACACCAGTCAGTCACAAGCCGGGGCCTCCAAAACTTCTGACTGGCTTCAAGTTGGGGTTCCCACAATCCCCTTTTTGGGTTTAATTAACTTGCTGGAACAAGTCACACAACTCAGTGAATCACTTATGCTTATTGATTTATTATTAATATAAAGGATACTACAAAGGATATAGATGAAGAGATGTGTAGGGTGAGGTATGGGGGAAGGGGCATGGAGCTGTTGTTGGTACTTCCCTTAATGAAGTACAAGAACTCTTTAAATATTAAGGAAATTAGCCATTTGTCTGTGGTTTGACCTATTGATATTTTAGCCTAGTTTGTTATTTTTCTTTTGTTTATGGTAGATTTTTTTTGTATGTAGAAATTTTATTTTTCTGTAGAGTCCTTTTTTTTTTGGAGATGGAGTCTTGCTCTGTCGCCCAGGCTGGAGTGCAGGCACCATCTTGGCTCACTGCAACTTCTACCTCCCAGGTTCAAGTGATCCTCCTGCCTTGGCCTCCTGAATAGCTGGGATTACAAGTGTGCACCACCATGCTCGGCTAATTTTTGTATTTTTAATTAGAGATGGGGTTTCAACATGTTGCCAGGCTGGTCTTGAATTCCTGACCTCAAGTGACTCACCTGTCTTGGCCTCCCAAAGTGCCGGGATTGCAGGTATGAGCCATCGCGCCCAGCCATAGAGTCAAATTTAATAATCATGTCTTTTATAGCTTCTAGGTTTTGTACCATACTTTTGGAAAGGTCTTCTCTTACTTCAATAGTAAATTACTTGTGCATATATTAAACACAGCAGTTGTCAGACTGGACTGCACTAAAAAATGAACTCTCAGTTTGAGTTTTCTCTACAGTAGGTTTCTCAACCTCAGCAGCATTCACTTTTTTTTTTTTTTTTTTCTTAAGAGACAGAGTCTCACTTTGTCACCCAGGCTGGATCATAGCTCACTGTAGTCTCAAACTTCTGGGCTCAAGTGATCCTCCTACCTCATCCTCCCAAGTAGCTAAGACTTAGACAATCCTGACACAGGCATGTACCACCACATCCATCTACTTAAAAAAATTTTTTTAAGGAGATGGGGTCCCCCTATGATGATTTCAAACCCCTGGCCTCAAGTGATCCTCCTGCCTCAGCCTCCCAAGTAGCTGGGATTAAAGACATAAGCCACCACACCTGGCCCACTACTAACATTTTGGACCAAATAATTACTTGTTGCTGGGGTTGTCTTGGGCACTGTAGGATGTGTAGCAGTATCCCTGGCCTTTACTCACTAGAAGTCAGTAGCACTCTCTCCCTCTAACAGCTGTGATAATCAACATGTCTTGAGACATTGTCAAATGTCCCTGGGAGATGGAGTGGCCAAAACTGTCCCTAGTTGAGAATCTCTGCTCTAGAAACAGGTTTACCTTCAATACTTCCTTCTATTCATAGAAATGATCAGACCTAACCAATTGTATTTAACCTGAAAGGTATCTCTAAAACATTGGAACTATTTTTTTTAGTTTAATATTTTAAATTAAAGTACTTGGTGCTGACAATTCTTTTGTACAGTTCTGTCTCTAGCTTTAGAATAGCTTAAGAGCAGCCATTACCTCATGTCCAATGGAATTAATCAAGTATGTTATTTAAAGACCACAAAACAGAATGTTGACAGAGGAACCCAGGCAGGATCCAAGTCAATTCACTCCACTTACTCTAGCTTAAGAAGGGTTTTCCTTTTAATTTCCAAAATTAAAGTCAGTTTTGAAATGATACTTCCACAGAGTGCTTACTTTCCAAGGTGAGCTCTCCAACCATGGCATGGATACAACAGCCACGATAATGAAGAGTGTGTAGTAATGGTGCAGGAATAGATACATCAATCAACAATACGGAATCAAACACCCCAAGAGAGCTAGGATATATAAGATGGCATTACAAATCAGAGGAAAGAATGGATTATTCAGTAAACTGTTTTAGGTAACTGGCTTAACATTTATAAAAGAATTAAGATTCCCACTTATTACCATGCAGCAAAATAAGATGGCAAATTAATATAAAAATTAAAATCATAAAAAGGAAAATATTCTAGTTGACTTTGTGGTCTTAGGAATAGGGAAAACTTTTCTAGGTATACATACAAAGTCAGACTATAAAGAAAAATACCATAAATTTAAAGGTAAACAATAACCTCTGTGCAATACACATGAAGGGGTAATAGTCTTTATATGTGATACCTTTCAAATCAACAAGAAACCTAAAATCAAAATTGAAAAATGGAGAAAAATATGAATAAGCAATTCATATAAGATGGCATACAGAACATCAAAAGTATATACATTTTTAAAAATTCAGTCTTTCCAGTAACCAAAGAAATGAAAACCACCAGCCTGGGCAACATAGCAAGACCCTATTTCTATAAAAGGATTTTTAATTAGCTAGGCATGGTGGCGCATACCACCATGTAAGACGGAGGTTACTCAGAAGGCTGAGGCAAGAAGGTCACTTGAGCCCAGGAGATTAAGGTTATAGTGAGCCATGATCATGCCACAGCACTTCAGCCTGGGCTACAGAATGAGAACCTGGTTTGTTTGTTTTTTTAAAGCAAACCAAGAAAACTTCTATATTTTGACTATTAACGTGGCAAAAACTAAAAACAACAGCAAGAAACACAGGTTGGGGAGCTCAACAAAATACTCTCCAGTAAAAACATAAATTTCTATATGTATTTCCTCAGCGCAATTTGGCAACACATATTAAAACCTTTAAAAATGTTAATATCCTCCCACCCAGTATATATATAGGAATTTAGAATACAGCAGAGATAGCATCAAGAAATATCAGGGGAGAAAAAGGGCTAGTTAATGAAGAACACGGGGGCAACCGGTTATAGTGAGGAAAACATAAAGCTAGATACTTATTTCAAATTATGAACAAAAATAAATTCAAGAGGCTTTACAAAGCTAAACATAAAAAAGAGAACTATAAACGTGGAGTAGGAAAGTCTTTTCAATGTAAGAAAGAAAACCCTGAACCCATAAAGAAAAAAACTGATCCACAAAATTTTAAACATCTTTGTCAAAAGAAACCATAAATAATAATGAAAAATAAATTTGAAAAACAACGTGAGACTGGGAGAAAATATTCACAACTATATAACAATATCTGGAATACATGACTAGGTACCAAACATTAATAAGAAAAAATTTAAAACCTCAAAAGATTAAATATGTGGCCAGTAACATGAAAAGATGTTCAACTTAATAAAGAAATGCAAATTAAGACAAAATACCATTTTTGGGGCCATCAAATTTTCAAAAGCTAAAAAGATTTATACTATCCAGCACTGGAAAAGATACGGAGAAATGAATATACTTTTACACATTGTTGAGAGGGTTGGAAGAAAAACTGGTGCACCTTTTGGGTTGATGTTGATGTTGCAGCAGCAGCATCAGTTAACTCTTATACAGTGTTAACATATCCCAGTATCCTAAGTCCTTTGTATACAGCAGCTCATTTAATCGTTCACAACCCTATGAGGGAGGTACTGTTATTTCTCCATTTTACAGATGTACGGATAAAGAACCTGAGGCACACAGATGTAGAGTAACATCTTTCTTACACAGAGATGTTGGATTTGGGAATTTGGCTCTATAATCTGTGTTATTTGCTATGCTACACAGTCCTACACTGCAGTAGCAACCATGGAAGTACACTGCTCAAGATCTCCCTTGAAGATACCTTGCAGTTCAGTTCTGATGTGCCTTTAGGACTTAACTCCCTCGTCTTTCAAGATCAGGCCACTTTCTTCCCTGGCAGTCACAGGTCAATAACTGAATACATGGGAGTACCAGGGCCTGGCTATTTCTAACCAACTGGTAGTACTATCCTTCTAATAGGCAATCTTCACTCCAGAGTGCCCCACTGAATAGGCTGTAACTGTTAGATGTAAATCAGTCTGAGCTCTTTCCCTTCCTTCAGCTTCTGACTGCCTATCTTTCACAGGTACTCAGTGAACTATTTGCAGTCCTAACTCTGTCTCAGTGTCAGCTTCCCAGAGGACCTGACACAACTGCCTTTCTAAGGAAACTTCAAGTGCATACACCTTTCAGCTTAGCAATTTCATTTTTACATATGCAACCCACAGAAAAACCTGCATATAGGGAAAAAGAAACAGGTACAAAGATGTTCACCGCACTATTACTTATAATAGCACTATTACTAAATATCTATCAATACAGGAATGGTTAAATTATGGTGCATAGGCCAGGCGCGGTGGCTCAAGCCTGTAATCCCAGCACTTTGGGAGGCCGAGGCGGGCGGATCACAAGGTCAGGAGATCAAGACCATCCTGGCTAACATGGTGAAACCCCGTCTCTACTAAAAATACAAAAAATTAGCCGGGCGTGGTGACGGGCGCCTGTAGTCCCAGCTACTCCGGAGGCTGAGACAGGAGAATGGCATGAACCTGGGAGGCGGAGCTTGCAGTGAGCCGAGATTGTGCCACTGCACTCCAGCCTTGGCGACAGAGCAAGACTCCGTCTAAAAAAAAAAAAAAAAAAAAAAAAATTATGGTGCATAAACAGTATAGAATACTAAAAGGAAATAATTCTGTGTATATTGACGTGGAAAGATCTCTAACACATGAGAAAAAAGCAAACCACACAATAGTATATATCATGAGATCCATTTATTAAAAAATTATATATATTTCTGTAAGTCCACATATTTATAAATATGTAGAAAACTGATAGTAGTTCCAGAAAGGAAAGATGCCAGGAGGGGGTGAAAAAGGTAGGGATGAGCGAGTCCTATATTTTAACTTTTCATTTTAAAATGTAGAATGCATTAATATATATAGTCGATCCTCATTATTCAGGGATTCCATACTTGCAAATATGCCTACTCACTAAAATTTATCTGCAAGCTCCAAATCAATAGTTGTGGCACTTTTGTGGTCATCTGAGGACGTAATCCACGTGTAGAGTGGCAAAAAAATTTGAGTCACATGACAGCCATGTTCCCATATGCAGCTTAGCATGGCAATGCTCTGTTGTCTCAGTTCTCCTATAGTAAGTGCATGTCTTTTCTGTGGTCTCTTCAGCGCCACGTCTTTCACATTTTTGTGCCTTTTACTGATGATTTCACTGTTTAAAATGGTCCCAATTATAGTGCTCAAGTGCCGTCTAGTGTTCCTAAGTGCAAGAAGGATTTTCCCTTTCAGAGAAAATATGTGTGTTAGGGAAACTTCGTTCAGGCATGAGTTACAGTGCTTCTGGCACAATACTGTTGACATATATTCTTGTACAGGATTATTAATATATAATATTAATGTAATTGAATCAATACATATTAAATAATATGTCCTAAAACAGAGACATACAATGAGGTTATGTATTGATCAGTTGATGAAATGTGACCAGAGACCTGCAGGAACCTAACCCTATTTCCCCCAGGGGCAATGATCCAGTATTCACTAATTCAATGTTTGCAGTGACTTTACAGAACATAACTACCACATGAGAATCGACTGTATTACTAAAGTTTAAAAAACAAAAAAGAACCATGTTGGCCAGAGCAATAGCTCTAGTCTTTAAATAGAGCAATAAAGCCATTAATAGGGGTTGAAGTGTCCCTTTAGCTTTCCTGTGCACTCAAATCCCACATTCCTCAGCTGCCTGCTTTTCATGGTGATGATATGGCCAGGAATTGAACAATGAGAACACATGGACACAGGAAGGGGAACAGCACACACCCGGGCCTGTTGTGGGGTGGGGGGAGGGGGGAGAGATAGCATTTGGAGATATACCTAATGTTAAATGACGAGTTACTGGGTGCGGCACACCACCATGGCACATGTATACATATGTAACTAACCTGCACGTTGTGCACATGCACCCTAAAACTTAAAGTATAAAAAAAAAAAAGAGTTCTAGTGAAGAAAGAAAAAAATATATATCTCTTAACTCAAATTTTTCTTGACAAGGCCCCCAAAGAGAATTAAAGAAATCAAAATGAGTTACTACTGACACCTAAATTCATTCAAAAAGACTTGCAATTTTTCCCCAGAAATTATCCATAAGTATTTTAGAATATTTTATGGATCCATAAATGATCCATAGAATATATGCATTAATTATACTTACAGTTGAGCATCCCAAATCCAAAAATCCACATGTGGCTATTGAGTAAATGAAATATGCTATGCAATTATTTTTTTAAAACAGTAACTAAAACCTTTTTAAACTTACTGCCACCCTTTTAGCGTAGGAAATCTTTTTAAGAAATGCAAAAAGCAAATTTTTATTTTCAGGATCTAATACCTAATCATTTTTCTCAGTTCCTAAATATTTTACTACCCATCAAGGCCCAGAGCCAATACTGATAACACAATACATTTTATTTATAAAGACTATGGTGCTCTAGCCCCAGCGCTGCCTTTCTATGCCTTTCCCACTCCTGTAAAGTCACATCAGAAAACATCACATTTTTCTAAAATACCCAAACTTTACACTATGAATTAACTATGAACATATTAGAATCTTGATTGTGTATAAGAAACCACAGAGAAGAACTGAATCTCTCCTTTCACCTAGTTACATTATTGCCTTTTTTTTTTTTTTGAGACAATGTCTGGTTCTATTGCCCAGGCTGGAGTGCAGTGTCACGATCTTGGCTCACTGCAACCTCCAACTCCTGGGCTCAAGCAATCCTCCCACCTCAGCCTCACGAGTAGCCGGGACTACAGGCATGTACCACCATACCTGGCTAATTTTTTTTTTTTTTGTATTTTTTGTAGAGATGGAGTTTTGCTAAGTTGTCCAGGCTGGTCTTGAACACATGAACTCAAGCAATCTGCCCACCCTGGTCTCCCAAAGTGTTGGGATTACATGTGTGAGCCACCGCTTCTGGTCTATTATTGCTATTATATGTAAGCTCATCATATAATGCAGAATAATTTGCTAAACTGAAGAGTTACTCTTAACATGAGGGCCCATGAAAGGTAGCATAGAATAATGGTTAGGAGACAGTAAGCTATACAGCAAGGCTGCCTGGGGATCTGCCACTTACCAGCTCTGTAACCTTGGGCAAGTTACTTATCTTTTTCCCTACCTCACTTTCTTCATCTGTGAAATGGAGAGAGTAAGTAGTACAGGTTGAGTATCCCTTATCCAAAATGATTGGGACCAGAAGTGTTTCAGATATCAGGATTTTTCAGATTTTAGAATATCTGCATTAATTATACTTACGGTTGAGCATCCCCAATCCAAAAATCCAAAATGCTTCAGTGAGCATTTCCTTTGAGCATCATGTCAGTGCTCAAAAAGTTTTGGATTCTGGAGCATTTGGGATTTGGGATGCTCAACTGTACCCACTTCACAGGATTCTTAGGAAGATTAAATAAATTTATTCTTGTAGGAAGCTTAGGAACAATCCCTGGCACACAGAAGTACTTAATAAATTAGTTATTATTAATGTTGACAGGTTGTGCCAACAATGCAAACACAACACTTCTGGCTACCTAACTTGGGGGAACAGGTAAACATGTATCCCTTCAGTGGGTAGTACTCCATATAACTATTATCTATACTATTTTTATATATGGTGTGGTTTGGCTCTATCCCCACCCAAATCTCATCTTGATTGAAACTCCTATAATTCCCACGGGTTGTGGGAGGGACCTGGTGGGAGATAATTGAATCATGGGGGCGGGGGGTTCCCTCCCATACTGTTCTCATGGTAGTGAATAAGTCTCATGAGATCTGATGGTTTTATAAGGAGTTTCCCCTTACACTTGGCTCTCTCATTCTCTCTTGCCTGCAGCCATGTAAGACAGGCCTTTCACCTTCTGCCATGATTGTGAGGCCTCCCCAGTCACGTGGAACTGTGAGTCCATTAAACCTCTTTTTCTTTATAAATTACCCAGTCTTGGGTATGTCTTTATCAGCAGCATGAAAACGGACTAATACAACATAATTGACACTTCAGAATTTCTCGAACTTACCTAAACTGATCATATATTTAAGGCAAGTCTCTACGATTATAAATTCAACTGCTGGTATACAGAACCACCTAGACTTTATCAGATTCTGTACCTAAGATCTAAAAGTAACAAACAACTCAGCTTTCTCTATGGCTGGGAGGGACAAACTATTTTGTCTTGAATCAAGGTATAATTTTGCATTTCTCTGGATGGAAAAGTATAGTATGTTAGTCCTGTTTAATTTAATTAATGAATTCCAATTTTTCAGAACACAGTAGGCTTTCCTTGGGATACCTAGCAAAATGGCTAGAATAAAAGAGGTGCTCAATAAATATTCACTGATAAAATATAGGAAGATGAGGCAAGAGTGTGTGAATAGTCAGATGATAAGCATCCATGTGAGCAATGTAAAGATACATATTTAAGGAAAAATAATCCCTATATGTGTCAAATGATAGTTATGTCAGAAATGGAAATGTACTGCTGTGACTAAAAGACTAAAATGCTGGGTACCATCAGAATTTAATGAAAAAAAGCAGAAAACTTTAAAATTCTTGCTATTCATAATGCTTATCTGTCCTCATGAAGAATATACAGTTTCTATGTGTCATGCTAGCAACCTAATGGCCTAAGACAGTTAAAAGATCACAGAAACAGATGAAAAATTTTCCATATGTTAAATTCCCAATGCTGCATGTCTTTAATTGTTGATCTTTACAGGGTAAGAAGTTGCTCCCAATTATAAACTGTTAATTAGTCAATAGTCCCACTGTTAATTTATGCATAAAAATAAAAGTGGCTGGACAGTATCCCACCAAATGCAGCATGATATAAAAAGGAGTATGGGGTATGGAATAAGACAGAGGTGGGTGTGACTTTCAGCTCTCCAGCTTCTTTCCTCTATGACCTGAAGCACTTCAGGCATGTGAGTCTCAGTTTCTCCATTGTAAATGGGGAGATTCCGTTATCTATCTCAGAGTTGTTGCATATATTAAGAGTAGAATAACAACACAGTGCCCAGGTGCTTCGCCCCCTCTTCATCTGAACGGACTCCCGTTTTTGCGAGCCTGGAGAAAACTCAGCAGGTTGGTTTCCTTTGCCCTAACCCAGAGTACTGAATTCGCTTGGTGACAGCTATGGTAATAGAGCACTGGGTGGTAACTTCTGGTGCCCGTGTGAAAATATATACCTCCAACAGGGCTGGTCTTAGAAATAACAGTTGGTGAAATGATGGCAAGCATTACATGTCTTGTGATCAAATCCAGAAAAATTTAAACAGTATGGAGAGAACAAATGTAAATATGTTCTAGCAAATCAAAGGAAGTATCTTTTGAGTTGAAAGGTAACTTTTAGATACTTTATACAGTAAATATATAAAGTTCATTATTGTAGGAAGTGGCGTAGGCTGAAAGCATCCAAAAAGGTTTAAGTAAACTCCAGGTGATGGAGCCAGGATGAATTATTAGAAGATACATGTTTTTAGGACTATTCCTTGCCTAGAAAAGGTGTCAAATAACTGCCGACTGGGTCCACCAAAAACTCATATGCCACCTACTTAGCAGAATCTTAATGCTGCTCAGCGATGCTTATGTTCATCCTTTGTTGACTGTTGCAGCCCCCAGAGCAGCTGTTCCAAACCTCTTCACACTCTTAGTTCTCTCATATCTGCCCAAAGTAGATAACCTTTCTTCCCACTCAAAGGAAAAAAATCAAGGTCATACAAATGAAGCAAACCTTATTTGCCCTCCTCCACCTGAAAAATCTCCTGGAAACTCAGTTCCGAACATCTCAAAATTTCTCTTATACCATCTTCTTTTTCCGTTTGTTTTAAAGAAGATGAATAGGCATAGTGGCTCACACCTGTTATCCTAGCACTTAGCGAAGTCAAGATGGGAGGATCGCTCGAGGCCAGGAGTTCAAGACCAAGCTGGGCAACAAACATAGTGAGACCTTGTCTCTACAAAAATAAAAATAGAAAAAAAGTAGGCAGGCATGGTGGTATGTGCCTGTAGTCCCAGCTACTAAGGAATATGAGGTGGGAGGAATGCTTGAGCCCAGTTCAAGGCTGCAGTGAGCCATGACTGAGCAACTGCCCAGCCTGGGCAACAAAGTGAGGCCGTGTCTCCAAAATAAAAAAAAAAAATTAAAGTTAAAATTAAAAAATAAAGAAGATGAACTTCTTCTCTTTCCTGAAGCTTAACCCTTTACTTTGGTTTTTAAAAATCAAATTCCCTTCTCATCCATTTATTTTTACTTCAATTACTCCCTGAACTAGTGTTAGTCAAAGTACGGTCTAAATACTTAACTACAGTTGTAACCTGGGTGCAGGTTGGGGGTTGGTGGTGATGAGGGTTATTTGTTTAAAAATGTCCTGCTCTGCAGACCTGCTGAATCGGATTCTCTGTAAGTGGTGCTAGCAATCTGCATTTTAAACAAAATTCCCATGTTATTCTTGTGCATATTAAAAATTGACAATTGTCTTAGGCTATGGATCTTTCTGCTCTCTCTCTAAACTATGCTTCTGTATTCATAAAAAAACAAAACAAGGCAAGCTAAGCTTCCCTTAAATGACTCCACCTCAGATCACCACAGTGTCTCTCTTCTCATTACCTCTGTGGGTGAAATTTATCTCACTGTCCACTCATTCTTCACACCTTTTGTAATATGACTTTCACTTCATTACTGTATTTAAATTGTTCTTTCCCAGATCATGTCCTCTAAATCTCTAAATCCAAAGATCTTCCCTAGTCCCCATTTTCTTCAGTTTTCTGAAGCATGTAATATTCGTAGCTATCTCTTCCCTTCCTGGAACTAAATGTCTTTACTTACCTTTTTTGTTTGTTCGTTTGTTTGTTTTTTGGAGATAGAGTCTCAATCTGTTGCCCAGGCTGGAGTGCAGTAGCGCGATCTTGGCTCACTGTAACCTCCGCCTCCAAGGTTCAAGCGATTCTCCTGCCTCAGCCTCCTGGGTAGCTGGGACTATAGGCGTGTCTTTGTGTCTTTACTTTCTTAAAACCATAATCCTGCTGCTTGCCTATCTCTAGGGCTGCAGCTTTTCTGTTGAATGTTGTAAATCCCAAGGCCCTTTATTCTTTCTAGAATTTTAGCCTTCTTCTCCATCTGCTTAGATGTTCTATTGCTTCTTTAAACATATAATGTATCTTACATGTAACCTTCTGACTTCCCCCATTTTGTTTCATTCATTCAGATATTTACTGCCCATCAGTGTATGCCAGGCACTGTTTCTTCTAAATCTGGTCATAAAAAGTTATTGAAGGCAGATACCTTCAATGACAATACTGTCACTCCATCAATCACCCAGTTTGGAAATCTTGGTATCATTCTTATTGCCTGCTTCTTATTATGCCCTCTAATATGTCAAAAATCATCCTTCTTTGTAATTTTTAAAATACTTTTAAGTTCAGGGGTACATGTGCAGGTTACATAGGTAAACTTGTGTTATGGGGGTTGGTTGTACAGATCATTTCATCATCCAGGTATTAAGCCTAGTACCTATTAGTTATTTTTTCCTGATCCTCTCCCTTCTTCCACCCTCGGATAGGCCCTAGTGTGTGTTGTTCCCCTCTTATGTGTCCATGTGTTCTCACCATTTAGCTCCCACTTATAAGTGAGAACATGATGTATTTGGTTTTCAATTTTTCTTATTTGTTCCTTCTGTTTCCATTGCTATCATTATTCCTGTCCAGATCTTTATGTCCTAATGTTGAAATCATTCCAATAATTTCTTAACTAGTTTCTCTACTTCCAGTTCCTACTATATTTCATTCATTCAACAAACAGATCCAATGCCTTCCATGTGCTAGGCACATTCTGGGTGCTGAGATATAGCAGTAGTAAGACAGATAATATTTCTTTTCTCATGAAGCATATATTCTAGTGGAGGGAGCCAGTAAAAAAGTGAACATATTAATAAGCAAGGTAATTGCAGTCATAAATGCCATAAGAAAAATCATACAGGGTAAGGCATTAGATAGGAGGAGGGAGTGCTGCTATCTTAGATTCAGGGTGGTTAGGGAAGGCCTGTCTGAAAAGGAGATATCCAGCTGAGACATAGATCCTACCACACTACTTATAAATGCATATTTCTAAAATACCACTTTTATGTTATCTCCTGGCTCATGAATTCTTTTTTTGTAAGAGACAAGGACTCATTATGTTGGCCAGGCTGGTCTCGAACTCCTGGCCTCAAGCAATCCTCCCACCTTGGCCCCCCAAAGTGCTAGGACATGTATGAGCCACCATGCCCAGCCTGCTCATGAACTTTTAAAGATACCCTACTAATGATAAGACAAAGGCCAAAATTCCAAACCTAACTTTCCAACCTAATTTTCTAAAAAATTCCTTACAGATTCTGCTTCAACTAGCATTTACTGAGTTGTTAAAGGCTGTATCAGGCGTAGAGCTTGACATCTTTTCCTCAAAATATACCCAGCTGAAAATCCCTAACAAGTATTATAATTTCCTTTTTATAGATAAAAAGGAAAGAAACTTGCCTAAGGTCACCTAGCTTATAAGTGACAGAATTGGGTCACAAATAATGTTAAAAACTGCTACTTATTGACATGTATCATGTATCCCAAACTATGCGTTAAGGAGTTCACTTGTCCATTTAATTCCCATCACTGAGAACAGATTATTATCATTAGAAAACTGATATGATTCAGTATGATTATTGTTAGGAAACTGAAGCTTAGAGAAGGTTGAATAATCTGCCTGAATAGATGATTATGATTAGAAAACTGATATGATTCAGTATGATTATTAGGAAACTGAAGCTGAGAGAAGGTTAAGTAATCTGCCTAACTCACTAAGCAGTCAAGATTAGACCTGAGACCTGACTTCAATGTCTATTACAGAGCACTATGCTTAGTTCATTCATTGCTTTCTCCCATGTCATTGCTTTCTCCCATGTCAGTTTTGGATGAACACAATGGTCTCCTTTCCCACATCTCTACCCAGACTACTAAACTCTGCTGGATAAAAGTACATAACTGTAAGATTGGCATCATTAAAAAATTTATGCTTTATGGACCCAACTAGCCCCTCAATACAACCCAGAAATCTGTTTTTTTAGCTGGCTCTCTCTTATTCTGTACAGTAGCTTTTCAACCATTTTTAAAATATATACTCTTTTCAAACTTCCTACCAGTATTATCACTCCCATTTCACTCCTAGCAAGTGACCCTTCTTGTTATCTCTATAAGTCACAGAGGTGGACTCCCTCAATTTCCTACCACCATTATCTGTAACCTAACTTCATCTTCATTGGTCCTCACTTCCTTTCCTCATGTCACAAAGTGTTTCTTGTCTCCTAAAATCTATCCCTCTGTTATGCTTTACCACTCTGGTACTATTAGGGTCCTTGATCTATCAACTTTGGTGCATTATCAATCCCTCCCTCTCTGCTGGCTCCTTCTCATTACGATGGATGTTGACTAACCTCACTATCCCTTGCACAGGCAAAATTCCATCTTCACTGTTGTCTTACTCTCCCTACTAGTTATTTTGCAACCCACTGTGAATGAGGCTCCTACTTTACCACTTCTCTGAAACGTCTCTCTCCAAGGCTATTAACAATCTCTTTAAGACTAATGTACTTTTCAATTTCATCTTGTTATACTGTGAAATAAATATTTGATTTTCATCAGGCTTCCCAACACAGCCCCTGAGATCCCTGGGATTTCCAGAGTGATGAGAGTTTCTTTTGTAGCTAATGAGATGGCTGGTGGCTGGCAGCCCCTATGTAGCTTCAGGATGGGGGCTGGTCATGGGAAAGATCAAGGCATGATTAGAAGACTGGGACTTTCAGTCCCACCTTGCCAACATCCAGGTAAGGGAGAGGGGCTAAAGGTTGAATTGCTCGTCAATGGCCAAGGATTTAATCAATCATGCCTATGTAATGAAGCTTCCACAAGACCCCAAAAGGATTGGGCTCAAAGAGCTTCTGGGTAGCTAAACACATGGAGCTTCCTGGAGGGTGGTATGCCAGGAGAGGGCACGGAAGCTTCCCGCCCCTTCCCACATGCCTTGCCCTATTCATCTCTTCATCTGTATTCTTTGTAGTATCCTTCATAATAAACCAGTAAAGGTAAGTAAGTATTTCCCTGAGTTCTGTGAGCTGTCCCAGCAAAGTAGTTGAAACTGAGGAGGAGGTGATGGGAAAGTTGATTTCTAACCAGTTGATCAGAAGCACAGGTAAAAACAACCCGAGGCTTGCAACTGGCTTAGGATTGGGGGCAGCTTGTAGGTTTGACCCCTCAATCTATGGGATCTATATGCCAGGTAGATGGCAACAGAACTGAGTTGAATTACAGGACACCCAGCTGATACTTGCCGTAGAATTGCTTGGTGAGTGCAGGAAAAACACACACTTGGTCACAGAAGTTTTCCGTGTTGTGAGAGCATAGTTGGAGAAACTGATTTCATACCTTAATTCCTTTTTGGCCAAGACTGCCAACCACTTCTTTCTTCTTGCAAATACATTTTCCCGTGGCTTCTATAGTATCAAATTTTTGTTTCGTTTTCCTTTTTAGAGACCAAGTCTCATTCTGTCACCCAGACTGGAGTGCAGTGGTGTAGTCCATAGCTCACTGCAACCTTGAACACCTGGGTTCAAGTGATCCTCCCACCTCAGCCTTTCCAGTAGCTAGGACTATAGGCACGAGCCAACATGCCTGGCTGGTTTTCCTCTTGAGTCTAGCTTTTTCTCAGCATCCTTAAAATGCTGGTGACCTTCAGGGTTCTTTCCTGGGTTCTCTTGTTTCTCCTTACTCTTCTTACTCTCCCTGGAAAATATTCCTACAATAGCTTCCAAAATCAGTCATAGGCTGATGACTTTTCATTCTGTATCTCCAATCCTAGTCTGACTTATGAGTTTCACCTGCCCACTAGGCAGATTCTCTGGTTTGACAACCTCTTCAAATTCAAAATATTAAATTCAGGATTCATATTAAAATAGCCTCCTACTGCCCTTACAATGGGGTCCAAATTCTTAACACAGTGTAAAAGGCCCTTCAGAAAACAATTTGGCAGTTTGTTAAACACTAAATTTGTGGCTGGGTATAGAATTACACCTGTAATTCCAGTGCTTTGGGAGGCCAAGTGGGGGTGGGGGAATACCTTGATGCCAGTAGCTGGAGATCAGCCTAGGCAACACAGTGAGATGCTGTCTCTACAAAAATTTAAAACTTAGCTGGGCACGGTAGTGCACACCTGTAGTCCGAGCTACTCGTGGGGCGGAGATAGGAGCATCACTTGAGCACAGAAGTTCAAGGCTACAATTAGCTGTGATTGGACCACTGCACTCCAGCCTGAGTGACAGAGCAGGACCCTGCCTCTAAAAAAACCCTAAAAACCAAAAAACAAATAAAAATTTTAGGCCAGGCGCAGTGGCTCATGCCTGTAATCCCAGCACTTTGGGAGGCTGAGGCGGGAGGATCTCCTGAGCCCAGGAGTTTGTGACCAGTCTGGGCAATATCAGGAGACCCTGTCTCCACAAAAATACAAAAATTAGCCAGGCATGGTGGTGTGCACCTATGGTTCCCAGCTACTCGAGAGGCTGAGGTAAGCGGATCACTTGGCCCAGGATGTCAAGGCTGCGGTGAGCCATGATTGGGCCACTGCACTGTAGCCTGGGAGAGAGAGCGAGACTCTGTCTCAAAAAATAAATAAGTAAATAAATAAATAAAATTTAAAAGACAAGGATTTCTACTTTTCCAAATTCTATTCGACATGTACTGGAGGTAACATCTAGAGCAATTAAGCGCAAAAACAAATTCTTTAAAACATTATTAGAACTAATAAGCTTAGAAAGATTGCAGGATACAAGACCAATATATAAAAATTAATTGTATTCCTATACACTAGCAGTGAGAAATCCAAAAACTAAGAAGGCAATGCATTTATAATATAACAGCAAGCAAACAACTACAAAAAAGTAACAACTACAACAAAACCCCAAAACAAGAAATCTAGGAATAAATTTAACTAAGCAGGTAACTTCCGATTTCCAGTCAGGCATGTAAGGAGGTTACAAGTTGTCATCCTCATTCATGGAATAAGAAAAATGCTGAACAAAATCAGTATAAACAACTCTTCTTAAATCCATCAGAGAACTGAAGACACAGGGCAAACCGCTGCCTGCAAAATTGGAAAGACAAACAGGTAGATACAAAAAATCACAAGTTATAGGTGCGGAAACCTCAAAACCTCCACAGAAACCTGAATGAAGGTAGGAAAATCTAACCTGTAAGAGGAATTCCTGAGGCTCAGTATGATTAAATCTGAGAGTTAAAAATTCCAGAGGGGCCCAGGCTTGAGCAAGGAGAGTGAGGGCACATTTTTGCATTTTATCTCTAGGAGCCCTATGAGGTCCTCACAGTGAAGATTAAAAAAAAAAAAAAAAAATCCCCTCCTGCTTCTGGCAGGGGAAAGGGGAAATAAGTCATTTTGAAATAAGCCCAGAGCACACTGTTTTCAACAAGGCGTGCCTGAAAAGAAACTATTTCACCGGAGCTGAACTGAATACCCAACTCCAGCCCTCTCTAGCTTTCCTGTCTCACCTAAGTGGGGCAAGGCACCAAGAAGCACTTGTGAAGATCACAGCCCAGGGCACAGGCTCACTCAAAGACTGAGATCTCCTCATAGGATTATAGAACTCTTCCCCTCCCCATGTACCTTACCGTCATTCATATTGACAGGACTCCTGTATGATCAAAGGGGAATATAACTCAAAGAACTGCAGATCTCAGGCCTTATTTAAGAAGTCTAGGCCAGGCGCCGTGGCTCACACCTGTAATCCCAGCACTTTGGGAGGTCAAGGAGGATGGATCACCTGAGGCCAGGAGTTTGAGACCAGCCTGGGCAACATGACAAAACCCCGTCTCTACAAAAAATACAAACAAAATTAGCTGGGTATGGTGGCGCATGCCTGTAGTCTCAGCTACCTGGGAGGCTGAGGTGGGAGAATCACCTGAGACTGGGCAACCACTGTACTCCGCCCTGGGCAACAGAGTGAGACCCTGTCTTTAAAAAAAAAAAAAAAAAAAAAAAAAAAAAACCCAAAAAAACAAACAAAAAAAACAGTTTCTAAACCCCAAAGACATCAAGGGAGATAAAATCTACACACAGGTATATCATATTCAAATTGTAGAAAATCAAAGATAAAGAGGAAATACTGAAAAAAGCCAGAGAAAAAACTACCTTACCTACAGAAGAGCAAAGATAAGAATTACATGAGACTTCTCATCAGGAATCACACGAGCAAGGAGAGAGGAGTGAAATATTTTAAGTGTTGAAAGAAAAATAACATGAACCTAGACTTCTGTATCCAGTAAAATTATCTTTCAAAAATGAAACAGAAATAAAGACTTTCTCAAACAAAAATTGAGAGAATTCTTCACCAGAAAGTTTGTCTTGCTAGAAATGATAACAGATAATCTTTAGAGAGAAAGAAAATGATTTCAGTCAGAAATTTGGACCTACATAAGGAAAGAAAGCACATTACAGAAGGAATAAATGAAGGCAAAATAAAATCTTTTTCTTATTCCTAACTGACAGACAACAGTTTGTTCAAAACAAATAATAGCAACAATGTGTCAGTGATTACAGCTTATGGATAAGTAAAATGAATGACAGCAATAAGGAAGAGGACAAAGGAATTGGGAATATTCTGTTATAAAGTAATTGTACTACTTGTTAAGTGGTATAGTGTCATTTGAAAGTGAACTTAGATTAGTTCTAAATGTACATAGAGTGTCCCCGTGGTCCGTGACTTACAGTTTTTCAACTTGACCATCGTGCAAAACCAGTATGTACTGGAGTACCTATAAAACCAGTTCGTTTTTCACATTTGGTGCCATATTCAATAAATTACAAGAGATATTCAACACTTTATTATAAAATAGCCTTGTGTTAGATGATTTTGCCCAACTATAGGCTAATGTAAGTATTGTGAGCATGTTTTTTATTTTATTTTATTTTTTTGAGATGGAGTCTCGCTCTGCCGCCCAGGCTGTACTGCAGTGGTGCATCTCGGCTCACTGCAAGCTCCGCCTCCTGGGTTCATGCCATTCTCCTGCCTCAGCCTCCCAAGTGGCTGGGACTACAGGCACCTGCCACCATGCCCGGGTGATTTTTTGTATTTTTTTTTTAGTAGAGACGGGGTTTCAAGGTTAGTCAGGATGGTCTCGATCTCCTGACCTCGTGATCTGCCCGCCTCGGCTTCCCAAAGTGCTGGGATTACAGGCGTGAGCTGGGCATCATGGCGGGTGCCTGTAATCTCAGCTACTCAGGAGGCTGAGGCAGGAGAATTGCCTGAACCCAGGAGGCCGAGGTTGCAGTGAGCCAAGAGCGTGCCACTGCACTCTAGCCTGGGCGACAGAGTGAGACTCCCTCTCAAAAAAACAAACAAAAAAAGTACAAGACTTGTACACTGAACACTATAAAATGTTGCTGAAACTAAAGATTTAATAAATAGAAAGACATTTCATACTCATAGATTAGAAGACTTAGACGATACTTCCAAGTTGATCTACAGATTCAATGCAATCCTTACCAAAAGCCCAGCTGGGTTTTTGTCATTGTTGTTGCAGAAATTGATAAGCTGATCCTAAAATTTATATGGAAATGCAAGGGACTCAGAATAGCCATAGAATTTTTTAAAGAGAGAAAAGTTGGAGGATTCAAACTTCTCAATTTCAAAACCTATAATACTACAAAGCTATAGTAATCAAGATAATGTAGCACTGGTATAAGGACATAGATCAATGGAAAAAAACTTGAGATTCCAGAAATAAACTCTCACATTTATGATCAGTTGATTTTCAACAAGGGTGACATGACTATTCAATTGGGAAAGAATAGTATTTTTGATAAGTAGCAGTGGGACAATTGGATATTCACATGCAAAAGAATGAGTTTGGACCCCTACCCACACCATATATAAAATTAACTCAGGCCAAGCAAGGTGGCTCACACCTGTAATGCCGAGACTTTGGGAGGTCGAGGTAAGAGGACTGCTTGAGGCCATGAGTTCAAGACTGGCCTGGGCAAGATGGCAAGACCCCATCTCTATAAAAAAATTAAAAAGTTAGATGGGCAGAGTAATGTGCACCTGTAGTCCCAGCTACTTGGGAGGCTGAGGTAGCAGGATACCTTGAGCCCAGGAATTCGAGGCTGCAGTGAGCTATGATTGGGGTCACTGCACTCCAGCCTGGGCAACAGAGTGATACCTAGTCTCAAAAACAAAAGAAAAGAGAACTGTTACAATTCAATATTAAAGACAAGTAATCCAATTTAAAAATGGGTAGAGGGCCAGGTGCAGTGGCTCATGCCTGTAATTCCAGCACTTTGGGAGGCCAAGGCGAGTGGATCACTTGAGGCCAGGAGTTCGAGACCAGCCTGGCCAACATGGCAAAAAGCCATCTCTACTAAAAACACAAAAATTAGCTTGGACATGGTGGCATGCACCTGTAATCCCACCTACTCCGGAGGCTTAAAGCACAAGAATCACTTGAAGCTGGGAGGCAGAGATTGCAGTGAGCCGAGATTGCTCCACTGCACTCTAGCCAGGGTGACAGAGTGAGAATCTCTCACCAAAAAAAAAAAAAAAAAAGAAAAGGGTAGAGGATCAGAATAGACTTTTATCCAAAGAAGATACAGAAATGGCCAATAAGCATATGGAAAGATGCGCTACATCATTAGTAATCAGGGAAATGCGCATCAAAACCAAAAGAGAAACTACTTCATACCCAACAGGATGGCTAGAATCAAAAACACAAATAACAAGTACTGGTGAGGATGTGGAGAAACTGGAACCCTCCTATACTGGTAACAGAAATGGAAAATGGTACAACCACTTTGGAAAACAGTCTGATAGTTCCTCAAAAAGTTAAAGATACAATGACTGTATGACTCAGCAATTTCATTGCTAAGTATATATGCAAGGGAAATGAAAATGTATGTCCATGCAAAAACCTGTACATGGTTCACAGAGGCGTTATTTGTAATAGTCACAAAAAGTAGAAAGGACCCAAATGTCTACTTACTGATGAATGGAAAAATAAAATGTGGTATATCTATACAATGAAATATCATTTGGTAATAAAAATGAAGTACTGATACATGTTGCAATATGTATGAACCTTGACATTATGCTAAGTGACAGAAGCCAGTCACAAAAGACCACGTTATCATTTCCTTTATATGAAATATCCAAATAGGTAAACTGTATGAAACAGAAAGTAGATTAGTAGTTACTTAGGACTAGGGTAGTTGGAGGGGTGCTAGCTAAAAGGTACAGGTTTTCTTTTTGAGGTGACAAAAATGTTTTAAAATCAACTGTGGTGATGATTGTATAACTGTGAATATGCTAAAGAAACAATGAAATGTACACTTTAAAGGGGTAAACTGTATGATGTGAATTATACCTCAATAAATCTGTTTTAAAAAGAAAAGTGGAATTATATTTCATTATAGCTCTTCATTACCTAGTCCCTGTTTCCCCATCCAGAGTCATCTGATGCCTCTCCTTCCCTCAAACTCCTCCTGTTACACTGAGCTTCCAGGACCCCTACATGTAATATATTCTTTTAAACCTCTGAGGCTTCCTTCTACCTGGAACATTCTTACGGCCCTTCCTTCTCTAGCCAAATCCTATCTGTTCTTTACATCTTGGCTTAGATGTCATTCCTCTATGTAGTCGTTTCTAACCTTCCATGCCTGAGTTAGAGGCACATCTAATATGCTTCAACTGCAATATGCACTTAACTACTATTTTAGCACTCTTCTTACTGACTTCCGGTCAACTGTTTAATTGTATCTCCCACTAAAACTGGGTCTTATTTATTGCAGGTTGGCCTAGAGAAGGTAAAACATACTTTTCAAAAAATGGGATAAACTAATCATAAATCAGAATCACTTTGATAATCATTTGTCAGCTCAGAAGAATGCTTAAAATAATAATAATAAAAAAAGACTGGGTGCAGTGGCTCATGCCTGTAATCCCAGCACTTTGGGAGGCCAAGGTGGGCATATCACTTGAAGCCTGGAGTTCAAGACCAGCCTGGCCCACATGGCAAAACTCCGTCTCTACTAAAAATAGAAGAATTAGCCAGGTGTGGTGAGCATGCCTGTAATACCAGCTACTTGGGAGGTTGAGAATCACCTGAACCTGGGAGGCAGAGGTCGCAGTGAGCCGAGATTGCGCCACTTCAATCCAGCCTGGGCAACAGGGTGAGACTCTGTCTCAAAAAACAGGGAGAGGAATAGTTAAAAATGAGTCCCAAACTGCTGGAAATATTTAATTGTGAAGAGAAAAGTACTGATGCATAATTTGCCTAAGAAATATGCACTTAATGTTCAGACACTAAGGAAGTTTGCAAAAGGAAAAATAGTGACACACACTGTCTTAACTGGATAGGCTTTGTGCAGACATACACTTTTAACTTGACTGTTTGGAAAATACGGTTTTGATTTTCAAATACGTTGACTGTATTTGAATCTTTTTCTACAGTGATGTATGATAGGTTCTGGATCCCAGTGAATATCTATCTGCCTGCAGAGTCAGACCCCAGAGAGTACTAAGGCTCAGTGCATTCTTATCAATTCTAAATAAGGGTGAAGGTAGAACAAATAGTACAGACTCCACCTAGAGTCTAAAATAACACAATGATGTCCTTTGTGTAGATTTCTTCAACCTTAAGTTTGAATGTGCTTCAATATGCAATTTTGCTAGGAAACTTCCAGAATCTGCTGGGGAGAGTAGAGTGGAGAAGCATGAATTTATGGTGAGAGGAGTCAGAAGAAAACAATATTTTGAGACTATTATTAATTTTTCTGTGAAGTTGTTTAGCAATCTGGTAACTCAGAAATTCTGGCCAGATGCCATGGCTCACGCCTGTAATCGCAGCACTTCGGGAGGTCAAGGCAGGAAGACTGTTTGAGCCCAGGAGTTTGAGAGCAGCCTGGACAACATGGTGAAACCCCACCTCTACAAAAAGCAAAATAATTAGCTGGGCATGGTAGTGTCCATGCCTGTAGTCCCAGCTATGGGAGAGGCTGAGATGGGAGGATCACTTGAGCCTAGGGCGTCAAGGCTGTGGTGAGCTATGATTGCACCACTGTACTCCAGGCTGGGCAACAGGGAGAAACCCTGTCTCTAAATAAATAAATAAATAAATTAGTTAATTAATTCTACTAAAAGTCCAAATAACTGCTTAAAAGCTTTTAAGAATGCAACAGCATTTTTCTGTCTAGCAGACTTAAGTGTGTAAAGTTACAGGTCAAGTGACTGCAAAGCCACATTTTGGTGACAAAATTGAAGGAGAGGAAAAAGCTTTAAAACTGGTGAATTCTGAAGAAAAGGAAAGAGAATTTTCTGAAGCTATAAGATCTACAATGACATACATGACAGTAAGGTATGCTGGATTTCTTCCCTAGACAGATGACAAGGCCAGAAGACTCTAAATGGCAACTCAAGAAATAACTACAGGCAACCCTATTTCATTTTATGAATCATACATGTATCTAACAGCCCAGAGAAAGAATGCTTTCAAAATTGGAGGTATTTAAAATGTCAAGAATGTATGTACATTAAACCATCTGACTTTTAGGACTTTTAAAAATATAAACATAGCCAGGCGTGGTGGCTCACACCTGTAATCTCAGCACTTTGGGAGGCAGAGGCAGGCAGATAACGAGGTCAGGAGTTCGAGACCAGCCTGGCCAACATGGTGAACCCCCGTCTCTACTAAAAACACAAAAATTAGCCGGGCATGGTGGCAGGTGCCTATAATCCCAGCTACTCAGGAGGCTGAGGCAGGAGAATCGCTTGAACCTGGGAGGTGGAGGTTGCAGTGAACCAAGACTGCACCATTGTACTCCAGCCTGGGCAACAAGAGCAAAACTCCATCTCAAAATAAATAAACAAACAAACAAACATAGCAGTGGGTACAGGAAATAATGCTCTGACAATATACACTCATCAAGCCTATGGGAGTGAGGGAAGGTTAAGTAGAGTATAAACATGGGAGAACATAAAACATGTAATTTACATCACCTTTGGAAAAGTAAAGTTGTAGAAAGAGAAAAATTAAAGAAAATATGACTGAGTAGATTACATATAATAATTCCTAGAAGAGGCTAAGTATAGTGAAAGGTCAATTAAAAAAGAAAGCAGTTGTTTTAGAAGTAAACACCCATCAGATGTTTATAGAGTAGTAATTATGTGATTCTGATGTTAAGATCCTCTCTTTTTAAGTTGTTTAATGGGTGTAGAGTTTTGGTTTTGCAAGATGAAAAGAGCTTTACAGATGGATCGGGGTGACGGTGGTAAAACAATGTGAATAAACTTAATGCCACTGAACTGTACACTTAAAAATGGTTAAGATGGTAAATTTCGTTATGCATATTTTATCAAAATTAAAAAAAAAAAACATAAAAAAGATCCTCTCTTTTCAAATTCCAGGGTCCAGTAGCCCTATCCATATTGCTGAAATGATTATAATAAAACAAATATTATAACTTCTACACTGCTTGCAACTGAGTAATCATAATAAAGGAAAGTTATATTTGTATGGATGGATATATATGCATACGCACACGTGTGTTTGGTATAATGATTATATTCTGAAAACTTGAAGAAGGGAAAACTCCAGTAGTTTAACTGAAGATAGAGATTTTTATTGATTATGACCCTATATACTTTACATCTTCTGGATAAAAGACATACATCTTTTCAAAATGGATGGTACAACCTAGGAAGAGAACTGACACCAATAAATTTGAACTATATAAATCTAATGACCTAAAAAACGATACATTTTAAAAATGAAAACTGTATCCAGATGTTCTTCCAAAAGGTTATAGTTAGCTTGCCACACAACTCCTGGAGACTGCTCTTTGTGGCTTCAGTGAGGCAACTGTCCCCAAAGGAATACAGATACTTTCATACTGAGGCAGAGAAACTGAAGGCAAGGGCTAGGGGCAGGAAACGAATGAGAAATTCAATTTTCTTGTCACTGCACAAGTAGAGTAGGTGTTTAGCAGCTTGCTTTCTCACTTCCCAAACAGAATCTTCAGTGTTTTGGTTCAGAAAAATCTATTTTTGTCCTAAATTCTACTTCAAAACCTTGAGATTAAAATAAAGGGCACTCTGATAAGAAATTTTCTGTCCCTATCACTCATAAATCTGGAGGAGAAAACGGAGAGGAAGAAGGATAAATAATAATAGCTGCCACTATATTTTGAGTGCTTTCTTAGTGCTGGGTGTAGTATTAAGTGCTTTATGTGTGCTCAAGTTAATTCTCAAAACAATTCAATAAGGAAACTCAGTAACAGGCTAAATGACAAGGTACCAGCTAGAAGGAGTTGGTTAGAACATGAACCAAGTCTAATTCCACAGGTGTGCTCAAAGTTTACTATGTAGGAATATTTTTGTATAACGGTTAAATTTTTCTTGAATGTTTGTCCAGAGAGTTAAAACTTTAGAAACATTAACAAAGATGTCTCATAAACACTGATTTCCCCAGACAAGTGGCGCATTTTCCACAAACCGCTATTTTGGACAGAAAATACTAAAATAATTTTCTCCAGGTGTTTAGAAACGCAGTTAACCTAATGAAAGCACTATAACACAGTTTTGCATTCTTACTAGTGATATAAAGCACTTTTTCAAATTAATCTGATTGCCCACCTTACTTCCTTTTAAAATTATATTGAAATCCTAGTCCTAGATTTTCTTGAGAATTTCTCTAGTATATTACATAGAATTATATTTTAAAGCCACACACTAAAGACAGTTTAGGAGTGATTTAAAAAATGGAATTTCACTTTGATTCTGTTAATTCAAGAAGAGGATCTTCAAACACTGTAATTTAAAAAAAACAGAGACTTGCTACACGAATACTTTAAGCAAGAGCTAAATTCCTGAACAGTTTAACTCCTCCTATCATTTTTACTCAGCAGAATTTCAAATAGCAGCTTGTGTACCCAAGTTATTTACATATTTTCTTCCTTAATCATCTCCTTTTCAAAGGACATAGAGTTCATTTAACAACCAGTTATTATGTCCTAGTTTTATTGCTATTTTTATTTGCTTTCTTTAATGAATGAATCATTTCCAAAACCAGTTTGTAAAGTAATACTCATTTCCGCTATTTCACGTAAAAAGCACAGGTCCAACAATTGCACTCTTTACCACCCCTTCCCGTATGTCTCACCACCAAATCACTATAAGACATCCTAAATTACAAACAGATTAATGTCTTTAAGAATGCAATTCTCAGGCTGGGCGCGGTGGCTCATGCCTGTAATCCCAGCTCTTTGGGAGGCCGAGGTGGGCGGATCACCTGAGGTCAGGAGTTTGAGATCAACTTGACCAACATGGTAAAACCCTGTCTCTACTAAAAATACAAAAATTAGCTGGGCTTGGTAGCACGTGCCTGTCATCCCAGCTACTCAGGAGGCTGAGTCAGGAGGATCACTGCAACCCGGAAGGTGGAGGTTGCAGTGAGCCAAAATCGCACCACAGCACTCCAGCCTGGGCGACAGAGTGAGATCCTGTCTCCAAAAAAAAAAAAAAAAAAAAGAATGCAATTCTCTCATATCCAACTTCCAGACTTAGTTATCATACAGACCATAAATAATTGTGACTTGGACACTAGCTAATATTCCAGGAACTAGTTATTGGTGAAGCAGGAGGAATTAGGAAAAAAGCTGTTAGGTCATCTAGGTCATCTCAGAATTTGTAAAGAATGGGTAGGTCAAATACCCCTTAGGAAAGCAGATTTCAAAAAACTAGGCCTGATTACATGGAATGAAATTATTGAAAAAAGGGGGTTCAAATGGTTACTAAGTTCTTGAAAATGTGGTTCTAATAATTACAGAGGGTGTTAATAAGAGAGAGGTACTAAACAAACCAGGATGGTTAAAACAGGACTCATCAGAAACAGCACACTATAAAAACAGCAGTGTGGTATGACTCCAGCATCATTTAATGCCAGGTAAATCATTCCCTTCTTTGAATATGCTTCTTCAACAGCAAAATGGGGACATTTCCCCTGCAGAGCTGTTGTAGGGGGTTTGTTACCTACTAAGATCAGTATTTCTTTGCAGTTCTTTTTGTCCTTAGGTTATATCCCATCATTAAGAGAGCACAGTCAGAGTTTTATGTTGAAAAGTTACTTGATAATTCCTTTTTTCCTTGATGGTTACATGATTAATTTGATGTACAGTTAGGCTCACTGATTTCAATTTGTATTCAATATTGAAATTTACTTTTTTCAACAGTAAGACTACTCTTCTTTACAGTAGTGGTACTATTCATATGAGGTAAACACTGTGGCCAGTTGTCCATGGACTAGAATTTATATGTAAACAGTAGAATCGGTATGGTAACATTTATATCTACAACTTAATATTTATTACAATAAAGTATTTATGATCAATTTTTAAGATAACTGCCTATGGCTCCCGAAAAGACTATAGCTAAGGATCTTCAAAAGTTAGTCTGATTAACTTTAGTTGACACTTACATAGTGCTATGTGCCAAGCACTGTAAGTGTTTTATATACATGAAACAGACCTCTGAGGTATGTTGCCCAAAATCATGCTGCTAGTAAGCTGAACAGATAGAATTTTTTTTTTTTTTTTAGACAGAGTCTTGTTCCATTGCCCAGGCTGGAGTACAGTGGCACAATCATATCTCACTGCAGCCTTGAACTCCTAGGCTCAAGCGATCCTTCTGCCTCAGCCTCCCGAGTAGCTAGGACTACAGGCACACATCATCATGACTAGCAATTAAAAAAAAAAATGTTTGTAGAGATGAAGTCTTGCTATGTTGCCCAGGTTGGTCTCAAACTCCTGGGCTCAGGCGATCCTCCCATCTCAGCCTCCCAAAGTGCTCAGATTACAGGCACATGAACCGTCATGTCCAGACAGAACAGGTAGAATTTGAACCTAGGCTCTACAGTCTGTCCTGTTAGCCACTTTAATATAATGTCTCCTGCATTCTAACTGATTACACATATGTCCCTGCCATAAATAGGAGCCATAAAACTTAAACCTTTTCTGGTTACTTAAATGTGTGACCTTAAGAAAATTATTGTATCATAACTTTCCCACTATTAAAAATGTTTTCGGCCAGGCGCAGTGGCTCATGCCTGTAATTCCAGCACTTCGGGAGGCTGAGGTGGGCAGATCACAAGGTCAAGAGATCGAGACCATCCTGGCCAACATGGTGAAACCCCGTCTCTGCTAAAAATACGAAAATTAGCTGGGTGTGGTGGCATAAGCCTATATAGTCCCAGCTACTCAGGAGGCTGAGGCAGGAGAATCACTTGAACCCTGGAGGTGGAGGTGGCAGTGAGCCGAGATCATACCACTGCTCTCCAGCCTGGTGACAGAACAAGACTCCGTCTCAAAAAAAAAAAAAAGTTTTCAAAGATAATCAACTGCTGTAGACTAAATCTCCTATACATATTTGTAAATATTATTTAGGCCAAATCAACTGCTCTACCTAACCACTAATTTCACTCATTCAATCAACATTCATTAAACATTGCTGGGAGGTAAAGTGAGTCAATTTATTCTCCTGTCTTCTCCAAACCCCACTGAAATGACCAATATAATATACCAAAGAAACTGTCTAGAAGATCTAGATCCAGGATTTCAATATAATTTTAAAACAAAGGTTGGCAACTAATTTGAAAATGTGCTTTATATCAGAATTAAGAATGTAAAATAGTGTTATAGTCCTTTTGTTGGATAAACTAAGTTTCT
Organism: Homo sapiens; assembly: GCF_000001405.40. Classification (NCBI taxonomy): domain Eukaryota; kingdom Metazoa; phylum Chordata; class Mammalia; order Primates; family Hominidae; genus Homo; species Homo sapiens. The sequence continues at coordinate 22,024,023 of NC_000016.10, read as the reverse complement.
TAAGAAAATATATATATATATATATAATTTGTACAAAATTCTATAGCAGCATGAGAAAATGACAAGAATACCATCAACAAAGCAGAATCACTGAAGAATTTCTTGAATCTATACAAGAGAAAACAGGTTCACAGAAAAGGAGTAAGTACCTCTGTAGCCTGTATCAATACAGTCAAAAGACAAGAGTCTTCTTCATTAGATAAGTTGACGGATTTTCTAAAAAAAACTCAGTAAAACCCCAAGCTCAGAGAAACAGGAGCTGAGCACAGCAGAGAGCTATTGGTAAAGACAATGGAAACTGACCACTGAGAATGGCTGATATCTGTACCTTGAACTTTTTCATCTGGGTATGAACTGCTTGAATGGCCAAGTTGGAGATTTGCCACAAGAGGCTCCTAGAGAGGAAGGGCAGAGCACAGTAGGAGGTGATGGATAAGAGATACAATCTTTTAGTTAATTCTAGGCTAATAAAAAGAGAAAAAAAGCAGTGCCCAGCAACTTACAGAGGCAAAAAATAAAAGAAATAGCACAGTAGGGAAAACCCATAATGTATCCAACATCCCTGATAACTGTCAAGATAGTCACAATAAAGGATAATTAAATCTTCAATACAGGGTGGTCCACTTAAAGCCAACATCTTACTTAACTAATGGTGCAATTCTAAATGGTTACACGATAATAGCTACCTACTGAATGGTAAGAACCTCAGAAAGAGTATGAGGTTTCTAGGATTAGTCCTATATTAGCAACATATCAACATAAAAGGGTTTGTCTTCTAATCCTAATCCACTAAATCTTATCCAGAGTGGGAGTCTAAAAGGTGATTTAGTAGGCTGATATATGACTGTCTACATTTGTCTTAGTAAGATTCTTTGCTATGGTTTCTTAAGTGACTCAATTTAAAAAATTTTTAAACCCAAAGTATTTTGTCTACAGAATAAAAAAACAGAGTCTCACATTTTACGTTTCATCATAAGAAGATGAATAAGATTATACCATAAATTATCTTGTAGGCTACCTGTGATTATCAATCATCCTTTACATTTACAACCCTTGACTGACACTTGGTTACTGTCTTAGTCCATTTGGGCTGCTGTAACAAAGGACCAGGTGGCTTAAAAGCAATTAAAATTCATTTCTTACATTTTTGGAGGCTGGAAATCTGAGATCAGGGTGCCAGCAAGGTCCGGTTCTGGTGAGGGTCTTCTAGGTTGCAAACTGGTAAATTCTCACTGTATCTTCATATAGCACAAAGTGGGCTAGACCTCTTTTTAATCACCTCCCCAAATCCCCTCTGCCTAATACTACCATATCGGGGGTCAGGATTTCAACATGTGAATTTGGAAGGAGGGGTGCATTCAGTCCATGATAGTGACTAACCTCAACTAATGAGGTTAGGGTTATGGTTTACATACCTAGCCAGTCAGGGAAATCTACCCTAGGACTACAGATTACATCCATAACCCAGTTAGCAAATGTTGGCTAGTGTAGGAAGGTTGAAGGATGCTAGTGGCTTAGTACAATCTGTCATCACACTTGAAAAATCCCCAAATACACATTACCTTTGATATGCAGCACAGCACCTGCATATAAACATTTGGATAGGCTGTCTGATACTCTTAGTGCACTGAGCTGGAAGAAGATAGCAATCCAGGTATCAGGGGCATGGTTAGAATGTACATCGTGAAAGTGATACCGGCAGGGCCTGGGCAGTGGCTCATGCCTGTAATCCCAGCACTTTGGGAGGTCAGGGCGGGAGAACTGCTTGAGTTCAGGAGGAGTTTGAAACCAGCCTGGGCAACATAGCGAGACTACTTTTTTTAATGGAAAAAAAAAAAAAGTGATACGGGCAGCCAAGGATAAAACAATGATATATCCTACTTTAAAAACATCAGATTGCCTTCAGTAACTGTATAGTGGGCAAACAATCAACTGCAATGTTTATGTTCCATGTATCAAATGTGATAAGAGATTAATCCATTTAGTTGCTTAACCACAATAACAGCAGTTACCATGTGTGCCTGTACTGTGGTAGATGTTTCAGATATATTAACTTTAATTCTTACAACCACCCTTCAAGGTAAGAAGTATTATCCCCATTTATACATGAAAAAGCTATAGCTCCGAGGCCAAGAAACATGCTCAAAGCCCCTCAGCTGGTAAACAACAGAACCAGAATTTGAACTGAGTTCTGACTTCTCCCCTATATATATATATTTTTTTTTTGAGACAGGGTCTCACTCTGTCACCCAGGCTGGAGTGCAGTGGTCCAGTCTCGGCTCACTGCCACCTCCACCTCCCAGGCTCATGAGATCCTCCCACCTACGCCTCCTGAGTAGCTGGGACTACAGGAACACGCCATCACGCCGGGTTAATTTTTGTATTTTTTGTAGACACAGGGTTTCATCATGTTGCCCAGGCTGGTCTCGAACTCCTTGAGCTCAAGCGATCTGCCCATCTCGGCCTCCCAGAGTGTTGGGATTACAGGTGTGAGCCCAGCCCCCATACTCTTTTAACTTTCTGAATAAAATACTTTCCTAAGAATTTAACATATCATATACACTCACTTTTATTTTCAAGTAAGAGGATATTCATGAAGATGAAGGGGGACAGGAACTATTTTTCAGTTGGGGGAAAATACAGAATAACAAAATTTAGGTAAATTTTCAAGCACAAACAAAACAACCATGGGAAAGCCAGAATCAGAACCCAGATTTCAACATAAAAGACTTAATCTGCACCTTATCATACTTAAACTGGCATACAAAATACTGTTTTTCTCCTTACTCTATCCAACCATAGAGGTCCCCTCAACGAGCAGTAACCATTCTAGACCAGACCAATGGCCCTTCCCGTGGGCTCAGATGAGGAACATTGGATCCAACCTCTTCCATTTCATCTTGCTTCCTCATGGGAGAGATTATTTACCCATTACAAGTTCCTCACCATCCCCTACCCACCCCCACCACAGCAAACTACACATATCATATGCACTTGCATTCACTCATACGTATCTTCCTCAGCTCTACTGAGTTAACTCTACCACAGGTTATTCCACTTCAGGAAACCTCTTACACATACAATCTCCGTAATTCCTCTGATAGGGCCAGAAAACCCAAAACACTGTTGACATATATAAGAAGAATCTCAGTGAACAACTATATCACATAGGAGGAATGCTGTAAGCTTTGAAGTCAAACCGATCAAGAATAAGAAAAATAAGCTGCACTTTCTTGTTCCTTTTTATCTTTTGAAAATGCAAATAGTAAAGCAACTGTATTGCTTTCTACTATTTTGTTGTTGCAGAAGTAAGTATTTCAACTACAACATGGACTTGTGGGCTAGCCTAGAAATCTAACTTCCGTATTGACCCAGAGAATCAACAAAACAACCTACAAATTAAGTTTCATCTTATAATATTAAAGTCAGGGCTGGGCGCGGTGGCTCACGCCTGTAATCCCAGCACTTTGGGAGGCCGATGCGGGTGGATCACCCGAGGTCGGGAGTTCAAGACCAGCCTGACCAACATGAAGAAACCCTGTCTCTACTAAAAATACAAAAATTAGCTGGGCGTGGTGGCGCATGCCTGTAATCCCAGCTACTTGAGAGGCTGAGGCAGGAGAATCACTTGAACCCGGGAGGCGGAGGTTGCAGTGATCCGAGATCAAGCCATTGCACTCCAGCCTGGGCAACAAGAGCAAAACTCCATCTCAAAAAAAAAAAAAAAAAAAATTAAAGTCAGGAATGATTATATAGTAGCTGGACTTCATTTTCTAAATAAAAACCAACTGATACTTTTTTTTTTTTTGGAGATGGAGTTTTCGCTCTTGTTGCCCAGGCTGGAGTGCAATGACACGATCTTGGCTCACTGCAACCTCCGCCTCCTGGGTTCAAGCGATTCTCCTGCCTCAGCCTCCTGAGTAGCTGGGATTACAGGCATGTGCCACCACGCCTGGCTAATTTTGTATTTTTAGTAGAGATGGGGTTTCTCTATGTTGGTCAGGCTGGTCTTGAACTCCCGACCTCAGCTGATCTGCCCGCCTCGGCCTCCCAAAGTGCTGAGATTACAGGCGTGAGCCACCGCACCTGGCCCCAACTGATACATTTTTTAAAAAAAAGAAGCCTGAATTCTATGGATATGCAGCTAATTTGATATGTAGCAATTTAAGTATCATACTTGTGAAAATGAGATAAGACTGGGAGTGCCAAATATTCCTGTCTTCTGAGCTCTAGTCCCTTTCTTCTTGCATATCCTACTATCACCTCAAACAGAACATGTCTAAATCAACTCCTCACTTTTTACAATCACCTCACTCTCTAAATTCCCAATTTTATTCCCTAGCCCAGGTTCAAAATCTTAGTGTTAACCATAACATTTCCTCTTTCCTGCCCTGTGCAAGCTTAGACTGAATGCTGCCTAAGATACAAAGATCAACAAATCATATTCCCTGCTCTCAAAGAACTTTAAAAAAATCTATACTACAAAAAAATTATACTAGAAAATAGGGCAAGTACCACACAAATAACCATGACACAGATATGCTACCATAAAAAATGTGCAAAGTGTTACCAAGGGGTTGGAAAATCACTTTAGGTAAGGGATCAAAAAAGGTTTTATGAAGATAGCAACTGATATGCTCGGAAGATGGGTAGGATACTGATAAAACAGGGACTGGAGAGAGTGAGAGGACCAAAGAATTACAGATGAGAATACAGATTACACACAGGAAACAGAAAGTAATACAGAGGGGCTAGAATGTACATTCATGCGGGGAAAAAAGCAGGATCTAAGGCCAGAAAGTATTATAAGTTGGAGCCAGATTGTGAAAATCCTTGAGTGTCTTTTGTCCTGTGGAAGATGAAGTCACTGAAGGTTTCTGGTACAAGCACATGCAATAGTTAAGAGCCAGGATCCACTGTGTGACATTAGGCAAGTGACTTCTCTGTATTTTCATGAGGCTGTCTAAATAACAGCACTTACACAGGGGCATTGTGGGGATCAATTAACACATGTAAAGTGTCTAGAAAAGAATCTGTCACAAAGTAAATGCTATACAAGTATTTATTATTCTATTTGTTCTTTAGAAAGATAAAGTAAGTTGCAATACAGAGAAATGGACTGGAATAGAAATTTCACTGCCTCCTCTCTACCTTTACTCATGCCATTCCCTTTTCAAGAACAAGAACCACCCAAGTCTTCCTTATTACTCATTATTAAATGTATCATCTGTTAAGCTCAAATTCCACCTCCTCTCTGATTGCCTGATCCTATGCATATGTTGGTACATACTCACAAGATGTAAGACATGCAAGATACAATTTTATCTTCCCAGGGTATAGGGTACCTCAAGGACTTTTTTCATTTGCTTAAACATAATCTCTCTGATTATTTCAGTACAGATTCCTTACAGACCACAAATACGTCAATAGCATTTGTTGCAAGATGGTCTGGAATGAAGTCCAATCGCATAGGGAATATCTATGGGAAGATTTTTAAAATATTCATAGTAAATTAAAGATTTCTTTTATCAAAATGATGGTACCTTATAAATCAAATGGTCATATCTCTTTGACAGTCTAAGTGGCCTTAAAGATTTTTGTCTTTGGAGGTCAGTGGCCTGGTCAGCAGAACTGATCTGAACATGGCCTATTTTTGAAAAGAACTTCTATTATTATGGCTGAAATTGGACCCAACCATGTTCCAGGTAAACAACTTACTGTGAATATATTGCAATAATGAAATTTTGTTCTTCCTTTTTCTTACTTGACCCACCCAACTGCATTTTTTTCTACTCCTGTTTAATCTCTAACTATAGTAGAATATGGTCCCTAGTTGAACAGATCTATATTAAAAGTCAACAGCTGCCTTTTTGCTCAATATATACAACGGCAAGTGTCAAAATGCCAAATGTGATATTTTATTTATAGCAAAGCTAGTATAATGAGACACACAAAGTGCAGCCTTTTGCTAATTAAAAAAAAAAGCAGTGATTCAAAGATTTGTCAGTTTGCTTCAAAAGTGAACTGGAGTCACACACTGAAACTTCCCTTAAGCAAACTATACATGTTAGTTGGTACATATTCACAAATACATGTAAGTACCATTGATAGCAACACCCAAACCCAAATGCTCTTTTTTTTTGTCAACTCTAAAGCAATAAACCCCAAAGGAACGTCACATTCTACTTGCTCATTGCATATTTGGCAAGAATTCTCCTCCGTGTAATTTGCAGTTAACAAGAGAATGCACAGTAAAGTTTACAAACACAGTAAATTTAGGTGAAATACACAGTAAGGGTATATTATTGAAAAATGGTTTTAATCCAGGTACCTATTTTTAGGTATCCTGATATTCAAAGATCTTCAGGTTTCCTCATGGCTCTTATCTAAGCCTCTTTAGGATTTCTACAACAGCTTTCCCAACATTACTTTTTCATCAGTTTGTAGTTGATAAAGGATGAAATAACTGCTACTTTCAATCTGTTGTTATCAATCGGATCAGGTTTTCTAATTATAAAGCTGCTAGCTGCTTAGTTGGGCGGGGAATTCTAGAAAGTACTTGGAAAAAAAGGTGTAGCTTCAGAACTTGAAAATACAACATTCTGACAACCAAAAAGACATGAATGTCATGTTATATAAACCATCACAAAGGTAAAGCTGTAAATATGAAATTTATACCTATATACTTGTCACTGCTGTCACCGTACAACCTAATTTCCTGGGTCTCTTAGAGAAGCATATCAAACACGGTCACTATGTAAATAATTATGCATTCAGGTTGCACGAACAAGTTCTTATTTATAATTCAATGGTGACAATTTCATAAACAGGAACACTTCATTACATGTCTAAATTTCCCCTATAAGATTATGCAATATGGCCCACCACCTAAGTATGCATTGAAATGGGTTATGGAAAAAATGAACTCACAGTTGCATTACAGAAGCTAGTAACTAGAAAAAAATTTATTCCATAAACTAAATCTTCAGCTATATCGCTTGCCAGGTTTCTATAAAGAACCAACTATCTCATATATTTCAAACTTATTTTCACACTTTGAGGTGAGAAAAATTGACTTGATACTCCAACTGTACTACCAGCTCTTAAATTCCTTTAAAACTAACCTCTGAACTAAATGATCTTAACAATACACTGTGGTTAATATTCTTTAACCCACAGGAGAACAAAGTTGGAGTCTAAACCTGCATAACTATTGGAAGTGCTGAAAGAGGTATTAATCAGGTCTGAATGATATAATTTTCATTAATAAAAACCCTCAACTGCAACTTGTCTAAGATCAATTACACGGCTCGTAAATAGTAGGACAGGGACTTGGCTACATGTTGGTTTGCCCCAAAGCCCGTGTGCCATTTCCACTATGCTAGGCTGTCTTTCACTTAGAAAACCTCTTCAATCTGTTCCAGAAACATAAAAACCCAAGTACTCCTTGGTTTTGGTAGTTACATGTGTCCCATAAGTGTGTATTACCACAACAACTGACTATGCAGTCTCTCTTCCCAGATTGGACCCAGCTGGGTTCACGAACATTCAAATACAGACACATTATGTTGCCTTAAATCTCTTTCTGGAACAAGGCAGGTATAAGTAAATAAATAAGACAGACAGTACAAAAGGGAAACACTAAAAATCCAGATGTTTTGAGCTTTTATGTAATAAATGACTAACATTTGAGCATTTACTAAGTATCGGACAATGTGCTAATCTCTTATATGCCACATTTTATCTCCTCACAACTATCCTTTGAGGTAAATGTATTGTCTCCATTTTATAGCTGAAAAATCAAATTACATGCCCCAAATCATAAAGCTAATAAAAAAGGAATCCAAGAATCAAATAGAGATATGCCTGACTCCAAATCCTACAGAACCATTTTACTATACTGCAACTCCAATACAAACTCAGTATTTACCAGGAAAGGGATTAAACAATGATGTTTTTGGTCACACTAAGCAGAACAGTGGAGAACTGATATATGTAACTATTACTATGCAAAATTTGAAAGGGGTTCTGGCAGCCAAATAAGGAAGGACTCAATAAGTATGGCCAATCTAACAAATGCATCAGCAGTCTTTACTCTAATTTTTTTTCTTCTGAATTTCCTTCTTTTAGTGATTTCCATTTACTCATGCCTGCTGTTCATGTTCTTCATCCTAAATTCCCCTTCTCCAAAAACATTTAGGCTTATTTATAGTCTTAATTCTGAAGTGGCTCCATCTCTGTTGGTAATGATAAAAGAGATGATGTTTGGAACTAAGGTTGTAAAGGAAATATTAATGCTTTGTTCAGGAGATCTAATTTCCTATTGGAAAATCTAGTCCACTCTGGGAATTCACAGTATCATAAATGATCTCAAGCTTTAAGCATGTCCTGTGAGTACTGTAAAAAGACCGGTTTTTGAATTTTTATTGATAATTATTACTTGATATGCTGAAATAGATTATACTGATAATGTCACTTTTTAAAAAATCACATTTAAAAAACATCTTTAATCACTTTATCTTCATAGACTTTTATGCTTGGAAGTAAAAAACTGAGTGGTCCAAATGTCCACCAACTGATGAATGGCTAAATAAATGTGGTCTATCCATATAATGGAATACTTGGCAATAAAAAAGAAATACATAGCTAGGTGTGGCAGCGTGCATCTATAGTCCCAGCTACTTGGGAGGCTGAGGCTGGAGGATTGCTTGATCCCAGGAGTTTGAGCCTGGGAAACACAGCAAGAGCCTGTCTCTTAAAGAAAAAAAAAAGTCATAACATGTATGAACTTTGAGAACATTATGCTAAGTTTAAGAAGCCTGTCACAAAGGATCACATAGATTCTATGATTGGAAATGTCCAGAATAGGCAAATCAACAGACAGAAAGCATATTAGGGGTTGCCTAGGAGGCTAAGAGGCACCTCTTAGCCTGGTCTTGGAGTAATGAAAATGTTCTGAAATGGACTATGGTGATGGTAGCACACAACTTTATGAAGATACTAAAAGCCACTGATTTGTATACTTTAAATACTTTATTTGTATACTTTAAATGGATGAATTTTAGTATTATGTGAATTACATCTCAATAAAGCTCTTTAAAAAAAATTTACTGGAAATAGGCTCAAAAGGCCAATGAAGAAATATTATTAATGCTTTTTAAATTCAAGGACAACACAATCTCAAAATGTTTGCCCTTTTAGGTAACCAAATCCTGTCCTCTATAAATCATGTCCAAAGTGATTAATAAAATAAAGTTTGAGATAGGTTTGTTTAACAACTGATGTTACAGAGTTCTTTCATGTCAAAGTACCTTTGTGACCTTTGAAGTTGTTACAGTTCCAGGGAAAGGACTAATGATTTAATCATTTTCTATTACTTAATAAACAGGTCTGCTTGAGCAACTTGTAATTTTAGTGTTTTAAACTGAGGATCCCCAGTGCATAGGCTGGGATCTACCTGTAGATCTTGAACCCTTATGAGATAGATGTCAAGCACCACAGTCCCTTATCTGAGGTTTACCAGATTTTCCTATGAAGTAGGTAGGAGGTAGCAGAATAGGAAATGATACCCCTCACCAAGGCTTTCACTTCCCTGAACACCTGCCAATCTTTAGACCTGAAGAAAATGAAAACTCTTCCTCACAAAATGCTAGACATATAGTGGGTTTTAAACACATAAGGCTTTCTCCTTATTCCCGATTTTATTATCCATGAGCAATGGAGACCGGGGGAGAGGACAGAATCCTGTTGGCATAATACTTTTAGCTCATTTGTGTCTCCTCACTCAATCCTTGTCAGGTCACAAGGACTGACTTCATCTGACTGGTAGTTTAGGAGAAAATGGGCATATGTGATCCAACATTTTGTCTTTGGAAGCACTCATCTCTCCTCTGTCATGCTGGAAGTGTTATAGGGGCAGTTCCCCCAGTTCTGTCTGGGACTGGATTGTTAAGTCTGCTCAATTTTAAGGTCCAGGAGTAGGACGTCACGTGCCCCCAAATGTAAGTGACATTCTCCAATATCCTCTTTCTTAGTAATAAAATAATATTTTAGCCCCTAAATACCTTATTTCTTTTTTGCCCCTCAACTAGTTCAGAATACAAGCAGGGAAAAACATGTCAGTTTTTGAGATTCCCCCCCCCCAAACAGTAACATCCCATCTAGACAATTTTAAAAACAACAAGAATGAAAATATCTTCAGAAATGAATACACTAACCTTAACTTCGTTATGACAAACTATAACATGAATATGATAACCACTTTAGGGAAATTTTGACGAGACATAAGGGAGAAGTTCTTTCAGCTACTTGAAAGAGACTTTTGGGGAACATCTGGAAATCTTCATAAAGAACATAAGGCAAATCTATCTAGGATGATTAGGATTACGGTCACTGAAATCCTTGCTGTGAGGGGATAATGCCTTCCTCACTAAAGGGATCTGCAGACCATTTATATTTATCAGAGACGCAGCTTTACTTAACTGTTTATCTTGTTAAAATTAACTAACACTAATTTTTCCCCCTGACAAAAAGTCTCTTCAGGGGTGAGAAGAGAGTGACAGTGAAATTAAGAAGCTTGTACAAAGCAAAGACCCCCAAGTCTCCTTCTTTCCCTCTTCTGTAATCTGGGAAAACCTCCAGCCACTGAAGAATTTTAATTTCATTTAAGATAAGTAAAAGGTGTGCATAAATAACATATAGGTAATACTTCAGTGAAGAATTTTCTTCAATGGAATCTTTGCAGCACTGAAACTCAAATCTCACATGCAAAGCACTACCATGTGGGGGAAAATGTGAAAATGACTATTTTACATTGGCCAAATATAAACATCCTAAGGAATCAGATCAAGTAATGGATGTCAAAGTGCTTCAAAAACTATGAAGCATTATATAAAATCAAAGATATTCCTATTGGTGTTGAGTTCCAGTAACCAGCAGAAATTTGACCTTAGCATAGCAGAATTATGTAATTTTGCCACTGTATTCATCTACATTTAATATTTCTGGTTACACTAACACAAACAGTCTTCATTAGAGTGCCTTCCCCCATACATACAATATGTTTCAGATCTTCAAAAGTTTGTGCATAATCCACAAGCCATTACAAGAAGTAGATGAAATGTTAATCACACAGGTGAAAATAAAAGGGATGTACTTTCTCTGTATCTAGACCAAGACAATAAAAACATGAAAAACTCTGCTGTCCAAAGTATGGTCCATAATCTTATAGTAACAGTTTATCAATAGGGACTTCAGGAAGTTACTCTTTTTTTTTTTTTTTTTTCTATTCCTTCTATGGTAGTTCAAGTAGAAGCTGAGAACAGAGATTAGAGTATGGAGAGACTGGAAGAGGAAGAACAGCACGGAAGTGACAGAGAAAGTCCAAAGCCAAGAGGGACATATATTTAACTTGTTCTAAGCATGGCTGTATTATTCTTGATGTTTCCTTATTTCCTAGAACATCTAATAGAGAAAAACATCATTTCTCACAGTTCTGGGCTTTCATTTCAAAACTGGATTCTGACACCTGTTCTTATAAACTAGAACAGCAATATAACAATATGTAATTTTTATTGAGCATTTACTGTGTGTCAGGTACTGTTCTAAATGTTTGACATGGGTTAACTCAGTTAATTATCAAAATATCCCAGTGAGATGGATACTTTTATTATCCCTACTTTACACAGGAGGAAACGGAGACAAAGAGAGGCTAAAGAACCTGCCCTAAAGCTACAGAGCTACGAAGTGATGAAGTCTAGACTTGAATTCTGAAACTTTCCCTTAGTAGTTCACTGCCGTGGTTTTCAAGCTACATTCTGCAGACTATTTCAGCTCCAAAAGTTCTACTTCTAAAATACATTTTATCCGGTATAAAAACTGCAATGAAAACATCACAATCAAAACTTTAATAGACTGAATATAATACACCAAAGGGAACCAACACATTAACTTTTTGTTGCCAGGTTAAGTGGCTTTTGTGCAGCTCTTGAAATAAGCTAGACCTGTCACCACTGAGATCTTACTTGAACTTCTTGTAAATGTTTCATTGATTTGGAAGGTGTAACTCTGCACTTTTTTTTTTTTTTTTTTTAACTCAGGACTACATCTGCCTGCTCAGGTGAGACTGTACAGCATACAAGCTCAAGCACAACGGTAAACCAAGGAACATACTGTCCCATTCGTTTTATGTTTTGGGGGGTTTACTGCCTGACATATGTAAGGTAAGAAATACATGCTAGATAAGAATTTTAAAAATTTCCTATGTTCCTAGTATCTCTTATTCCTCTTTCTAGCCATAATATTTAACGGAGTGGTATCCTGAGATGGCAAGGAAAACTTTTAGAAAAAAAACAATCACTTCCTCGATCCCACATCAGCCACACATTGTCACTGTTACACTCTGGACCTTGTGCCTACGATCCCCTGCCATTCCACTTTGCTGGATTGATCACTCCCACTCTGACTGGTCTTCAATTTTATTGGGTCCCCTATTCTACTGGCCATGTACCATTGTACCATCTGCTATTCGACTGAACAATCCATTAGTTTTTATTCATTTTCACTCTTTATCCAGCTGACACTCCATAAGCCATCATTACAATACTTTGGCCACTATCCTAAATACCTTGGCTGCTCTGTCATTTTGTTGCAATGTATCTGGCAAACCCCAACCTTGAATGAAGCCTTCACATTATTCTTTATTATTCATTATTGTATATGAGGCTTTTACATTATTCTTGATGTTTCCTTATTTCCAAGAACACTTGGAAAATTCACCTACCTTAGTACCAAAATGACATAGCACTACTAGAAAAGGTCAAGAGGGCAGATAGGTTATCACACTGTATGTTCATGACCATCAACTTCCACGACGCATCAGTGCTGCTAGACAAACCTACTTATCACCGTTGGCAAGCTTTCTCTGCAATTATTTCGAACAGTTTCTATTTCCTCAGACCTTGGACATCCATTGCTCCTATCTCCATGGCAACTCACAGCCAATTTTGCCTCCAAATTTTAAAGAGTTATACTCATTCTATCCTTGCTTTCTTCTGAATACAAGAGGAGCTTGCCCTTTTTTTTTTTTTTTCTGTTTTCTTTTTAAGACGGAGTACCATTCTGTCGCCCAGGCCAGAGTGCAGTAGCGTGATCTTGGCTCACTGCAACCTCCGCCTCCCAAGTTCAAGCAATTCTCTTGCCTCAGCCTCCCGAGTAGCTGGGATGACAGGCATGCACCACCGCGCCCGGCTAACTTCTTTGTATTTTTAGTAGAGACAGGGTTTCATCATGTTGGCCAGGATGGTCTCAAACTCCTGTCCTCAGGTGATCCGTCCGCCTTGGCCTCCCAAAGTGCTGGGATTACAGGCATGAGCCACCACGCCCGGCTATGCCCTTTTCCATCTTAGGAACGTTATGCTATCACTTATCTTTCTTCTCTTTTATATGTAACAATTCTTCTCTTTCAACTATATCTTTTGCATGGTCATTTAGTCTATTTTATCTATTGGGATTCTATCTAAAACTTCTTTGTAAAAAGATTCCTTCTGCTACAGCACCGAAACCCCTTTTCCCCTAAGTACGTGAAGCCTGAAAGTCTCATAAAAGGAGTCAATACACATGTAAGTAGGATAAAAACATCAACAGGTCACGAACTGGATGTCATACATGTAACCGTGTTAAGTTGTCGGGCAGCAACAATATTTTCATAAACAAAGCCCATAGTACCACCAAATTCGAAACCATCCTGATTCTTCATATCTTTTACAATTAAGAGTTCTGCTAAAACTCTATGGGCAAGAAAAGTAGCAGAATTTTTAGAGTGTTATTTTAATAACCAGTGAATATGACAGCATGATTTTGTGTTACTAGGTCTAGATTGGGGGAGAGAAGGGAGGGAGGAGGAAGCAACAAATGTCCCAGCTACCACTTTTTTTCTAAGAGCTAAAAATATTGCAGGATAAATACAGAACCATAAGTAATACTTAAAAATTAAGTTTTGACAGCACAGTGATGCTTTTCTTTTTCTTTTTTTTGAGACAGAGTCTCGCTCTGTCGCCCAGGCTGGAGTGCAGTAGCGCAATCTCAGCTCACTGCAACCTCTGCCTCCCGGGTTCAAGCGATTCTCCTGCCTCACCTCCTGAGTAGCTGGGATTACAGGTGCACGCCACCATGCCCGGCTAATTCTCTTTTTTTTTTTTTTTTTTTTTTTTTTTTTTTTTGTATTTTTAGTAGAGACGGGGTTTCGCCATGTTGGTCAGGCTAGTTTCGAAATCCTGACCTCCTGATCCGCCCGCCTCGGCCTCCCAAAGTGCTGGGATTACAGGCGTGAGCCACCGCGCCCGGCCGCATTTTTATAAGAAATTATCCATGGAGGGAGCTTGACATTCCCAACCCTCCAAAAGTTCCTTCACCTGCACTGAACAAGCAGTTAAAAAACAAGACCATTCCTTAAATCGGAGCAGCTCTCCTGACAGCTGTTTACATTAATTAAGGTTTGGTCTCACAGGTCTGGGAGAGAGGGAGAAAGAGAGGCGGGGGAAGAGGGGAGGGAGAAGAGGTAACAGGGAAAGAAGTGGCCCAAGCTGAGAAAAATCTTGGAAGCGCATTCACCTGGGGTACCCTTCAGAAAGATGCCCGCCTCTTTCCCGAGGGCACCACCTTGCCTCTCCCGCCCACAGCTCCGTGGTGGTACAGCAAGCACTGCTCCCGCTGCCGGGCTGCCTGCAACTGTAATGTGTTATTTAATTTTGTAACTACTATTAAGAGCTCTCCAGCGTTTTTGTGATGCGCTGGAATGAAAGACGCTCCATAAAATGAGGTTTATTATTAGTAGTATTATAGCTCCCGGGCCTAAAATAAAGCAGAATTATAACCACATACACACTTCAAAGGGAAAATCCGAAGCCACAAGCTTCTCAAACATTGCCAAGCGGGCAGGGGATGGGCGGGGGCGGCGGTGCAGAGGGGCTCCAATCCGGCGCCCCCCACTCCCACCAACCCCACCAGCTCTCCCAGCACCCACCATTCACCCTGCCTGGTGGGGTCAGCGCCCGCAGCCCGGGCTCGCCCCCGGCCGCAGCTTCCTCTGGTGGTGGAGGGTCTGGGGTCGGACCTGATCCCTCTCGGCCTCCCCTCGCCCACCAGCTCTCTAGTGGCTCCCGCACTGCCCCGCAGGCTGCCTCACTCTCAGCCCTAGCCTCTCCGCCTGGTTTCTAATTCCCTTGCAGGAGCCTCAGTTTCCTCCCGTCTCCCACCTTGACTTTTTTTTTTTTTTTTTTAATCCAGAACGAAGCTCATTCCTCTGCGATCCCTCACATCGGAGGGCTGCTCCCCTCCTCCCCGGTCCGGGACTTGCCAGCCCAGCCCAGGTCTCCTCGGCCACTTTTCACCCGGCCTGGGGCGCCTCTCCCCTCAGCCCGGGGGTCCCGCTGGCGCCCGGCGGCTTCCTCTCCTCCATCCCTTTCCTCCGCGGCCCGGGTCTCCCCTCCGCCCCCGGTCTCCTCAGGCTAGCCTCCGGCCGGGACCCTCCACCCCGTCCTCTCCTCAGTCCGGGTCTCCCCTCTCTCGCGTCGCCCTCAGCCAATCCCCCGCCCGGCCCGGCGCGCCAGCGGCTCACCCGCAGACTCCCCGGTGTTGATCCAGTCCGGGTTGGCGATGCTGGCGATGGCGAAGATATCGGCGGCCAGAAAGAGACATCCTGAGATGATGGTCAGTTTATCCATCTCCCCGCCCCGCTCCCCCCACCCCCCGAGCCCCGGACAGGCAGCGGCCTCACGCCTCCCGCCCCATGGGCCGCCGCCGGGGCCCGGAGTCCCCGCGCCGCTGCCTCGCGCCCCCTCGGCCCCCGCGCGCCGCTCGCGCCCTCCGCGCGCCCGGGACCAGCAGCCGCGGCGCGGCCCGCACAGACGGAACCGCCGCCCGCCCCGGAACTGCTCGGCCCGCCCGCCCCTCACCCGGAAGCGAAGCCGCGGCGTTGGCGAGGCCGGTCCCGGCTCCCCAGCCGCCGCGCCCCAGCTCCGTCCTCCCGGCTCGGCCGGCCGCCCTGGGCCCCTCCCCGCACCGCCCGCCTCTACGTTCTGGACCCGGACCCGACCGGCCCGGCTCCGGTCCCTGCCCGGGTCCCGGTCTCTTCTGGCAGGCCACGCCACCTCTTGGCTTTCTGCCCACTAATAAGATTGTTGATGTTGATGACTGGGCACAGGCTGCGGCCCCTCCTGAGCCCCTCAGAAGCAAAACTGGAATGAGAGTGGGGAGCTGCCCGTCTTCCAGCAGGAGGCGGGCCCCGACTCCCGCCGAGCGACTCCGGGCCCCGCGCGGTCCCTGTCACCTTGTATTCTCATTGCCCGTTCCGCGGCCGTCAGCTCCCAGGATTGCCCCATTTAGCAAATAGCTTTCGACAACCCCTCTTCGTCAGACGTTGTAGGTGCAGAGGTGCTGGAGTGGACAGAGGCAAGGCGCCCGCTCTTGGGGAGCTCACGTTCTGGTGGGAAGAGACAGAAACACATTAAGAACCTATCTGTAAAATAAAGATAATTTCAGGTGCAGATCCCTGAATTCAATGGAGGTCAGTGTGATGGGAGTCGGAGCGATACCTGCGATAGGGAAGGATGCATTTCCGCTGAGACCATCACGATCGTAAAGATCTGCACTTTGAAGACCTGGCGCAAGACCAGACAGAGGGAACAGCCAATGCAAAGATCATTAGGGGAGGGGGGCAGAAAGAGATCAGCGTGTCCAAGGAATTGCAAAATGGCCTGTGTGGCAGGAGAGTAGTATGACAAGAGGTAGGCAGAGGCTAGGTGTAGGGCTTTGGGGGCCTTGGATTTTGTTCTGAGTGCAATGAGAAGGCAATGGAGGGTGTTTGCAGAATCCCATGATCTTACTTAATCTGTGAAGATCCATAGTGTAGCTTGTATGGGGGAAAGGCAAAGATGACAACAGGGACGCCAGTTAAGAGGCCAAGTAGTCCACGAGAGAGAAGTGTAGCTTTGGCTAGGGTGAGAGTAGTGAAGATGGAGAGGAATGGACAGATTTGGATGTTTTGTAGATAGAGGGAAGGACCTGCTGATAATGGGGAAGGAGTTGAAAGAGAACTCAAGAATAAGTTTTTGACCTGAGCAACCAGGTGTTATGATCCCGTTTACTGAGTTGTGTGTGCAGCGTCTTAAGTTGGATGAATAAACAGGAAAATAAGGCATTTGCATAATTTGTCAGCATATGCTATGGTGGAGGTTTTCTTTTCTTCCACAGCTCATGGGCCGAATCACCACTAACCCTGACGTTTGATCCAGCTCTCCCTAATGGTACTCCGTGCAGCAGATGGAGATGAAACACTCATTTTCTCCTTAAATGCCACATAGGTCGTCTCTAGAAGGACCTAGAAGAGTGACATCTGTCTCTATTTTTGGAATGCTTACATGTCCACAAAATTCAGGAGGTTTCAAATTCCACCAAATCCAACAGCCTTGCAGAAATGTGCAACAGAGTATCAGTGTCACTACATAGCTGGGAGAAGGAAGGGTTTGATTGCTGGTCTATATTGACTTTTCTGTCCAAACATTGGTCTCTTGGGGGAAAGGTTTTTTTTTTTTGTTATTATACAATTTATTTTTCCTCTGCCACAGAAATTGACACAAGATAATTCATATACTCCAAGGATCCAGATATAATGCATATCACATTACTGCAATAGTCTTCAGTTTCTTTTTTCTTTTCTTCTTTTTTTAAATAAGTACTGGAGAAATTTAATTGAGTCATATTTGGCTTCTTGTTGGGGTTTTCTATTGCCCAGTGATAGAAGAAACTGTAACTATACAGGACTAAATTCCCAGATAATATCCACTGATGTTCTCTACTGGCCAGCTTAGAAGAATCCTAGGGCTGAATGTTTGAACAGTTTGCACATATTCTAACTCCAGCTGAATAGAATGATGATGATTGGGTTCTTGTGTTTACAATAAATACAAGTAGCCAAGCGTGGTGGTTTGCACCTATAATCCCAGCTACTCCAGAAGCTGAGGTGGGAGGATCACTTGAGTCCAGCAGTTCAAGACCAGCCTGGACAACACAGTGAGACCCCTGTCTCTAATAAATAAAATAAATAAATAATACAGTTCTTCCTTTTACCCTTTACAAATGGTTCTGGGTCTAAGATTAAAGCACAAGAACAACCAGTATTGAGTTAAAAGAATTTAAAACATTTTTATCATACTAATGGCTGCACATCAGTACAGAGAATAGTCACCTATCCCAAACCTTCCTACCATCCAGAATGGGAGGTGGGGTTGGCAGGGGCCAAACTGTTTACAGATTTCCCATTAATCCCTCTTTTTATCCCTATAGCTCTTTTCTTTTCTTTCTTTCCTTTTTTTTTTTTTTTTGTCAGAGATAGGGTCTCACTATGTTGTCCACGCTGGATTTCAACTTCTGGCCTTAAGTGATCCTCCCACCTCAGCCTCCCAAGTAGCTGGGACTACAGGCCCACACCACTGTGCCTGGCTGGTGTTTCAGAGTCCCCAGTCTCTGAGGTCTGCAGGACAGATCAGTCCCCTTCTCTCTGTATCTCAGTCTAGATTTTAGCAGAGGCAAACCCTAAGGGTTTGGGAGAGGTGATGGAGTGAAGCAGAGAGAATACAGAACTATGTTCTAGTTCCTGCCCTGCTCCTGACTTGACCTTGGGAAAGCCATGTCACCTCTCTGGGCCTTTTACCCCCATCTGGCCTAACAAGACTCCTGGCCTCGGTGACAGAAGCGTCCCATCCTCTCACCCACCCCTAAGCAGAGCAGCTGGGACTTTTCAGAAATGAGCCACAAGACTCCTTATGGCAGAAAGCCTTGGGGACCCAGAAGAACATAGAAGGCTTCCAGGAGGGAGATATGCTGTGCAGCCTGAAGTCATAAACAGCCATTCTGCAGCTGTTAAAGGGCCATGAACATGGCATGCTCTATTGTGATGGATGGCAGGCCTTGGCCAGAAGAGGCTGAATCCAGATGGGACCACGGGCAAAGCTGTGGAAGGGACTGTGTGATCACTCTTCTCTTTAAGGAGTATCTTCAGCCTGACAATAAACACACTGTCTCCCTAGGGGTTAGGTTTCGTGGGCCAAGAGCATGGTGGACGCACCACACATGTACCTGGGGTTTCTGGGGTTAGAGAAGACACAAGAAACTAAATCCAGAGTTAGCAGCTTGCGCCCGGGCTCAAATCTCAGTTTGTTTCATGGATTGGTTCCCTTTGAGCTGACTCAGAAATGCGATTATTGATTAGTGCAGAAAGTTTATTAGAGAGCCTTTGAGAATCAAGTCCTATGGGGAAAGGGAAGCAGGGGTGGGAAGAGGGAGAAGTCAGTCTGTGCTGCAGTCATGGGAGGCTTTGGCAGACCCCCAGGGGAGTTCTGAAACTAGGATAGCTGCTGAGTTGGCCTGAGTTGGAGTAAATGGGCCAAGTCTTTTCATCCCTGCACTGACCTGCCATGGAGCTTGGAGGGCAGCTCTCTTTAGACAAAGACAATTCCTCAAGAGGGCTGACAGCTGAGATCTGTCAACCTACCACCCACCCGGTAGGCGGGGAATAGTCCTTCAGTCCTGACCGAGGCAGTGTAGTGCAGCATTTGCAATAGTGCCCACATGGTGCTGTGCCTCTCATTTGCTACTTAAGTTTGGAGAGCAGCACTTTCAGGACCCTGGGGAATCTTTTCCTGTGGGAAACATATAGAGGAGGGTTAGTGGGAACTACAGCTCCTGCCGCCGCTACAGCTCATCTAGAGGCATAACGAACATACCCTTCAGTCCCCTCTTCTATCCATCCTAGAAACCTCTTCCCTTCTGCCAGCACCTCAGATGATCTAGGTGGCCTGCGTGATGGGGTGGTCTAGACCTCCATCCTTAGAGAGCCTGAGCACCTAGTTGCTGTGCACTTCTCAGGCAGTGGTTGCTGCATTTGTCCATTTACTGTCCAAATAGGGCAAAGGAGTACTAAGAGACACCTAAATAGATCACGTGGGTGCCCAATGTTCCTCCCTGCCCTGATGTGAAGTCTCAGCCTGATTCCTTCCCGGTAATTGAATACTCTTGTCTGCTTTCTCCCCCTGGTATACCATCCCATTTACTGCCTGTAAAAAATTAGCCATCTTAGAGTTTCCCTCTGCCAGAGGCTAGCTATGCTCCTCCTGTACCAGGGATGGGCACCTCATTATTACCTGGGTATTAGGTGATCCATCCTAGCATCTACTCTTTGGAAGAAGGAATAAAGCAGGGTCCGGGCGTGGTGGCTCATGCCTGTAATCCCAGCACTTTGGGAGGCTGAGGCGGGCAGATTACCTGAGGTCAGGAGTTTGAGACCAGCCTGGTCAACATGGTGAAACCCCTGTCTGTACTAAAAATACAAAAATTAGCTGGGCATGGTGGTGGGTGCCTGTAATCCCAGCTACTCAGGAGGCTGAGGCACGAGAATTGCTTGAACCTGGGCAGTGGAGGTTGCAGTAAGCCGAGATCACTCCACTGCACTCCATCCTAGGCAACAGAGTGAGACTCTCTCTGAAAAAAAAAAAAAAAAAAAAGGAATGAAGCAGGACAGGGCAGAGGGAAAAGTAAGGCTGCAGTGGACCACGTGGGGAGTTCTGAACCTGGGATGGCCCTGCATTGACCAGTCACCAGATGCTAGTTAATCTAGGAAGGTGAGATCTTGGGCAAGGCGTTCTTTCCAGCCAGTAGTAGTAGTGAGGGTGGGAAGTGTAAGTCTTTCAGCCCTGAAGGGGGATCTGGGCAGCACAGCACCCAGGACAGTTTGTATCCTGCAGTTCCACCAATCAGTGTGACCTTGGCTTACTTGGCTTGGTGGAGTGTAGAGACCTCCGCTTTAAAGACACTTTTTAGCCTGGGGTGGAGGGAAGACTAAGGGGAGGCCAGGCACTGATATGCTCCATCACAGAACCATATATGCTGATGGGCTCTATTCCCACAAACTCTTACCCTTCCCCTGCTGGTAGGAAGATGGAGGAAAAAGATGTATTTTATGATAGAATTAAGTTGGTATCTATGTAGACCCCTGCCAGACTGTTTGGAAGAGGAAAGGTGACCTGTCACAAGAAGTCACCCACAGGAGACTTGAGGTGGAGAATAGCCCTTTGTACTGGTCTCTACGACACAGGTTTTATCTAATGAGAAATCTGTCCTGGCGCTCACGCCTGTAATCCCAGCACTTTGGGAGGCCAAGGCGGGTGGATCACCCTGAGCTCAGGAGTTGGAGACCAGTCTGGCCAACATGGCAAAACCCTGTCTCTACTAAAAATACAAAAATTAGCTGGGCGTGGTGACACAGGCTTGTGGTCCCAGCTACTCTGGTGGCTGAGGTGGAAGGATCGCTTGGGCCTGGAAGGCGGAGGTTGCAGTGAGCTGAGATTTTGTCACTGCACTCCAGCCTGGGTGACAGAATGAGACCCCATCTCAAAAAAAAAAAAAAAAAAAAGGAACCTAAAGAGGAATCTGCCCTGGCTTATTGTCTGTGTAGAGCCACAGAAACAACAGAATAAGCTTGGACATAACCAGATCTACCATGGAAATCTTTGCACAGTGCCTGACACCTAATAGGTGGTTAATGACTGTTTGTTGAAGGGATGGGGCAAGGTGCT
This sequence comes from Homo sapiens, assembly GCF_000001405.40. Classification (NCBI taxonomy): domain Eukaryota; kingdom Metazoa; phylum Chordata; class Mammalia; order Primates; family Hominidae; genus Homo; species Homo sapiens. Next base: position 22,002,394 of record NC_000016.10, on the reverse strand, counting down.
TAGCCTCTCAGTTTCATCAGACCGGGGATAACACCAGGGCCTACCTCATTAGGTTTTCTCTTTCTTCTAGAATTTACTAACTCATTTATTCATTTTTATTTTTTGAGACAGGATCTTGCTCCATCACCCAGGCTGGAAGGTGGTGACTCAATCATAGCTCACTGCAGCCTTGAATCCTGGGCTCAAGTGATCCTCCCATCTCAGCCTCCTGAGTAGCTAGGACTACAGATGTGCACCACCATGCCCAGCTAATTTTTAAATTTTTTTTATAGAGAAAGGGTCTCACTATGTTGCCCAGGCTGATCTCAAACTCCTGGGCTCAAGCAGTCCTCCTGCCTCAGTCTCCTGAGTACCTAGGATTACAGGTGTTAGACACCACACCTGGCCTAGAATTTATTTTTAATAATTTATATTTTCCTAAAATTGTCCACTTCATCTGTTTTTTAAGTACAGGTTTCAAGAGGATAGAGCCTGTGTTTCTGTGTTTGTCTTGCTTACTGTTGTGTCCCCAGTATCAGTAAATGACAGAACAGCTCCCTGTAAATACTTGTTGTATGAGTGAATGTGTGTGGGAGGAAGAATTATCTTGGAAAAAAGAAGGAAGCATTAATAGTGCCTCTCCTAATAGTGACTCATTTTTTTTTAGGCCACCCTGGGGCCTTTTCTTATTCAAAACATTCATGAAAAAAAGTGCAGTTCCAAAGCATTGGAGCTACTGATGTAACAATTTTTTTAAAATACCATTATTAGAAGTGCAGCGGGGGATTCTCTGATCTTCTAGGTATTCTGTGATCTCCTGTGATCTTCTGGCTGTGATCTTCCTCTGCAGACCACCTCACATCTTTGAGACACCCTCCTCTGTGCCTTCTCCCCCTCCCTATTTCTTAGGTTCACCAAGAATGAATGAAGAAGCCAAGCGCGGTGGCTCATGCCTGTAATCCCAGCACTTTGGGAGGCTGAGGCGGGCAGATCGCTTGAGCCCATAGTGCAACAGTTGTGTTGAGCCTGAGCAACATAGTGAGACCCCCACCCCCTGCCCGTCTCTTAAAAAAAGAAAAAGAAAAGAAGGAATGAAGAAACCACCGTGGGTCAGGCACGGTGCTAACCTCTGCAGAAGTTTCCATACAGTACAATGGTGTGCAATGCCCACGCCACGTTTTGCAGGGTCCACGGGAAGCCTTGCGGCGACCTCACTGCCGCCCAATTTCTGGGCAGTGGCGGCGCAGCGCCCCCTGGCGGCCATCCCGAGGGCAGTGCCCGCGGGCAAGGTTCGAAACTGTTGGCATTGGGACTGACTCCAGCCTCTGCTCCGGGAGGCCCTCCCGGGCTGCCTGACCTCCCGGGACCATGCAGAAGGCCTCCCACAAAAACAAAAAAGGTAACTGGGGAGAAGGAAGCGGGTGAAGAAGCCCTGGGGACCAAGCCTTCGTCAATGTTCCTCCTCTGTAAAATGGCAACGGTGCACTCTTGGCCTGGGAGATAACCTCTCTCCATCGTTGTTGTTATCATCATCATCATTATCATCATCATCATCATCATCATCATCATCATCATCATCATCATCATCATTTGAGAAGGAGTCTTGCTTTGTCCCCCAGGCTGGAGTGCAGTGGCGCGATCTCAGCTCACTGCAACCTCTGCCTCCCAGGCTCAAGTGATTCCTCTGCCTTAGCCTCCCGAGTAGCTGGGATTACAGGTGCCTGCCACCATGCCCAGCTAATTTTTTATTTTTAGTAGAGATGGGATTTCACCATGTTGGCCAGGCTGGTCTCAAACTCCTGACCTCAAGTGATCCGCCCGCCTTGGCCATCGTTATTTTTATCAAGGTATAATTTCCATGCAGTAAGATCCCCCCTTTTAAAAGTACAGCTACCGTTTTGACAAGCTATACCCACGTTGAACCACCCCCTCCATCAAGATAGGGAACAGTTCCACCACTCCCTAAAATTACTTTGCAATGCCCAGTTGCAGCCAAACCCCACCCCACTGCAGCTCCTCACACCCCCATCTGTTTTTTACAGCGTTTTTTTTTTTTTGCCTTTTCCATGGAGAACATCATAAAAATGAAATCACATAGTAAGGAGCCTTTAAAAAATTATACCAATGTAAATAGGGACTTTGGCCCTTTCATTTTTATTAAAAGGGCACATAAATCTTAAAATAGCATATGGGTCACTGTATTTTATTTTTAGAGACAGAGTCTTGTTCTGTCGCTCAGGCTGGAGTGCAGTGGTATGCTCCTGGCTCACTGCAGCCTCCAATTCTTGGGCTCAAGCAATCCTCCTGCATCAGCCTCCCATAGCTGGGACTGTAGGCATGCACCACCACATTCAGCTAATTTTTTTTTTTTTTTTGAGACAGAGTCTTGCTCTGTGACCCAGGCTAGAGTGCAGCGGCATGATCTTGGCTTACTGCAACCCCCGCCTTCCAGGCGGGTTCAAGCGATTCTTGCCCCTCAGCCTCCAGAGTAGCTTGGATTACAGGCGTGAACCACCACGCCTGGCTGATTTTTGTGTTTTCAGTAGCAACGGTGTTTCACCATGCTGGCCAGGCTGGTCTCGAACTCCTGACCCCAAGTGATCCGCCCACCCTCGGCCTCCCAAAGTGCTGGGATTACAGGTGTGAGCCACCATGCCCAGCCTAAATAGAAGAGATGAGGTGTCACTATGTTGCCCAGGCTCTAATCACTTTATACTTCTGCTAGCCCCCAGGTGGGCTTACTGAAGGATGCAGACTCCTGCACTGAGCAATTCTTGTTCTTTATGGCTTTTTTCCGCACAGCATCAGGATTTGATAAGACTTGAGGTTGGCAAAGAGGCTGAACTAGGCAGGCAGGTGCCAGACAGCCTTAGGCTTTTTCACTGCAGGGCTGTTGTCATTTGGACTGCTTGTCCTTGGGAAGGTTGACATTGCTGTCTGACTAGCCTTGTAGCAAAACCTGTAAGTCTTTCATATTTTAGTCTGGTGCTTGGGGTCTGGCTCTCCGAGGACCATAGTGCTGCCTCCTCCACCTGGTTGTCCCCAAACACAGCAGCTCACTCTTTTCTGAGCTCACCCTTTTCCAGGGAGGAAGCATTGAAGATCTCACTTTCAACAGCAGTAGGATCATCTTTGTCAGTACCTTCGGGTTCCAGGGTCCCTGCCACTGGGCCCTAGCGAGCACTTTCCTCAGGTTTCATGTCTAATAGTTCATCCTGAGCATGCACTGTGTGAAGAGCCTTTGCCTAAAACACATAAAATACCTTTTCCATCTTCAGTGTTTTCCTTGTCGTGGTTTTCATCCTCTAATGAAATTAATTGACTCAGCTCCTGCACTGTTACATCTGTGCTTTCCTGCTGGGTGAGCTTCTTTTCTTCTTTCTCAACTAGTTTTTTCAGAGGGTTTTGTAAGTGCTTTAAAGTAGTGACTTCATATGGCTGATAACCTGTGAAGCTCTCATGGATGGCTGCCATAGTGTGAGAAGTCTTCTCTCCAAAATGAAGCAGAGTGGTCTGGTATGTTGCTAGCATTTGAGACAGGAGATTGCATGTATTTACTTGCTCCAAGAAAATCTACATCCAACTTCACTTTGTCAAGGTTTTTTTCTCTCTCTTTTTTTTTTTTTTTTTTTTTTTTTGAGATGGAGTCTTGCTCTGTCACCCAGGCTTGTAGCTGGGATTACAGGCATGCACCAACATGCCCAGATAATTTTTTTTTGTTTTTGAGACAGAGTCTCGCCCTGTCACCCAGGCTGGAGTACAATGGCGCCATCTCAGCTCACTGCAACCTCTGCCTCCTGGGTTCAAGCGATTCTCGTGCCTCAGCCTCCCAAGTAGCTGGGATTACAGGCCCGCGCCACCATGCCCAGCTAATTTTTTGTAACTTAGAGACAGGTTTCGCCATGTTGGCCAGGCTGGTCTCGAACTCCTGATCTCGTGATCTACCCGCCTTGGCCTCCTAAAGTGCTGGGATTACAGGCGTGAGCTACCGTGCCTTGCACAAAGTTTTTTTTGTTTTTTTTTCAAGATGTACTTGTGTTTCTTGCCTTCCCGAACTTCTGCATTTGCTTATAGAGGTCTGGATCAAACTCCTGAGACATGTCCTTCTTCTGTAAGGAGCCTTTTGAGTCTGGCTTCTTTTACTTAACCCTGCTGACTTTTAAAAGTGGGCTCCTGGTAGCTTACCTTATAAGCATATTGAATTTACAAACTGAGATAGGAACCACTGGACCTTGCCCAAGATGTGACTTCTCTGTTTGCTCAGGAACCAGAGGCTCAGGCAGGGCGTATCCTGCCCCCAGTTGCTCCCAGAACCCTGAAAGGTCTCTGAAGATGGTATCTTGTTTATATTATGCTATTTTATTTTCCCAAACAGAGAGCATCTGTGGTTTGGGGGAAGGTGAGGTTGGAGATGGGCAAGGACATTTGCTTTAGAGGAAAGGGCCATGAACCCCTCCAGCTCCCCACAGCCAGAGGTAGGGAGCTGGGGGAGCCTCTCCCTCAGCAGTGGCCCTGAAAACACCACAGTCACATGGACTTGGCAAGCTTGTGTGTCACCTGTCCTTATGGAAAGGAGTTGTGTGTGAAATGCTGGAAAAGTGTGCTGAAAACAGATCTCCCCAGGAGCTTCCTGTGTACCGAAAAGGAGTTTCCTAGCAACTTCCTCTTGGGAAATTAACTTGTTGTTTTGAATGTCCTTTTAGTCCCTGAAATTTTTCTTGTGAGATTTGGTTCTGTAGAAAACATATTTCAACCTCTCCCACTACCCCTTGTCTCCAAGGCCTTCGGATTTTCCCCCATGTGCTTTTTGGATCCATCCACTGCTCATTTCCGCTGTCACTGCCATGACATGTGCCAGGACCCTGTCATTTTCATGTCATTTCATTTCATCTAACCATGTCCAGCTTTACTCACTTCGGAGCCTTTTCACTAAGGAAGTCTGAGAAGCAGCCTCTGTCTGGTTGGTCCTCGCTCCTCCTGCCTCCCCCTCCTCTGACAGGGACTGTTCCTTCCTTTCTCAGACCTTAACACAATTTGCTCCGGATCCACCTTTCTTTGCCTAAATATTTCCTATTGGTCCTTTTGGCCTTAATTCAAATTTTAGCCCTGCTGGAAGCTTGACCCGCCATCCCCAGATGAGACTTTGGCCCTCTGTTACTCATTCTCAGAGCCCTCCGTCCTTTTCTTTCATAGCATGAGTTACAGTTTGTTATCCAACATATATTTACATGACTGATTGATATCTGTCCCCTCCACTAGGCTGTAAAATTCATGAGGACAAGAAACACATGTGGGCCAGGCACGGTGGCTCACACCTGTAATGCCAGCACTTTGGGAGGCTGAGGTGGGAGGATTGCTTGAGTCCAGGAGTTCAAGACTAGCCTGGCCAATATAGTGAGACCCTGTCTCTACAAAAACAATAAAAATTAGCCGTGTATAGTAGCACATGCCAGTAGTCCCAGCTACTTAGGAGGCTGAGGTGGGAGGAGCCCTTGAGCCCAGGAGATCGAGGCTGCAGTGAGCCCTGATAATGCTGCTGCACTCCAGCCTGGGCAACAGAGTGAGACATTGTCTGTTAAAACCAAAAAACCCAACACATCTGTTTTGCTCACCATGGTAAACCCAGGGCCTAGCACACTGTATCAATAAATATTTGTTAAGTGAACAGATAATACTAACTAATATTGATTAAGCACTCACAATATGCCAGACTCTGCAAAAGCCCTTTAATGCACCCATTTAATTTTCAGAAGAGCTCTCCAAGGTGAACATTTTTATCCTCATTTTACTGACAAGGAATCTGAGGAACAGGGATTAAATAACTGTCCCAGGGATCTGGCTTCAGAACCCCAGTAGGTATGGCCATGCTTCTGTCTTGGTGAAGGACTGAAATAAGTTCCCCTCTTTTGGTTAGAAAGAGGAGTCAGCAACAAGGTCAAAACATCTGTACACAACTTGAGCAAAACACAGCAGACCAAACTCACTGTGGGTAGCCTGGGATTAGGCCTCATCATCATCCAGCATGGACCCTACCTCCAGATCACCCACCTCATCAGGAAGGGGGCTGCAGCCAACGACGGGAAACTCCAGCCAGGTGATTGCCCTTTCGCCATGCTTCCCAACCACCCATCCTGCCCATCTGCCTGCAGGGTGACTCGGGTCACCGGGTTTCAGTGTAACTATAAGGATATGACGGGCATGCTGGCTCATGCCTGTAATCCCAGCACTTTGGGAGGCCAAGGCGGGGTGGATCACTTAAGGTCAGGAGTTTGAGACCAGCCTGGCCAACATGGTAAAACTTTGTCTCTACTAAAAATACAAAAACTGGCTGGGAGCAGTGGCTCATGCCTGTAATCCCAGCACTTTGGGAGGCTGAGGTGGGTGGATCCTGAGGTAGGGAGTTCGAGACCAGCCTGGCCAACATGGTGAAACCCTGTCTCTATTAAAAATACAAAAATTAGCCAGGCGTGGTGGCACATGCCTGTAATGCCAGCTACTTGAGAGGCTGAGGCAGGAGAATCGCTTGTACCCAGGAAGTGGAGGTTGCAGTGAGCTGAGATCGCGCCACTGCACTCCAGCCTGAGTGACAGAGACTCCGTCTCAAAAAATAATTAAATAAATAAATAAATAAAATAAATACAAATACAAAAATTAGCTGGGCCTAGTGGCGGGCGCCTGTAGTCCCAGCTACTCAGGAGGCTCAGGCAGGAGAATCTCTTGAACCCGGGAGGCGGAGGTTGCAGTGAGCTGAGATGGCAGCACTGTACTCCAGCCTGGGTGACAGAGTGAGACTCTGTCTCAAAAAAAAAGGATATGACATTAGTTGAGAACTTTCTATGGGCCAGCCAATGGCTATCACTTATATAACTATCACTGTTGGGCATATTAATTCATTTAATTCTGGCTGGGTACAGTGGCTTACACCTGTAATTCCAGCACTTTGGGAAGCCAAGGTGGGAGGATCCGTTGATGCCAGGAATTCAAGGCCAGCCTGAGCAACACAGTGAGATGCTGTCTATATTAGTCCGTTCTTGCACTGCTATAAAGAAATACCTGAAACTGGGTCATTTATAAGAAAAGAGGTTTAATTGGCTCATGGTTCTGCAGGCTGTACAGGAAGCATGGCTGGGGAGGCCTCAGGAAACTTACAATCATGGCAGAAGGTGAAGAGGAAGGAGGTATGTCTTACATGGTTGGAGCGGGAGGAAGAGAGAGTAGGGGGAGGTGCTACACACGTTTAAACAACCAGATCTCATAAGAACTCACTCGCTATCACGAGAACAGGAAGGGGGAAATCTGCCCTTGTGATCCAGTCACCTCCCCCCAGGCCCCTCCTCCAACACCGGGGACTACAGTTGAACATGAGATGTGGGCGGGGACACAAATCCAAACCATATCACCATTTCTACAACAAAACGAAAGCAGCCCGGCATGGTGCGTGCCCGTAATCCTAGCTACTCAGGAGGCTGAGGTGGGAGGATCACTTGAGTGCAGGAGGCCGAGGCTGTAGTGAGCTATGATTGTGCCACTGCATGCCAACCTGGGTAACAGAGTGAGACCCTACCTCTAAAAAAAAAAAAAAAATTAAATTTACTTAATGAGGGTCAGTGAGATTGAGTTCCTTGTCCAGGTCACCTGTTTCTCCTAAGTGGGGATTCAGGGACCATGTTACTCCAGAGCTATGGCTCTCAGTGCGTAAAGATATTTTCTTTCGTAGGCAGTATTAAGCATTGCTAACACTTAGCTGCACGATCTCATTTCACTCTCACAATCCCTGAGCTAGATTCTGCATGAAACCACCTTGCAGACAAGGAATCAGATGTTTAGTAACTCTCCCATGGTCACTCTGAGGAGCTGGGATTTGAACCTTCTCTGTCAGACTTCAGAGCCTAAGGGCTTTACCAATACTGCCCTGCTCCTCGTGTCTTTGGGTGAATGAATTTTCCATGCAGTTCAAGAGGTGTTTTCTCAGTGCCTGGCCTGGGCCTAGTACTGTGCCCAGGAGTTGGGGAGGCAGAATGGGCTGGCGCCATGGTGAGAAAGAAAAAACATTGTGTTAGCTGTCCTGATTCAGGCTCAGGGTCTGACACTTTTTAGTTCTGTGACCCTGGGCAAAGCCACTTAACCTTTCAGGCCTTAGTCACCTCATCTTTGAATTGGGATATTCCTGTGTTTGTCAGAGGTTGCGCAGATTTGATGAAATAATGCATGTTTGTTTGATAGATGGGGTATCACTCTGTCACCCATGCTGGAGTGCAGTGGCTTGATCATGGCTCACTGCAGCCTTAAACTCCTTGGCTCAAGTGATCCTCCTGCTTCAGCCTCCTCAGTAGCTGGGACTCAGGCGTGCACCACCATGCCCAGCTAATTTTTATTTTATTTTTTATTTTTTTGTAGACATGGGCAATGGAGGTGGTGGGTGGGTGGTGTCTCACTATGTTGTCCAGGCTGGTCTCAAACTCCTGGCCTCAAGCAATCCTCCCATGTGGCCTCCAAAAGTACTGGGATTACAGGTGTGAGCCATTGAGCCCAACCTGATGAAATAATTTTTATGAAAGTGCTTTTAAAACTGAAGTGCTACAGAAATATTGGCAATCATCTCTTAGGCTGTTCTTACAGATTCTCTAGACTTTTGCATGTGTGTGTTTTAATAAAAAATGATGGCTGTATGGGGGTCCCAGTGGATTAAGCCACTGGTTTGCAACTCTGGTTACCTGTTAGAATCATCTGGGAAGTTTTTAAAACCAAGATGCCTGGTCCCTATCTCCCTACAGGTTTTTGATTCAATCGTTCTTGGACTGGGACAGGGCAGTTTATGTTTTAAAAGCTCCTCAGGTGATTCTAATTTGCAGCTAAGGGTTCCAAGCAATGGATTAAAGAAGAAAGCAGATACATAATGGTTTTATGAAACAGTTTGCTATACCTTAAAATCCAAAGCATTTTCCCCACACATCACTACTTGGTGGTGGAGAATAAACGGCGGCCGGTGGAGAGTTCTGGACTTACCAGAACAAAAGAACTCCAGGACAGGTCCCATGGGGAAGCTGCTGCTTCTCAGCTTCTTCAAGGTCAGGTGACAGATGCTGGGTGATGATCCGGGTGCATACTCCAGGGTGCTAGAGTGGGACAGGAGTATGCTTTTAGGTGGGCAACAGAGAATCTCATGGCACGGCTATAGTTAGTGGGCTCTTTGAGGTTAGAAGCAGTCTTGAATTTCATCTTTTAAATCCAGGACTCACCTACTGTATTAGTGCATTCTTACACTGCTGTAAAGATACTGCCTGAGACTGGATAATTTATAAATGAAGGAGGTTTAATTGACTCACAGTTCCGTACGGCTGGGGTGGCCTCAGGAAACTTACAATCATAGTGGAAGAGGAATCAGGCATTTTCTTCACAAGGCGGCAGGAGGGAGTGTGAGTGTGTGAAGGAGGAGCTGTCAAACACTCATAAAACCATCAGATCTCATGAGAACTCACTCACTATCATGACAGCATGGGGGAAACCACCCCCGTGATCCAATCACCTCCCTCCCTCCACAGGTGGGGATTACAATCGGCAATGACATTTGGATGGGGACACAGAACCAAACCATATTGTTCTGCCCCTCCATCTGCAAGCTGAAGAGCAGGGAAGCCAATAGTGGCTCAGTCCGAGTCCCAAAACCTCAAAAGTTGGGAAGCCGACAGTGTAGCCTCCAGTCTGTGGCTGAAGGCCTGAGAAACCCTGGCAAAACACTGGTGTAAGTCCAAGAGTCCAAAAGCCAAAGAACTTGAGTCTGATGTTCGAGGGCAGGAAGCATCCAGCACAGGAGAAAGATGAAGGCTGGAAGACTCAGCAAGTCTGCTCATTCCACCTTTTTCCACCTGCTTTTTCTAGCCTTGCTGGTAGCTGATTGGATGGTGCCTACCCAGATTGAGGGTTGGGTCTGCCTCTCCAAGTCCATTGACTCAAATGTTAATCTTTTCTGGCAACACCTTCACAGACACACCCAGAAACAATACTTTGCATCCTTTGAACCGATCAAGTTGACAATATTAACCGTCACACCTAAAGTAGTGGCTCATTTGTTATGTCTTTGCTTAATAAATAAATAATAAATATTTGTCCTAGGCATTGTGGGAGATATTTCCCCATCTATTATCTTTTTTTAACTCCAATTTTTAATTTTATTTGAATAAGAGACATGGTCTCACTGTCACACAGGCTGGAGTGCAGGAGTGCAGTGGCGCAATCATAGCTCACTGCAGCCTCGAACCCCTGGGCTCAAGCAATCCTCCTGCCTCAGTCTCCCAAAGTGCTGGGATTACAGGCATGAGCCACTTCACCTGGCCCCACGTGTTATCTAATTTAAAGTTTGCAACACTCCTGAAATGTAGATAATGAAATACAGAGGCGTAGAGAGATGAAATAACTTGTTCATCTTAGTTACACAACTGAGTCTGTGTTCAGAGCTGGGATTTGAACCGATGTGTGCCTAGAAAGCCCATACCTTTCTAGTCAATTGCCTAACAACTAGAAATGAGATTTGAATACAGAGGAAGTCCAGAGCCCCAAATCTCTTCGTGACAAGCCTGCCAGTTCTCCTCGGCATCATTCTAGGCTTTAAAATCTGTAACTCAGTGGTTTTAGACAATGATGATAAGATCTCGAGAGATGATAATTGTAGAAACATGCTATTTCTTTGACCCCGTTTCCTCCCAGCCCCATTATCTTTTATCTATGTGCTGAAATTTCTCTCCTTTGGTGTTTCAGGATAGGGTTTCACCTTGATTTCCTAATTTAGTTTAGTGTTAGTTTATTCTGGCTAAACTTTTAGTTCCTTTTGGGCAGTATGGCCTTAACAGATTCTGACATTCTAAGTCTTGAGAAATTAATGTAGGCCGGGTGCGATAGCACACACCTGGAATCTCAGCACTTTGAGAAGCTGAGGCGGGCAAATTGAGCTCAGGAGTTCGAGACCAGCTGGGGCAACATGACAAAACCCCATTTCAATAAAAAATACAAAAACTAGCCCAACATGGTGGGCATATGCGCTTGCAGTCCCAGCTCCTCCAGGGGCTGAGGCAGGAGGGTTGCTTGAGCCCTGGAGGTCGAGGCTGCAGTGAGCTGTATTTGTATCCCTGCATTCCAGCCTGGGTGACAAAGTGAGACCCTGTCTCAGGAGAAAAAAAAAAAAAGAAATTAATGTAGCTTCAACAGTAAATACAAGTCATGGACTGGCTACTGCCTAAGCAGTTCCTAAAGGCCTGGTGTGTGCAGACACCCAGCTAGGCACTGGGGGTGTAGTGGTGAACGGCACAGACATGGTCCTTAGCCTTGAGGAACTTAAGGAACTTCCAGCCTAGTTGGGAGAGATGAAAAAGATAAAATATTTTTCAGTAGTGGCTTGGCTGCTGCAAAGTTGATTTACTGTAGGTAATCGAGACAAAGTTTATATAATGTCATCCTATAGCCCATTAAAACAGAAAAAAAAAGGTGTAATGAGGTTGGTGTTCATAAGTACGAAATTGGTGTTTCTGTATGAAGGGCAATGTTAATATCTATTGCTAGAGTAATCACATTCACATGCTGACATGTTTGGTTTACAGCCAGAACGGTCAGGAAATTAAGCTGTTTATTTTCTGCCCTCTTGATAAAAGTCACACTTTTACAACATAATTAAGCAGAATGCCAAGCCATAGCTTTCAGCTATAAACACTGCTTTTAACATTAGGTAAGTAAGCTCATCCGGGGAGGGTTTTGTTTTTGTTTTGTTTTGTTTTGTTTTGCCATTGTAATTAACCTCAGTAGGATGAGCAGCTGTTTCATATTGCTCAAGCTGCAGGTAGCCTTGTTTCATTCTGAAGTGAGCTTCAGATACATGGTTGATTGTATTACCCCCAGCTACTGCTTAAGACCAAAGTAGAAGGTTTTTCTCCACCCTTGTAAGTATTTGTTTTCTGGAATTCTGGGAACTTTTGTTTCTGATAGGATCTAGAGCTATGGACATTTGTCCTTGGCATCCTTAGAGGCTTCTTTTGGGATCAGTGTAATTCCTGATTGAAGCCCAGTGCATGCATCAGAGAAGGCACTTCTTGACCCTTTTCTTCTTTGAGGTTAGGCTTCAGCTGTCTTAGAATGAGGCTGATTGAGGGTCTCCAGAAGGTCAGTACTAGTAAGATCTGAAGACTTAAGATTTTGCCCAATGTGAGCTGGTCCTTAAAAAGCAAATCCTTTGTATTCCTTTCTGAAGTCTTGCTGAATGCCGTTGTAGCAGCCAGGGTTCCTCATTGCAAAAAACAGAAAACACTTCTGTTAATGCACTGAATTTGGGATACTGAGTCTGACAGAATCTCCCAAAAGGCTGGAGAAGCAGGCTTGGAAAATGGTGAGAGAACCAAGAGCTGTGTGTAACTACCCCTAGCAACTAGAAGCTCCTGTCACTCTTTTGCATCTCCTCCTCCAGGTTCAGTGACCCAGGTGGGAGTGTCAAGTAGCTGGATCTCACTCACAGGTCCATGACCTAGCTGCTGGAGGTGGGGACATGGGGGAGGTTGGAGCAAGTGAAAAATTGGTCTTTTTAGCTTCCTTCAATTTGGGGGTTTCGGGGGTTAGTGCTCAAGATGTAGTCCTCTTCCCACCTGCCAGGGACTCGGAAGCTGCATGGTTGCCCATCTTGTTTCTTTCCTTATCCTGCGTTGCCCTAAGGTAGGGAAACCTAGCTGTCAAATCCCTTTAAACCAACATACTCACTGCATACACATCTTACAGTTAAAGCATGCCTAATTGCCCAATGTTTTATACAGAATTATTTGCTCAACTAATACTGCACAAGGGTAGAGAATTAAAATGAAAGGCTTTATGTTTAATATGGTCTATTAACTGTGGAGGGCACTGGAAATTGCCAGGCAGGTATAATAGAAAGTAGGTCATTTATTCACCACTTAGTGTAAGTGGTTTTTTCTTTTCTAGTAATAGCCATTCATTTTATCTGAAACTAATCTATTTTTAGAATCCTAACAGCTGGTTCCGATTATAAATGTTTTTTAGCCTCTGTCACACCAAGAACTTCAGAAACGTCTCAAAAACATCATATAATGTCTACCAATATACTGCTATTAAGAAACATCTTGCATACATTCTTCAGTATGCAAAGGACATTCATATCATGGACATGAACATCTTTATTAAATAAAGGCTGGGCCGGGTACGGTGGCTCATGCCTGTAATCCTAGCACTTTGGCAGGCCGAGGTGGACAGATCACCTGAGGTCAGGAGTTTGAGACCAGCCTGGCCAACATGGTGAAACCCCATCTCTACTAAAAAAAAAAAACAAAATTAGCCAGGCTTGATGGCACATGCCCATAATCCTAGCTACTTGGGAGGCTGAGGCAGGAGAACCACTTGAACCTGGGAGGCGGAGCTTGCAGTGAGCTGAGATCATGCCACTGCACTCCAGCATGGGTGACAGTTAGACTTCATCTCAAAAAAAAAAAAAAAAAAAAGGCTGAAGCCTGGTTTTGGTTCAAAAAGAATCAACAATATGAACCCATAAAATGAAATACCTCACAATAAAGCCAGAAATCAATATAGTCCCTTTAAACCTCTAGTTTTACTGATACATAATTTTTTCCCTCTTCAGGTGATGTTCTGATTAGTGTTGGCCATGCCAATGTGTTAGGATATACTCTTCGAGAATTTTTACAGCTTTTGCAACATATCACTATTGGAACAGTGCTACAAATCAAGGTTTACCGAGATTTTATTAACATTCCTGAAGAATGGCAAGAAATATATGATTTAATCCCTGAGGCCAAATTCCCAGTAACAAGGTAAATAGTTCATTTTAGGAACTCTTTGTTATAATACAGAATCCCAGGGCCTGTGAGGCATAGATGGTTTAATGTGACAATTATCAAATGATAAGGATCATGACAGGAGGACTGGTGACACTGTCAGAGTAATTTCCTGGGTTTCTGGTATTAGATCTGTAGGATCTAATATGAGAAAGCACGATGAAGTCAACCTGGAGTTAAAAAACAAGTCATCGGTTGGGAATTTTGTCCCCATGCCTACCTGTATGGTGCCCCTCTTTCCCGAGTCAGCCCTTAAAAATGCTTCTTGTGGGCCAGGTGTGGTGAATCATGCCTGTAATCCCAGCACTTTGGGAGGCTGAGGCGGGTGGATCATGAGGTCACGAAATCGAGACCATCCTGGCCAACATGGTGAAACCCCGTCTCTACTAGTAAATTACAAAAATTAGCTGGATGTGGTGGCGCGTGCCTGTAATTCCAGCTATTCGGGAGGCTGAGGCAGGAGAATCGCTCGAATCAGGGAGTCGGAGGTTGCAGTGAGCCGAGATCGCACCACTGCACTCCAGCCTGGAGATAGAGCGAGACTTTGTCTCAAAAAAAAAAAAAAAAAAAAAAAGTGCTTCTTGCAAATCCTATTTTCTTTTCCGTATTCAACTTTTTGTTCTCTGGGTCCTTCCCAATAACATCTAAGCCTTTTTAAACTTCTCCCATCTTGGCAAATCCTATCTTCAGTCCACTCTCCTCTCCCTACCCTCTTTAGCCACTGGAGTCTTTTGCATCCACTCCCAACTTGCTAAAAGCTGTATTAGACACCTCTGTTTCCTCGAAAGACGCCACTTCCCAGACACTCCTCCACCCACTTCAATCTAGGCTTTGCTTTCATCCCTTGGCTGAGTCCTTTTCCCAGGGCCACCCATAGCCTTCACACTTCTGATCCCACTAGATTCTTCTGTCTTTATCTTGCTTGGCTTCTGAGCAGCATTAGACACTTAACAATTTCCACCCACTCTCTTCTTGAAATAGCACTTCCCAGGCTTCTGTGACACCACACTCCCCTGATTTTCCTGTTACCTCTGGCCATTTCCTCTTGGTGTCCTTTCTCCTAGCCAGTTTCATTGATGCCTGTGGTTTCTATGACTATCCACATGCTAATTACTTTCAAACTGTATTATCACCAAAACTGTATTTTTTTTTTCTTGGAGACGAGGTTTTGCTCTTGTCACCCAGGCTGGAGTGTAGTGGCGTGACCTTGGCTCACTGCAACCTCTGCCTCTCGGGTTCAAGTGATTCTCCTGCCTCAGCCTCCAGGGTAGCTGGGATTACAGGCGCATGCCAACACACCCAGCTAATTTTTGTATTTTTAATAGAGACGAAGTTTCACCACGTTGGCCAGGCTGGTTTCGAACTCCTGACCTCAGGTGATCTGCCTGCCTCGGCCTCTCAAAGTGTTGGATTACAGGCATGAGCCACCAAGCCTGGCCAGAATGATCTTTTTGTAATGCAAATCTGATCCTGGCATGTTCCTGCAAAAAATCTCTTAAGACTTTTTGTTCTTTGGATAAATGTCAAAATCCTCACATTGGCCAATGATGCTCTATGGGGTTCAGCTGGCCTCTGCAAACCATTCCAACTTCAACTCATACTGCTTTCCCCATCCTTCTCTAGCCCCCTTTAGCTTCCAGCTCTCTGCCTTTTGTTTTGCCTCAGGGTCTTTGCACTTGCTCTTCTCTGTGTGCAACATGTTTGTAACTTTGCTCTTCAGTAGTCACCCTTGAAGGCTCCAGTGTAACTTCTCCAAGGGGTCTTCCTAGAAACAGGTCCACCTGACATATGCTCTCACAGCTCGCTCCTTCACATTTATCCCAATTTTAATGAAATAATCTGTGTAATCAGTTGTTCACTGTGTTTCCCTGGGAGAATGTGAACTCCATCAAGGCAGGGACTGAGTCTGTCTTGTTTTGCTAAAATTGCCCTAGGACTTTCATGTGGTCAGTGGTTCACTTGTTTTTAATTTTTAATTTTAAAAGTCTTATTTTTGAGACAGGGTCTCACTCTGTCACTCAGGCTGGAGTGTAGTAGCACGATCACAACTCACAATCAAATCCTACTCAGCGACTCCTACACTGGAGGGCACGACTCTAAAAGCCTGGGCTCATGTGATTACATAACAACTATGTTCTAAGCATTTTCATTACATGGAGGAGTTTTGAGATCCAGAATATTAAATTCTAAGGATGGTAGACTGACCATTCAAAAGCAAAGAAAAGATAGAACAGTACAACTTAAGTAAGAGGCGAAAACCCACAAACAATACCAAGCACCTGCTGATTCCCTTTCTTAATTAGGCAAAGTACCCATATCTGAGGCATTTTAGTAACTTATGTATAACGCGGCAGGGAAAGAAGAAGGAAAAAGATGCTTTCACAAAGCTAGTATAAACTTTTCCAGGAGAAAATGGCACTGGGTATACACACTGGAGAAATTCTCCATGTAACGCTCTGGGTAGGCCAAGTGGTATAGAAAGTTTGTTTCTAGCCAATCCTGACCTCTGCAGGGTTGTGGCTTTATTACCTAATGACAATTTACCTGTCCTTTATGGTTACCTAACCATCAGAGTTGCCAAGGATTCCCCCTGCAGTCTGAAAAAAAAAAGTTACTAATACTTGGATTTAAAAAAAAAATTCATGTGCTGTTCAGGAAGACCTAGGTGTGTCTGAAGGCAAATCAGACAAAGAAAATCAGTATTTAAGACTAGTGGCTCTCAGTAAAAATTACTCATTATCAACTGTTTATTACTGGAAGAGATAAACTTTTGGAAAAGCCATTCAAATTATTGGAAGCAAATACAACAGGCAGACTGCCAAGGTTATTAGTGATAACACCAGAAGTCTTAACAGGTTGGCAGGGAAGAAACCTATTTCCTTTTAGCAGGGCAGAATGTACCAGAGATTTGTAATCACAAAGATCTAGTTTTGGTTCTGCTGGGCAATAGCACCAGGATGAGGGAAAGCAGGTGACAGAGCATTCATTCTGGAAAGTTAAAGCAAGCACAGGTACTGTAGGCATTAGGAAAGTTCAGAGACCTGGAGGTGCTAGCAGGCAAGCACCACCTAGTTTCAACAATCAAGAAAGTCAATAATTGGAGAAAGTTAAAAACAACAACAACAACAACAACAAAAACCTGGCTGGGCACAGTGGCTCATGCCTGTAATCCTAGCACTTTGGAGGCCAAAGTAAAGATTGCTTGAGGCCAGGAGTTTGAGACAGGCATGGGCAACATAGGGAGATCCTGTTTTAAAAATAAATAAATAAATAAAAATAAATAAAAATTAGCCAGGTGCGGTGGCATACAGCATACACACCTGTAGTCTCAACTACTTTGGAAGCAGAGGCCAGAGGGTCACTTGAGCCCAGGAATTCAAGGTTGCAGTGAGCTATGATTGTACCACTGCACTCCAGCAAGGGTGACAGAGCAAGACCCTCTCTAAAAAAAAGACTCTAAGACTTACTAATGACTAGGATGTTGAAGATCCTTAAGGCCCACTATTTCCTGACTTCCTGACTCCTCTGGAAATCAGTAATGTTGTGTTAATGCCACGTGAGCCACAAGAATAGAGTTCTCAGGAGATGGCCAGGTTGAATCCGTCACTTTAGC
Source organism: Homo sapiens (assembly GCF_000001405.40). Lineage (NCBI taxonomy): Eukaryota > Metazoa > Chordata > Mammalia > Primates > Hominidae > Homo > Homo sapiens. The sequence continues at coordinate 21,984,964 of NC_000016.10, read as the reverse complement.
TGCAGTGAAATTAACCTACCCTTTAACACCTCCTAATATTCTGGTCAGTAGTCTAGTATAAGTCTGTGCAAAACTTTTTAAGGTATGGTGAAGTAATTTAAGGCAGAATTTGATTTCCATTTAGAAATGGAAAAAGATTTCAAGACGATTTAAAAAAGAGAAACATTTCAATGACACAGAAAGGTAATGCTAAAGCTAAATTGTATCTTTTATGAGTCAAAGCAAGTTATAAGGCATCTTGTTAGGGGACCATAAATGTTTAGACATGAAGAATCTATTTTATTCACTATTCTTTTCATTTCAGCACACCAAAGAAAATTGAGCTGGCAAAAGATGAATCTTTCACAAGCAGTGATGATAATGAAAATGTAGATTTAGATAAAAGACTTCAATATTATAGATATCCGTGGTCAACTGTGCATCACCCTGCAAGGAGACCAATATCCATCTCCAGAGACTGGCATGGATATAAGAAGAAGAACCATACTATTAGTGTAGGAAAAGACATTAATTGTGACGTGATGATTCACAGAGACGACAAGAAAGAAGTGAGGGCCCCTTCTCCATACTGGATAATGGTGAAGCAAGACAATGAAAGCTCTTCCTCCTCTACCTCCTCTACCTCAGATGCATTTTGGCTGGAAGATTGTGCCCAAGTTGAAGAGGGTAAAGCCCAACTGGTATCAAAGGTTGGTTAGCAAATCTGTGGTCATATGAGCATTTATCTTGCAGACACCCAAGTTTTGTGCCTCACCAGGCACAAGTTTGCTGTACTTATCAAGGACTGTCTGTAGACTCACCAATTCTCTTCTCTTATGACTGCGTTATAAAGCCTTTAGAGATGTTCTTCAACAGGATTATCTAAAGACTTCCTTGGGTTCTTGCAGGCCTCACAAATCTTATTTTCAGAATAAGACCCTCCTTTTTGAGAAGAATTTCTTTCTTTTAGAAAATGCCGTAGAGAAATCCAATATCAGAATGTCTGAACATAGTAGAGAATGTCACTTTATGTAAACACTACATTTTTCTTTAAATATTTAGTTTCTCTCTTTTTTTTGGTAAACTTCAAGTACTATAATTAAAATAACTAAGAGACATAATTCTTTGGCTAGTTATTCACATTAGAATTCTTTTTTTTTCCCCTTTTTAGCCCTTCTTTTACTGTAAATGTTGAATTGAGAGTTAATTATTTGGAAGAGACAGGATAGTAACAGATAAGGGAGAGACAGGAGATGAGAGAAAAACAAAACTCTGTCAATGAAGATAAATCAGACATAAAAAAATGAATGAATGGGAATATAGGATATGATTGATAGGAAATGTATGTTTTTTGGAAATAATTTTATTGCAAAAAAGGCAAAACAGGGGTAAAAACCAGACCATTTAGCTGTTGACACCCAAAATGACAAATTTTGAACTTGCTTTCATCTTAAACGCCACCAATAGTAATCTGGCACTATTTACCCCGATAGCCACTTAGCCTTAATTTTAATAGTTTCTGATGCTTCTATACTCAATAATTATATTCCTGTCTCCTTTAAAGCATCTAAAACAAAGATATCAGCACATAATAAATACTTGTTGATTAACTCATTGAGAAAAACGTAAGAAAAACACTTAAACAGAATGTTTTATTGACTTTAGGTCAGCTGGGAATAATTACCTGCATTTATGCCTTATTTTACCTCACTGGAAAAAAGACAAATGATATATTAGAGACTTCTGACTTTCATGTGTTTGCTGCTCTGGGCTGAGAGAACGTTCAGCTCTCTCCTGTAATGTGTGCATCAGTATTACAACTCATCAACAAAAGGTGTATGTCCCAAATTTCCACTTGCTGCCATTGACTTCTGGCCAGAAACAAACTTCTTTGCCGCCTTTAAAGAAACAAACAAAAGACAAAATTAACAAAAATAAAAATATATATCATCAAGCAGGCGAACTTATTTTGTCATTTCAAGAATTTATGGATAGGACATTCTTTTTTTTTTTTTTTTTTTTGAGGTGGAGTCTCGCTCTGTCACCCAGTGTGGAGTGCAGTGCTGCGATCTTGGCTCACTGCAGCCTCCGCCTCCCAGGTTCAAGCAATTCTCTGCCTCACCCTCCCAAGGAGCTGGGATTACAGGCATGTATCACTATGCCCAGCTAATTTTTGTATTTTTAGTAGAGACGGGATTTCGCCATGTTGGCCAGGCTGGTCTCAAACTCCTAGCCTCAAGTGATCCACTCACCTTAACCTCCCAAAGTGCTGGGATTACAGGCGTGAGCCACCAACCTGGCCTTCGATAGGACATTCTAAGCCAGCAATTACTATAATAGCTGTTGTGAAAATTAACTAGGAGATGGCTGGTGCTTTAATTTGGGACAGTGTGGGAGGAAAAGCTTAGCTGTTTCTCTGAAAGTCCCATTGTATGTGTAATGAACCAAGCAAGAGCAACACTGGTAAGAGGGTAGCTGTTCAAAGAGAGATAAGGAAAACAACACTGACACTGTCAAATAGAGTAGTGTGGCTTCAGGCAGGGATATACTTTCCTGTTTCGGTATTACAATGGCAAATAGTCTGGGTCAATAAAAATACATTGATTGTTAACTTAAAAGTAAAACTTGATACCCTAGAGGATTCTTTATGCCACTACTTCCAAGTTCAAAGGCTGGTTAAGTGTAGTATCATGAGTCAGGTGTAGGTGGAGCAGCAGCCCCCATATTCTGTCAGGCCAGCTTATCTTATTACTATGAAGGAGAGGTGGTGGTGGAAGCAGTCGGGTTGGGACGCACATAATGATAGGATATAAGATGAAGACAGCCATTTAAAAGAGTACCAAATGGGCTGGGCGCGTTGATTCACACCTGTAATCCCAGCACTTTGGAAGGCTGAGGCGGGTGGATCACGAGGTCAGGAGATCGAGACCATCCTGGCTAACATGGTAAAACCCCGTCTCTACTAAAAATACAAAAAATTAGCCGGCCGTGGTGGTGGGCACCTGTAGTCCCAGTTACTAGGAAGGCTGAGGCAGGAAAATGGCGTGAACCCGGGAGGCGGAGGTTGTACTGAGCCGAGATCGCGCCACTGCACTCCAGCCTGGGCAACAGAGCAAGACTCCGTCTCAAAAAAAAAAAAAAGAAGAGTATGAAATGACGATTGGGGCGAAGTGAAATCAAGTCAGGGTTACTATCTTAAAATAGCCTTGTCTCTTTTTTATTTGAGACAGGGTCTCACTCTGTTGCCCAGCCTGGAGTACAGTGGCATGATCTCGGCTCGCTGCAACCTCTGCCTCCCAGGCTCAAGCCACCTTCCCACCTCAGCCCCATGAGCTCCTGAGTAGCTGGGACTACAGGCGCATGCCACCAAGCCTAGCTAATTTTTGTACTTTTTTGTAGAGATGGGGTTTTGCTACATTGCCCAGTCTGGTATTGAACTCCTGGGCTCAAGCAATCTGCCCACCTCAGCCTTCCAAAGTGCTGGGATTACAGGAATGAGCCACTGCACCCAGCTTAGTTTTTTATTTTTTCTTATCCCCACTGTCCCTATACAAGGTAGACCTGTTGGTGAGAAGATGGCCGAGACATCTACAGTAGAAAGCAAGTTGGCAAGTTTAATGTAGAAAATGGGGAAAACCCACTTACTTTGGATTAATTCTGTAGGTCATGTGCTTGTTAGGCACAGCAGGGAACACAAAGAAGTACATGACATAGTCCTTGCCCTCAAAACAGCTCAATATTGTAGGGAACAATAATATATGTGAAAAAAAAATTAGCAAGAACAAGAGAATGTCCTAGGCTGAGAAGAGTAAAGAAAATCTTAAGATGCTAGATGGTGAAATATTGCTAGGACTGAAGAGGAAAAATAGCAAACTTCACTATTTAGGTTGGATCATATGAAACTGCTAATATTTGACTCTTCTTTACTTCTAGTCATCTAACATAAGCCCATTTTATAAACTACCATTAGTTTAACCTAACGTTTGATACGTTAGGTGTATTAAATGCACTTTTGACTGCCATCTCAGTGGATGGCAGCCCTCTTACTGACATCACAGTTTAACCTAATGGTAGTTTATTTGAAGGAGGAAGATACATATACTCGAGCTGACAGGGAAGCTTGTTGCGGATCTTATGGGAATGAGCCCTCCTGCCTCCACATTAAGTAGATGAGCACCAAACATAAGAATAATACACTGCCCAAGGACGCTTATGCATCCTTCTGAAATTGGATCATTAAGGTTAAGTTCTCTGTTGTTAAATCGTTAAGTTTTCATTTACTTACATTTATGATATCAGCATTAGCCACTGAATCAATCTGCTGAAGGACTGTGGATGGTGGCATGTAAGAACCAGCAACTAGAGCCTGGGACCCGACTTCTTCCAGGAAACACTCAGAAGACTCCACTGACATTAGGTATCCAGCTTTCAGCTTGTTCCTGTCCAATAAAAGGCAGAAGTCAGTTTTAGAGAGCAAGGCAATTATTTTTTTTTTCTGAGTGGTGGCGGGGGGCTGTGAACATCAAAGCTTTATTTAATGGATAGAGTAACAGCGTGTCTCCCTCTTCCTGAATTCCCCAAGAAGAATGCCACTCCCTTCTCTGGAACATACTAAAACAGTAAGTCTGAAGGGAAGAAGTCTCTTCAGGGTTGCCAAAGTGTCCAATTGAGGGCCCACTTTGGCCTCCATTTGTGGGTCCATATGCTGCTACAGATTTGAGTGAGACAGCTGGAGAGCTCCCTAATGCTTCCCAAGGCCTCTGGATCCGGTTGTGCAATCTGGATCCTCTGCATGTCACTGGCCAGTCGCAGCATGCTCTTTCTCCTGCCCACTGGCACAGTGAGGAAGATCTCTCTGCTGTCAGTGAGAAGGCTGTCATCCACTGAGATGGCAGTCAAAAGTGCATTTAATACACCTAACGTATCGAACATCATAGCTTGGCCCAGGTTATCTCATATGTGCTCAGAACACTTACAATAGCCTGCAGCTGGGCAAAAGTCTTCTAACATAAGCCCATTTTGTAAGGAAGCATTGATTATCTCATGTACTGCATATCACTAGCCTAGGAAAAGATCGAAATTCAAGGTATAGTCATGTACTACATAATGATGTTTTTGGTCAATGATGGACCACATATATGATGGTGGTCCCGTTAAGATTATTAGGGAGCTGAAAGATTCCTATTACTTACTGACAACATAATGTTGTAGTGCAATTTTAAAAAAATAAATTTAGCGTAGCCTATGTTTACAGTGTTTAGTATCTACAGCAGTGCACAGTAATGTCCCAGCCCTTCCCATTTACTCACCACTCACTCACTGACTCACTCGAAAGCAGGAGCTATGCCATAAAAATGGCATACCATTTTTTTATCTTTTGTGCTGTATTTTTACTGTACCTTTCCTATGTTTAGATGCACAAATACTTACCTTTGTGTTATAACTGCCTACAGTATTCAGTACTATAGTACATGCTATACAGGTTTGTAGCCTAAGAGCAATAGACTATACCATAGAGCCCATGTGTGTAGTAGGCTATACCATCTAGATTTGTCTGAACACTGAGGTTCACACAGTGATGAAACCACCTAACACCACATTTCTCAGAATGTATCCCCATCGTTATGTGACCCATGACTGGAAGCTGAAATTGCGATGGTTTTCCTCCATAGTCAAGTTGAAAAATTATAATTGATCCATGGCAAGTTGGGGACAGTGTATATTGTAAACCTACCTTTTGGCTGCTACAGTGTGAAGACCAGGGATCTTGAAGAGCCTTCTGTCAAACCAGGGTGTCAGGCCTGTACTTGGTGTCACCACAGACAACTCCACCTGGCCCACAGCTGGGGTCACAGTGTTATAAAGGTCACAGTCTTGACCTTTTCCTTTTGCCTTTTCCTTGTATGAAGTGGGTTCTCTTCTTGGATGGAGGATACCGTTCAATGCTTGTAGTTTGAAGATTCTCATGTTTATTTTCTTCTTATGCTATCGTTTCACTTGTATTACCTGTGAGTTTTGGCAGGTTTCGGGGGTGTCTGAAGAGCTTCTGCTGTCTGTTTATTTCTGTGATATCCACTTCAGCTGTTGCTGCCTCTTTTAGGGCCTGTTTGTTTTCACCAAGGGTGAAGTAGTCAAGCCAGTTCCTCTTACACAGTGAAACAGGGCAATTTTAAGGTATGTGCCCCGAAACTCAACATATTTTTGGTAAACAGGCAAACTAACAACTTACAGTGCTAATGGCCTCCATTCTATTTCTTCAGTTCACCAAGTACGTGAACCGTTTACGTTACTATTTGGAAAGCTGTCAGTACGAAATTATACTGAAAACTCCACAGATTGCTTTTTGATTTGGGACTAGAACTTAGATCTAGGTAAAACTATTTTAATGTAAGGTTTTGATTAGTGAAGCAACTCCTGCCTCTTGCTGAGATTTGTCTGTGAGCATAGGGTATGATGGAAAAGGCAGGTGGGGAAGGGCAGTACAGGTCTTGTAAGCAACGGCAGCTTAAATATGGGCACAAAAGCATCCACTTGAAATAAAACAAAATCCAATTCACAATTCTCCCAGAAACTTATTACTTATAGACATGGTGTTTGATAAGACAGTCGAGTTATTTGAACCTCAAACGTTTATCATCCTTTAACACTCTACAGAAAGACTTCCATTTAAACATAATTACAATTTAATGCTGCAGTTTTACCACGTTGTCAGCTTAATTAAAAAATGATTTTACCTGCAATAAACTACCAAGAGGTTATTAGTGTGTCCTTTCGGCAATGACACCTCACTTTCTCTCTTTCACTACAGGAAGAACTTACAAGAAAAAGTATCAACTCCATCAAAATGGCAGAAAACATACTTTGACATTAATATTCAAAATTCTACTTTCTGCTTATTACCATACCTTGTAAGAACTGTGTTACACTTATTAAGAAAATACGTTTTCTTAAATAAATTAGATTTGAAAAACTTAGGTTTTTCTTAAGTAAATCCAGTGTTTCAATGTATTCTCATCATGTTTTGTTTCTGGTACAATCAAGCAGCCCTGCATCCTATCGATTCTTGGTTCTATGTATACAATATTTAATAAATTGTGTTGTACTTATACAAGAGATGCAACTTTGTAGTGTGCTCAGCATAACAAAACTAACAATACTAATGGGAACAGAAATGACCAAAAGGTTGTTCCATCCTGGGTTGTAATTCTGCTTCCCCTGTGGGCAATACTAAATGATCATAACGACCACTGGAGTTGCAAGATTCACATTTTGAATTGTTCTAAGTAGATGGAGTCAAACTTAAATGTCTTAAGCGGCTGTATGAAAATGCAGGTTGATTTCCAACTTTGTCCCAAGTCTGTCTCTTTTAGAGAAACCCTCGAACTACTAATGAATTAGGAGTGTTGATAGCACTTTCAATCTGGACAGTGGGGATTTATAAATTGCCAAATAGCAGACAAGTATTTTAGTCTTTCTTATAAAACAAAACAAAATCAGATCTTTTTTGGGTATAAATTAGTTATGAAGAAAGAAACTATTGTAGAATAGGTACTCTTATATACTGGTGGTATGATTATAAACTGGTACAATCTCTTTAGATTTGTGACTTAGAAATACATTTTTTTTTTTTAAGAGACAGGGTCTTGCTCTGTTGCCCAGGCTAGTGTGCAATGGCGTGATCTTAGTTCACTGCAGCCTCAAACTCGTGGGCTCAAGCAATCCCCCCTCTTCAGCCTCCTGAGTAGCTGAGGCTACAGGCACACACTACCACACCTGGCTAGTTTTAAATATCTTTTTGTAAAGACAGTGTCTTGCCACATTACCCAGGCTGGTTGAACTCCTGGCCTCAAGTGATCCTCCTGCCCCAGCCTCCCAAAGTCCTGGGATTACAGGTATGAGCAACTGCGCCTAGTCAAATGTATTATTTAAACATACACACATACACACACTCTAACATGGAGTCTTTCGTTATGTTTATAACTCTTAACTTAGTTGGGAATCTACACCAAGAAAGTAATACGAAACACAAAAATATTTTAAGCCCAAAGATATCTTTATAACTGCAGAAAATGCACAAGTGTATTTTGACACACCAATGAATATTGTTTAAATTTTTAGTAATTTGAATCAATGGAAACAGAATCATTGCTAGGGAAATCAGAGATCATTTTTGTCTTTTATTTGTAATTTTCAAACTTCTATAATAAGGATGCTATTTAAATAAGATAAAAAAGTATACAGATGGTCCCTAACTTAACTTATGATGGTTTGACTTATGTTTGTTTGGCTGGATGACTGGGTTATTAGGGTATTAAATGCATTTTCGATATGCGCATTTCTCAGGACGTAACCCCAGTGTAAGTCAAGCAGCATCTATATATACAATATTAACAATTATGTTTAAAAATGCATGATCAATAAACTAAGAAAAATGTTAACAATTATTCTCTAATTTTGGTGGAGACGAGGTCTTGCTATGTTGCCCAAGCTGGTCTCAAACTCCTGGTCTCAAATGAACCACCTGCCTTGGCCTCCCAAAGTGCTGGGATTAGTGAGCCACTGTGCCTGGCCAAAATGTTAACAATTATATCTTTAGGTGGTAGGATATGGGTATGTTTCCCTTTTTACGCTTTTCTGTACTTCTCAGTCCTTATGAGCATAGATTGTAATATTGTTATAATCTGAAAAGAATACAACTTTCAAATAACAAAAACATAAAACACAGTTAATACTGAGACTTACTTGGCAGCTTGGACATCTGTGTTGGAAAGGTTTCCTTGAGCTATTGTTTTTACTTGATTATAGGCAGCCTTGATAACCTAGGACAGATAAGAAAAGTTGGTCATCTGTGGTCAGTACCAGAGTCTCCTGCAGCACTGACACACTTCTTTACTGAGGCAAAAACACAGATGGAAGGTTAGTTCCAGACAAACAGCACAGTGTCCATGCGGAATGCTGTCATCACTATGGGTTCCTTATTCTTCCTATGTTCATAAAGCAGCTGTTTATACACAATCCTCCTGCCCCAGCCTCCCAAGAAGCTGGGACTACAGGTGCATGCTACCAGGCCTGGCTAATTTTTTAGCTTTTTTTGTAGAGATGTGTGGGCTCAAGTGATCCTCCCACCTTAACCTCCCAAAGTGTTGGGATTATAGGTGTGAGCCACCACACCCGGCCAAACACATGGATTTCTAATCACCCATAAAGAATAAGCACCTTTAAAACTTCCCCAGACTCTTGCAGTGTCATGCCATTAATACTGCTATCTCTTACTATTCACTAAGAAGAGAGTAGTAATCCATACACAGCCAATTTGTAAGGCTTGTCCATACTTTGTAAGCCAGGGTCAAGAAGGAATCTGAATCCTTGTATGGTATTTAAAAAAAGAAAGAAAGAATAAAGTTCCGGGGATGTGGGTACTTGGTAAATATTTGTTGAATAAATAAATAAATCTGACCATGATTTTCTCCATCCCAGTGCTGGCTGGGTCTGCTACTTATTTTTCCCTCTGATCACCTAAATTCTAGGACCTCTGTTTCCCCTTCATTTTAGCTGCCCATTTTCAGAGCCACACCCCAGACCTGATCATAGCCTAAATTTGCATACCTCTGAAGCCCTCAATTCTAAGACCCCGACCTCAGTCTTTAATCTCACTATCCTTATTCTTCCACTTTATCAAGATCTCTAGTTCCTTGACTTGTCCAGTCTTTCAATTTATCAGGCCCCCTCTGGCTTCACTTCTCTATTGAGCCTAGATCCCTGAATCATCCTTTTAATCACTCTTGCCAATGCTCCCAACTCCCTTGCTATCTCCTCATACTTCTCACCTGCCCACTTTGCAGGATTCCAACCTGGGATTAACCCTAATACCTACCTCCTCCATTTCTCTATTAGGCTTCTGAATGCAACTGAAGAAAAATTACATGACAGTGCTGACTGACTGTACTATGAATTTGTGGTCGCTGATTTCAAGGATACATCTACACTACAGCGAATACCCACTTTTTGTGTACCTCACTATTTGTCTGTCCCAAACTTCACTACTTTCTTTAAACTTTCCTCTCACGTCTGTCAAAACATGACTTAGCCTCCTGTCTCACTGAGGAGGTACTTCCCCATCTTCCCAATATCTTCCAATATTAGCCTGTCTGTAAGGCTAAAAGGTCCACTTGTGTGCTGGATCCCAAGTATTCCTTTCTCAGACTTGAGCCATTTATAATTTTCTATCTCCGATATCTGCTCCGATCTTTTTGCTCAGTATGTCTCTTTCAACCTAATCTCTCAGTGTAAACTCTCCTAAAACAACTTGCTCCTTGAATGTCTAAGCTCCACTAGCCCACACCAACCTCTCATTTCTTACTTGTCATTCATTCCTTAATCACTACACATTTTACCCAATTTCCACTACTCTAGTCAAAACTGTTAAGATCACCCATGATGTCCTAGCTTGCTGAAACTACCAGACTTCTCAGTGGTAATGAATGTTATTTCACTGTGGGTCAAAATGGTGTTAAACATACTCTCTTTCCTATCCTTCAAATATATCAGCTTCTCTTTTTCTTTCTGTTTACCTGGGCCATTTTTCTTAGCCACTTGCTCCTTAAATGGTGTTGTTTCCCAGAAATTGAGCTTTAGTTTTCTTTTCCTACAATCATTCACACATATCCCTGATTTCAACACAATCTCTACACTGAAGACTTGCAAATAAACCTCCTGGTCTTCCCCTCTCCTGGGTTCTCAATTTAGATGTCTCAGAGCCAACTCAATGCAACTTGTCCAACCAGAACCAAAACATGAAGGAGGCAATTCTCTCCTCTTTCCTGGAAGCATTAGTATACATGTGTAAATTTCCCTATAGCAGATAATGCTTCAATGACATCATACTATACAGAGCTCTGATAAGTCATTGCACTGCATTCAAACATTCCATATTTTAACCGAAAACATGTTTATGGCGGGGGGGAGAAATAACTTGTTCATGAAAGAAGTTTGGTGAGTTTGCAACTTACATCTCCAGCAGCTGTGGCCTGGGAGATAGTATAAATCCCAAAGAGTCCAGAATCTGAGTAACTGGCATTAAATGCAGAAACCTGAAAGATAATGAGACTTTACTGTATGATATTCTACCAAGTAAAACAGGGCACGATTTCTTTAAGTTTGCCTAGAAAAAACTTGGACCTTCACGGTATAAACAAAATAGATTAATATTTTACTTAGCCAGTTCTGTCACGAACTGAAGTATTCTGTAAATAGGTTACCTCTTTCAGAACTATCACGGCTTTGTTTTTTCATTTAAATATTTCTAAAATGACTGCTCCCTTTCCTTTATGCTGGGTATTTTCTAACCTGCTTTAGATGATTAAAGGTTTATGCAAACACTAATCTGCAAACATTATTATTATAATATAGATAGGCTTTGGCATTAGGCAGACCAGGTTTCTTCTCTCTGCTGTTGGTAGGGACTTTTTCACCAATTTACTTTCATTTCTCTTATACACTCATGTCAGAAAGTTAGAGAAAAATTTCTGCTTAGTGGTCATTATCCAGATGTCCAAGCTATCAAGAGTTTAACCTCTGAATAACAGGGATATTGTTATCTAGTTTGAGCAGAGCTTTTAGCTCTCTAGGGTGAACCCGATTTGCAGTGTTTATGTGGACCATTTACATAAAAATTATCTAAGTTCTTATTAAAAATACAAACTTTCAGATTCCCAAAATGGACCTACTGACTCAGGTCCCTGTGGATGCAGCCTGGAAGCCCAGATTTTTAACAAGTGTTCCAGGTAATTCTTATGTACAATAAACTTGGAGAACCATTGGCTCAGTCCACGTAAAGCATAAGAAGGCACTTCAATTTCTTTTATTTATTTATTTATATATATTTTTGAGACAGAGTCTTGCTCTGTCACCCAGGCTGGAGTGCAGTGGCACGATCTCAGCTTACTGAATCCTCCGCCTCCTGGGTTCAAGTGATTCTTCTGCCTCAGCCTCCCAAGTAGCTGGGACTACAGGCGTGCGCCACCACGCCCAGACAATTTTTGTATTTTTAGTAGAGACAGGGTTTCACTGTGTTAGCCAGGATGGTCTTGATCTCCTGACCTTGTGATCCGCCCAACTTGGCCTCCCAAAGTGCTGGGATTACAGGCGTGAGCCACTGTGCCTGGCCTGGACTTCAATTTCTTTAATTATAATTCTGAGGCCATCCTATTTATACTCTAAATTTCTGGCTGAGTTCTGAACTAGGAATTTCTATTAAATTACTTCATTGGATTAGGAGAGATGGGGGTTTCACCACGTTGGCCAGGCTGGTCTCGAACTCCTGACCTCCAGTGATCCGCCCACCTCGGCCTCTCAGAGTGCTGGGATTTTAGTTGTGAGCCACTGTGCCCAGCCTCTCATTTTTCTTTTCAAATTTAATCTCAAGCTGAATGAGTGAGTCTGTAAACAATTTCTTGGTGTTCATCTTGTCCACTTGGTTGGAAAACAAATAGTGAGATTCAGGAAGTAACCAAAAGAACAGAAGCGGACAGAAGAAAATCTAGAAAAAAAGACTAGTTAGAATCTAGGGGAAAGTTTAATATCTACAACTTTATTCTAAAGGGAACGGATGTGTGGATTCCCTTTATTTCTAAGCATTCAATTCCTCTTTTTATATTACTAATGACAAGTAATAGACAAAGTGGAAAAGCCAGTGAGTTTTTGATAGGCCTTCAAAGATACTAAAATCAAGCCTGGCTATCTCTTCAATTGTACAAAGATTTTCTGTGTGTTTGTCTTACATTTTAAGAGTAGATTATCAGAATTATATCTTAAATACTGAGCCTTTGAAAGCAAAAAGAGAGATACCAACTGTTCAGACTCACATCAAATGGCTGCTGAGTTGCCTTGGCAACAGCCTGGTGCAGATGGCTGGTGGTGTTGCTGCCCCTCTTGACATGTGGCCCAGCACCGAGGACATGCTGAAGAACACTAAATGCATTTGCCTCTGCACTTCCCGCGACAGCACTTTCTGCTACAAAAGCAGCATGGACAAGACTGTCTCCATTCTGTTCTCGGATTTCACCTGGGGCCAGATTAAGGATAGAGGGAAGAAGAAAATGGCTTGTTCACCATTGGTTTCATTCTCCAGTATTTCCTACAACACAGTATTAACCCACGAGTCTTTTCTGCAGCTCGGTGCTTTCCCCATGCCATCCTGTCCCCAAACACACACAAAACATATGCTCAAAATACAACACCCAAGCCATCCAATTCTATGCCGAGACTGTTCAGTAGTAAATATTCAGGCCTATTCCACCTCAATATGCTATTCTAGTGGGGAAACGCCCTTCTGATAAATTAACCCTAATAGAATGAAATGCTTACCTCCACGGTAGTTGGCCTTTGCACCAGATAAACCAAGCCCACCCCTCATGTTGAGAAACTGTTCAGCAACTTGCTTTAGAACAGGATGACTCACACCTGTTTCAACAGAAGCAAAAACAAAGCTAGAACCACAATTACTAAAACACAATCGTAAAATATTTTTTCCTTGTTTTAAAAATACGATTGTAAAATCCTAACACTACAAAATAAATAAGAGTCTTCCTGCCATAATGCCACTCTCCCAGAGATACCCAATTACAGTTTACTATTACTAAACTATTTACTATATACTTAGTATTACTATTCATCTAGAATTTTCTGTGTAGTTAATATTATCTTCAATTTATTTCTAAAATGGTATCATTCTATTGATATTGTTTCTAACTTATCTTTCATAATTTACAAATTTCTAAGTGAGTAGTCTACATCAAATATTTAATGGTTATAAAGAATCCCTTTCTATGGCTCTACCACCATTTATTTGATCAATCCCCTCCTAATGGACGCTAGCATGTTTCTAATAGTTAGCTCTTAAAACAACATTGCATTGTCCATCAAAGAACACTGTATCAAGAAAGTAAAAAGAGGACCCATGAAATGCAGGAAAATATTTGCAGATAATATATCTGCTAACAGCTTGAGTAACCAAAATATATAAAGAACCTTTACAACTCAACAATTAAAAAAAAAAACTTAAAAATGGGCAAAGACTTGAATAGACATTTCTCCAAAGTTGACTGGGCACGGTGGCTCACATCTGTAATCCCAACAGTTTGGGAGGCCGAGGCAAGTGGATCACCTGAGCTCAGGAGTTCGAGACCAGTCCAGCCAACATGGTGAAACCCCATCTCTATTAAAATTACAAAAATTAGCCAGGAATGGTGGCATGCACCTGTAATCCCAGCTACTCGGGAGGCTGAGGCCGGAGAATTGCTTGAACCTGGGAAGTGGAGGTTGCAGTGAGCTGAGATTGCGCCACTGCACTCCAGCCTGGGCAACAGAGCAAGCCTCTGTCTCAAAAAAACAAACAAACAAAAAAAGTTATACAAATGGACAAAAAGCACATGAAAATATGTTCAATGTCATTTGTCATTAGGGAAATACAAATCAAAACTACAATGACCACTTCCCACCCAGTAGGTTGTTCATAATCAGAAAGACAGACGATAAGTGTTGGTGAGGATGTGGAGAAATCAAAACCTTTGTGCATTGCTGGTGGGAATGTAAAATGGTGCAGCTACTTTGGAAAACAGTCTGGCAGTTCCCCAAATGGTTAAACAGAGTTACCATATGTCCTGGCAATTCTGTTCTTAGACATAACCAAAAGAACTAAAAACAGGTTTCCTAAGAAAAATGTACACGTGAATGTTTATATTTACGACAGCCAAAAGGTAGAAACAACCCAAATGCCAATCAATGAATAAACAAAATGTGGTAATGGAGTATTCTTGAGCCATAAAAGGGAATAAGACATTGAATTGACACATGCTACAATATGGACGGACCTTGAAAACATTATGCTAAGTAAGAAAAGCCAGTTACAAAAGGCCACATATCGTATGACTCCATTTATAGGAAATGTCCAGAATAGTCAAATCTATAGAGACAAAGTAGATTATTGCTACTTAGGAGGCTGAGGTGGGAGGATCACCTGAGCCTAGGAGTTCAAGGCAGTGAGCTATGATTGTGCCACTGTGCTCCAGCTTGGGCAACAGAATGAGACCTCCATCTCTTTAAAAAAAAAAACAAAAACAAAGTAGATTAGTGGATGCCACAGGCAGGGGGAAGATGAGAATGGGGAGTGACTGCTAATGGGTATGGGGCTTTTGGGGGGATGATGAACACACCCTGAAATTAGGTAGTGGTAATAGTTGAATCTGTTAAAAACCACAGAACTATTCACTTCAAAAGGGTGAATTTTATAGCATGTAAATTATATCTTAAGCTGTAATTTGCAAAACAAAACAAAAAATATTACAAATGATATTCTCATGCAACTACTTTGTAAACTTGACCTAATGTTTCTGTAAGACAAATTCTTAAAAGTCACTGGGTCTATGAGTGTAAACATTTGGAATTGTATTTTTTTGAGACAGAGTCTCACTCTGTCGCCCTTGCTGGAGTGCAGTGGCACGATCTCAGCTCACTGCAATCACTGCCTCCTGGGTTCAAGCGATTCTCCTCCTCAGCCCCCCGATAGCTGGGATTACAGGCATGTGTCACCATGCCCGACTAATTTTTGTATTTTTAGTAGAGACGGGGTTTCGCCATGTTGGCTAGGCTGGTCTTGAACTCCTGACCTCAGGTGATCCGCCCGCCTCAGCCTCCCAAAGTGCTAGGATTACAGGCATGAGCCACCATGCCCAGCCTAGAATTTTAACAGATATGTTCAAAAAGATCTCCCAAAATGTTGTACTAGTTTATATTCCTACTAACAATTTGTGAGAGTGCCTATTTCTCCATACCCTGGTTAATTCTGGGCAGAGTCCATCTTTTAATTTTGCCAACATCACAGATTAAAATTTTCTTAATTATTAGTGAGGCTGATCATTTAAAACAAAGATAGTTGGCTACACATATACAAACATATTTCTCCCATGAACTGTCTGTTCATGCCCTTTGCCTGTTTTTCTAGTAAGCTGTACTTCCTTTTAAAAAAGTTTGTAAAAGCTCTTTGCTTTGAGAAATTCACCTTTGTCACAGGTTTTACAAATACTGTAAAGAATTTAAAGCCAGTGGTTTACAAATTTAAATGTTGGATTCTGCTTTCCAAAACAAATGACTAGCAATTAAAATCCTATGATATATTGCCTGTCTGACATAAATAGAAGGCCGAAGTTTTCAAATTTTGTTCAATCCTATGTTCACGTAATTACAGTTTAAGGAACTGCTCTTAAGGAAGCAAACTGACAGGCAGGCAATACTCTAAACTTACCAAGTCCAATCAAAGCCATTCTTGCACTTGTGAAATGGTTCTGAACGAAGTAATGTAACTGAGGAAGTTAAAAACACTTATTAGGTTATATTAGCATAAATATAAAAAGCTGTAAAAACATAAAAGTACAGTTTGGAAGAAAATAAATACTTATAAGGCCTTATAAGTTGCTGTAATGAACTACAAGGTACTAACTGAGGTGAATTACCCTGGGATTTTATTATAAAAACTATTGCTTAAAAGAACTAGAACCTAATTGTGGTCATGGTTGCACAACTCTGTGAATATAATGAAAACCACTGAATTGTGTACACTTTAAATAGGTTGTATAGTATGGTGAATTACATCTCAACAAAGCTGTTATTTATAAAAGGAATAAAAAGAGGCTGGGTGCAGTAGCTCATGTCTGTAATCCCAGCACTCTGGGAGGCCAAGGCTGGCGGATCATTTGAGGCCACGAGTTTGAGACCAGCCTGGGCAACACAGCGAAATCCTGACTCTACTAAAAATGCAAAAATTAGCCAGGCATGGTGGTGCACGCCTGTAATCCCAGCTACATGGGTGGCTGAGGCACGAGAATTGTTTGAATCCAGGAGGCAGAGGTTGCAGTGAGCTGAGATCGTGTCATTGCACTCTGGCCTGGGCGACACAGCAAGACTCTGTCTCAAAAAAAAAAAAAAAAAAAGGAATAAAAAGAAATTAGAGCATACACTGGCCTAAACTTGAAAACGTGGACTATGATTTTTATTATAATGTAGCTTACGTAGTATGTCAGGTTTCTTTTGTGTTTATATAAGTAGTAATGAAGCACTATTAACATTCTATAACAGGGCTAACAGAGTTTTACCACAACACCCTTCTCGTCCATCTTTGAAGCCAATCTCTATAAAGCTTTTCTGACCATGAAGTCATTGTCTATACCAGGGTGTCGAAACTGTAAGATCACAATTACTCAGCTTGAAAAACAAAAACGGTCACTGTCCCCCATTCTTGGGACTTACCCTACAGACTGATATAAAATATTAAATGTGGAATCCTAGAATCCTTATTTAAAACCGACCAACTACCCATCCATCCAATCAACCACTCAGGCGATCTGAAGATTGGTGAGACTTGGTTATCACTGGTTTATATTACCACCTTAGGCTTAATATACAAAAGTAGGGCTAAAACATGTACTTTCAACAGAAATGCTATCCTTTCCAGATGGGTGAAAATTGGTTTGGGGTAACTAAGAAAAAAAAAAAACTTACGACTTCTATGTAAAAAGTACAAATATACAGCACATAAACTCTATCTGTGGTATTAAAAGTAAGAGGTTTAGAAAAAAATGGCTAGAAAGGCTCCTCAGGAAGGAAAGTGATAACGTTTTGAGAATCACTGGGCTAAAGTAATGAAACTGAACTTTTAATCAATTTATCATAATCCGTGCCCTAAAATGAATGGTGTCTGTACCTATGGAGTAACCTTGGAAAGTCATACTCTTTTTCTATTGATGTTTTTCTATTGATGCTGCCATTGCTCCAAGTATTCTAGCGCCAATTTCTTTAGAGTTTCCTTTAGCCTAGGGACACATTTAAAAAATACTATTAACTTTGAGATAACCAAGTTATCACAGTTAACATCTTGATATTTGTCTATAATGCATACATACATACCTTTTATTAAAAAAAAGGGACCTTTTGGTATGTCCTAATCCATAAATTGCTTTATGTGACAACATGCTGTGGAGTTTTATGTATCAACTAATATTTTTGAATGGTTGAATACTGTTCCATTCTATAAGTTATTTAACTAGTTCCCTAATGCTGGATATTAACTTGTTTCTAATTTTTCACAATTATAAACTAGTATTACAATAGCCATCCTTGTAGATAAACTTTTGCTAAGTTTTAGCTAACTTAATGACACATCTTCATGAGGGTGAATTTGATTTCTGAAAAATTTCAAAACTCATTAGAGTCCAGTCTTATGAAAACGGCTGCCTGTTCAAGTTGGATGATGTAAGTTAAAATTTCTAAATAAAAGTGCCATATGAATGAAAGGCATCAAACTGTTAATTGATAAGTCAAAAAGAGCAAGGGATACAGTTTAGTTTTCTGTAACAGCTAACTAAGAATAAAACGAGAATAAAAACCTTGAATTTTTGAGTCAGATATACTTTGAAGGTGTTGATAATTACAAATTTTTCTCTTAATGTCTTTTGATAAAATTTGTTTTTGGGTCTGGGTGGTAGGAATAGGAAATTAAGATTATACGCACATATCTACACTTGTAGATTTAGCATTCAATGTTTCATGTTTTGGAAACAAAGTTCTAAGATGCACATATGGCTGTGGCATGTGACAAACCCCTATAGCCAGCAAACGGAGGCTGGTGTGCTGAAGAACGTGAATGAGTGAGCGAGGATGGAACAGGAGCTAAGGAAGTGGGCTCAAGTCTTATTTACAAATTCAGAGAGACCAAAGAGTTTTAGTCAAAGGACCTATTTTATATATATGTATACACACACACATATATATATATTTTTTTTTTGTAGAGACAGGGTCTTGCTATGTTGCCCAGGCTGGTCTTGAACTCCTGGCCTCAAGTGATCCCTCTGTCTTGGCCTCCCAAAGTGCTGAGATTACACGCATGAGCCACTGGGCCCAGCCCCTATTATGATACTTAAACATTTAAATACTGTTTAAAAAAGATACACAGGCTGGGTGCAATGGCTCATGCCTGTAATCCCAGCACTTTGAGAGGCATAGGCAGAAGGACTGCTTGAGCTTAAGAGTTCAAGACCAGCCTAGGCAACACAGCAAGACCCCGTATTTAAAACAAACAAACAAAAAAGATACATACACACAGAAAACGGTTTAGAAGAAAATATACCAGGTATTAACACTGAGTGCCTTTAGGTATGTGAGATGTTTTCTTTCCCTTCATTTTGTTTGATTTTACTTTTTAATTTTTCTGTAATGATCATGTCCCTTTAGTCATGAAAACATTTCTTAAAGGAGACACAAAAATTGTTCAGATAAAATTTTAGTTAAAAAGCAGGTGGATGAAAAAGCTAGCACGCTGAATTTCTTAAAGTTAGAAGATAAAAGGAAAAATTAACAAACAAACCTGAAATGGGAGATGTTCAATTTAATGTGAAAAACAAGCACATTTCAAAATATGTTTTATTGGTACCTCCTCTGATGTCACTTTTCCAATCCTATAGTCAGGACAATACAAGGGATTAGCCAAGGCATTCCGGTAAGCTGCTGCATGCAAATTTTCAATGACATCTGTGAGATAAGTGAAGAAGCATTTAGGGAAATGCACTTTCAGTAAAGACAACATTTTTAAAACCTAGAAAGCAACAAGCCTATACAAATTTGGTCATCTTCTGGCATTCATATGTTAAGAGGACTTAAAATTTATTATTATTTAACCTCTAGTAACTGCCAGTTTCTGCCAGTAGAATGTGCTGAGAAAAAAATAAAAAAGATTACATGGCAGCAGCTTCTATATACTGGAGTCCACCTAAACCACTTTTCTAACTTTAACCTAGCTGGTATCACTTGGAAGGTATACTGGCCTGGGTTTTGGGAAGTCCCCATCTAGTTATGGTTCTGCCGCCATCTTGCCATGTGACCTTGGACAAGTCATTTAATCTGAATTTTACTTACTCCTAGGTTTCCTCTCTAGGTAATAAGGAGATTGTCAGGTAGCTTTCAGGGGACCAATGGGAGCTTCCACTGGGACTTACTCCTCTGTGGTGCTTGGTGCTTTCCCTGCTTTCTTGCTTCAATGCCTTTTTGCCTGCAGTATTTCCTTCAGTTGCTCATTACCTGGCAACTTGCCTATGCGAGGCACTGTGCTAGGTGCTAGAAATACAGAGATGTGGAACATACAATGCCTGCCCTCAAATTTTAAGAGGAAAAACTGTGAAATAAAGTATTATGGGTGCAATGTCGGCAGTGTGTCAAAAGTGCAGTAGAGGTACAAGGCAAGGGCAGTGGGAATTGGAAAACAATTAATACAAGTAATATGTGGGATCCATCTTACAGAATGAGCTGGTGTTTCCCAGGGGAAATCATTTGGGAACAGCATTTTAGGCACAGGAAGCAGACAAAACAAAGGCATAAAGTATAACAATAATTTGATTCAAATGGGAATTGCAGCTGGAAGGAGAAGAGGGTAGAGCATAAAGTAAGAGAAGTGGGCTGGGGTAAGATCACGCAAGGCCATATACGTATATGCTGTTTGGACTTTATCCCATAGATAATAAGAAGGCTTACTTTCACGTCAGAAGGATCACTGTAATGGCCGTGTGGGAGATGGACTCAAGACGTAAACCTGGAGGCTGACACCAGCCAGGAGACTACACAGTAACTGTTCAGGCAGAATAGATGCAGGCTGGTGCCTCACTGCCGCCAGTGGGGAAGAAGCCACTCTGGACACATAGGTCATCTTTTCTAAAATTGTACTATTCTATCTATTTCTTCAGTAGAAATCCTGAGCAACAAAGATAATGCTCCTCTGTGACACCAAGCATCATCATGAAATAACATCAGTCCCCAGGCCTGCATGTGGAGGGGAGCCTGTCCCATGCTGAACCACTGAGTTGAGCTATTTCTGCTCTTCCTGCACATTTCTGCTCCCACCAGAAGTTGTATGACTCCCAAGAGTCAGCGGCGCTTGCTTACAGACTTGTATTACCAGTTGTACTTGTCAAGATTATATAATTAGACATTATATAAACATAAAATATGAATGCAAAAAAGATTCCTATTAAAAAAATTAAGTTACTTACTTTGGAAAGACTCAATAAAGAGGAGATGGCTAAACAATAATAGCAATACAATAGTAAGCAATAATAGCAGCAGCAATAAACTGGTGTAGGATTTGGGGTAAGCAAAACAACTCTTAAAAATCACTAGGGGTCAGGCACAGTGGCTCACGCCTGTAATCCCAGCACTTTGGGAAGCTGAGGTGGGAGGATCACTTCAGCCCAGGAGTTCGAGACCAGCCTGGGCAATAGAGTGAGACCTCATCTCTATAAAAAAATAAAAATAAAAATTAGCAGGGTGCGGTGGTGTGTGCCTGTAGTCCCAGCTACTCAGGAGGCTGAGGTAGGAGGATCACCTGAGTCCAGAAGGTTCAGGCTGCAGTGAGATTGTGCCACTGCACTCCAGCCTGGGCAACAAGCAACACCCTGTCTCAAAAACAAACAAACAAACAAACAAAAACAAAACATTGGGAAGGAAACAGGAAAAACTTCTAGGATCTTACAAACAATTTACTTACCATCAAACATGAAAAATGATTATAAATGTTTAGAAACAAAAGAATAATAAATCTAAATAACAAATTTTTGAAAAAGATATTTTCAAATTCAAGGAGTAAAACATTTGGCCAGGCATGGTGGCTCACACCTGTAACACCAGCACTTTGGGAGGCTGAGGTGGGTGGATCACTTGAGGCCAGGAATTCAAGACTGAACTCCAGTCTGACCAACATGGCAAAACCCTGTTTCTACTAAAAATACAAAAAATTAGCCAGGTGTGGTGGTGCACACCTATAATTCCAGCTGCTCAGGAGGCTGAGGCAGGAGAATTGCTTGAACCCGGGAGCTGGAGGTTGCAGTGAGCCAAGATCGTGCCACTGCACTCCAGCCTGGGTGACAGAGTGAGACTCTGTCTCAAAACAATAAATAAATAAAAATAAAAATAAAAATTTTGACAGCAATTTTTTTTCTTCTATAAATTGATCTTCTAAAAAACCCAGTATCTTAGAATCAAATGTGATCTGGAAATGTACTTACGAGTCTGCGGATTCTGAAAGGCCACAGCTTTGTCAATCTTTAGCTGAGGCTGAAGGTCAGCTACTTCCCAACGACGAAATTCTGGTGCTGTGGTGACATTGAGCAGGAACTCCATTAGAATATCACTACAGAAGACATCGAGATAAGAATTATGAGTCAAAAATGTAAAGCCAACATTTGAGATTCTACATAGCTGTAATGCTCTCAATGTGAAACTTTAGGTCTTGTGGTAAGCAGTGTTTTTGAGCAGTTTATGAACAATAATCCAAAATGGAAGTCAGAGGTCATAATGACGCATTACAAAGACCAGAAGTGAGCAGCTTAGTATTTCTTTCAAAGCAGAAGTCCTAAACACACACAGGTACTTACACATCACCCCGCAGGCATTCCACAGTATAAGCCATGTTTTCCCTTGTTGCGGTCACACTGAATCGGAAAATAAACTAGAGTAAATCATCTGAATCAGGATAGTAAGCTTTCCCTTATAATCTTCTATCAACCAATTCCTTTGGAAAGAAAATTTCTGAAGTATAAAAGGTGCGAACAATAATATAACAAAACTCCACATATTAACCAACTAAAATTCAAAATTTTTTTAAAAACCAGCAAATAATTCAACCTTAAAAGGAGTGAAATCTGGTCACATGTTACAACACAGATGAACCCTGAGGACATTATGCTAAGGATAATAAGCCAGTCACAAAGGGACAAATATTGTATGATTCTACTTATGAGGTACCTGGAGTAGTCAAATTTGTAGAGACTGAAAAGAGAATGGCAGTTGCCAAAGGCTGAGGGGAGGGGAGAATGAGCAGCCATTGTTTAACAGGTACAGAATTTCAGGTGGGAGAAGATAGAAAAGTTCCGGAGCTGAATGTTGGTGATGGTTGCTGAATGCCACTTAACTGCACACTTAAGAAAATGATAAATTTGGGCCGGGCGCAGTGGCTCACACCTGTAATCCCAGCACTTTGGGAGGCCGAGGTGGGCGGATCACTTGAGGTCAGGAGTTTGAGACCAGCCTGGCCAACAGGGTGAAACCATGGTCTCTACTGAAAATACAAAAATTAGCCAAGCATGGTGGCGCACGCCTGTAATCCCAGCTACCACGGAGGCTGAGGCAGGAGAATCGCTTGAACCCAAGAGGCGGAGGTTACAGTGAGCCAAGATCATGCCACTGCACTCCAGCCTGGGCGACACAGCGAGACTGTCTAAAATATATATATATATATATATATATATATATATATATATATATAAATTTTATGTTATATACATTTGACCACAATTTTTTAAAATGGCAAATAAAGTTGAAGATCTTTTCGTACCCTTCCAAGACCAATTCCCTCACTCTCTCCCACTCTGGAAACCACAATCATAAGCACTACATAGTATTTTTCTGCTTAAAAAATTAAAATACCTTAAAGAAATCTTGAAACTTGCTTGTTCACACTCTATTTTGCCCTTCAGTTGTGCTATGTTGACGTATGGATCTAGTTCATTCCGTAATGGCTGTATAGTGGTCTCATCATGACTCTGTCATACTTTACCCATTTCCCTAAAGATGGACACTTAGATCGTTTCCAGTCTTTATAAAGAATACCTTTGTGAATGTGATTAAAAACTGTGGGGTTTTTCAATATTACCAGATATTCCTTGATTCTTTCCTAAGTGGTTGTATCAATTTATACTCCTATCAGCAGAATGAGACATTCTCTATCATCTTTACCACTGACAACACAATATATAAAAAATCTGGGCTGGGTGCAGTGGCTCACATCTGCAATCCCAGCATGCTGGGCTGAGGTGAGAGGATCACCTGAGGCCAGGAGTTCAAGACCAGTCTGGGCAACATAGTGAGACCTCCATTTGTACAAAAAATAAAAAATTAGCCAGGCATGGAGTCATGTGCCTATAGTCCTAGCTACTTGGGAAGCGGAGGGAGAAGAATCGCTTGGGCCCAGGAGTTCAAGGCTGCAATAAGGTATGTCTGCACCACTCCACTCCAGCCTGGGAAACAGAGCAAGACCCTGTCTTTAATATAAATTAATTAAAAAAAAAGAAATGCTGTTTCTGTCCTGAGTGTTCCACTGACCAGCTGCTCCCCAAGTCTTTCTCCCTCTCTTTGGATATTCCTACTCCTGAGACACAACAATATTGAAATTAAGCTAATGAATAACCCGACAATGGCCCCTAAGTATACAAGTGAAAGGAAGAGTCTCATGTCTCTCACTTTAAATCAGAAGCTAGAAAGGATTAAGCTTCTAAGGAAGTCAGGAAGGCATGTTAAAAACGGATACAGGTCAAAAGCTAGGCCTCTTGCACCAGTGCAGTTCTTGAAGAAAACTAATAGTGCTACTCCACTGAACACATAAATGATATGAAAGCAAGACAGACTTATTGCTGATAATACAGAGTTTTACTGGTCTGGATTAGATCAAACTGTATTCCCTTAAGTCAAAGCTTAATCCAGAGCAATGCCCTAACTCTCTTCAATTATATGAAGGCTGAGAGAGGTGAGATGCAGAAGAAAAGTCTGAAGCTAGCCGTGGTTAGTTCATGAGCTTTAAGGAAAGAAGCCATCTTCTTAATATAATAGTACACAGTGAAGCAGCAAATGCTAATATAGAAGCTGCAGCACGTTATCCAGAAGATCTACATAAGATCATCGATGAAGGTGGCTACACTAAACCACAGATTTTCAATGCTGACAAAACAGCCTTACATTGGAAGATGCCGTCCAGGACATTCGTAGCTAGAGAAGTCAATGCCTGGCGTCAAAGCTTCAAACGACAAGCTGACTCTTGTTGGGGACTAATGCAGCTGGTGACTTTAGGATGAGGTCATTTACCATTCTCAAAATCCTAGAGCCCTTAGGAATTATGCTAAATCTACTCTGCCTATGCTCTGTAAATGAACAAAAAAGCCTGGATGATAGTACATCTGTTTATAGCATGGTTGACTGAATATTTTAAGCCCATTGCTCAGAAAAAAGATTCCTTTCAAATTATTACTGCAACAATGCCAAGAGCTCTGATGCAGATGTACAAGGAGATTGACACTGTTTTCATGCCTGCTAATAGAACATCCCTTCTGCACCCCATGGATCAAGGAGTAATTTTTATTTTCAAGTCTTATTATTTAAGAAATACATTTTGTAAGGCTACAGCTACCACAGATAGTGAAGACGCTGATGGATCTGGGCAAAGTAAATTAAAAAACTTTCTGGAAAGAATTCACCATTCTAGACACCATTAAGAACATTTGTGACTCATGGGAGGATGTCAAAGTATCAACATTAACGTGAGTTTGGAAGAAGCCAATTCCAACCCTTATGGATGACTCTGAGAGGCAAGACTTCAGAGGGGGAAGAAACTGCAACTATGGTGGGAGTAGCAAGAGAACTAGAAGTGGGGCCTGAAGATGTGACTGAATGGCTGCAATCTTATGATAAAGCTTGAACAGATGAGGAGATGCTTCTTATGGATGAGCAAACAAAGTGGTTTCTTGAGATAGAATCTGCTCCTGGTTGAAGATGCTGTGAACACTGTCGAAATGATAAAAAAGAATATTACATAATCTTGGTTGATAAAAAAGTGGTAAGGTTTGAGATGACTGACTAATTTTGAAAGAAGTTCTGTGGGTAAACGGCTAAAAACAACATCTCATGCTACAGAGAAGTCTTTCACAAAAGGAAGAGTCAATCAATGCAGCAAACTTCACTGTTGTCTGATTTTAAGAAATTATCAGTCACCACCACCTTCAGCAACCACCACCTTGATCAGTCATCAGCCATTAACGTGGAGGCAAGACCCTCCACCAGCAAAGATTATGACTTGCTGAAGATTCAGATAACTGTTAACATTTTTAAAGCAATAAAATATTTTAAAATTAAGGTTATGTACTTTTTTTCCAAGACAAAATGTCATTGTACACTTAGTAGACCACAGTATAGTGTAAACATAACTTTTATATGCACTGGGAAACCACAAAATTCCTATGACTTGCTTTGCTGCAATATTCCCTTCATTGTGGTGGTCTGGAACAGAACCTGCAACATCTCTGAGGTATGCCTATATATTGCAGATATCTACTCCCAGACAGTTACTTAAATTTTTACTTTAAGACATAAAGATGTTTTACAGTTTGATATACTCAAATTCATCAGTCTTTTCCTTCTTATGTTGCTTAAGAAATCCTCAACCTCCTTGATAACAGAGAAAAGTTCCCTTAAAATTGAATATTTTCTGGCATTTTCACTATTTTCTATTACTTATTTAACAAACCTTAATTTGCCACCAACTGCTTCAATTCCACGGGTTATCTTGAAAGATGAAGCTCCTTTTGTCGTCTTGAAAAAGAAAGAATGATTATCTTTGTAGCTTTTCAATGCCAAGTTTGCCAAACATCACACTATATCAAAATCTGTTGTGAGCAGATTTAAAAAGAATTTTACTAAATTCCTGCATCCTTTTTAGTTAAGAATTATAAAACAAGGCTCAACAAAAAGCTTAAGTATACATTTTTACATTAAGTACATTCATGTAAAATTTCCACTGTCAAATACAAGCTTACTGGATTCATTAGTCTATTCTGAAAGAGACTTGTATATGGGAAAAAAAGAGTTAATTTTCTTTCAATTTGCGGCACTTCCTGTTAAAAATTTGTTTACTGATTTCTTATGCTCTAACATCAACATTCATATGGATACTAATTTAGTGCTTCTCTGTGGCAAATATCTTGTGGTTTCTCATTTTACATTAGGGGACAGTACTGGGTTTAACAGTGTTCCCCCCCAAATTTATGTCCAGCCAGAATATTTGCATGTTACTTTATTTGGTAATAAGGTCTCTGCAGATTTAAGTACTTAAGATGACATCATATTGAATTATAGTGGGCACTAAATCTAATGTAACTGGTATCCTTATCAGGAGGAAATGTGGACACAGACAGAAGGAAGGCCATGTGACAACAAAGGCAGAGACTGCAGTGATGCAGTTGCAGGTCAAGGAACATGAAGGGTTGTGGGCAACTGCTGGAAGCTAGGAACAGGCAGGGGAGGATTTGTGCCTTCCTAGAACCTTTAGAGGGATCACAGCCCTGCTGATATCTTGGCTTGGCTTAGACACCTTGACTTGGACTTCTAGCCTCTAGAACTGTAACAGGATAAACTTATTTGGTTTAAGCTACCCAGTCCGTGGTAATTTGTTATGGCAGGTCAAGGAATCAAAATATAAAGACATTGATCTTAGTTTTTCTTTTTCACAGGACCAAGATACCACAGCATTTCCAAACACTTGAGGAAGTGAAGATACTCACCAGACTGGATGTAAGACGCAGCAAATGGGTGGTTCCTAAATTGCTGAAGTCCTCATATCTACTGCCTGCTTTAATGAACAAACCAATTCTTGATACAGGAGAATAGTTTTCCAAAGAAGCAATCACCAAGCCATTTGGTAACTTGGTAAACTGTATTTAAAATAAAGTAGAGATATAATGAATGTCTTCGTATTACCAAGGAGAGTAAGGCATGTATAGCTTCCAGCGAGCAAGTTAGTGGGACTAACCTCAAGGTCCTGAGGTTGTGGCGGTGCTCCTGCAGGCGCAGCTGTGGCTTTAACTTTGGGGGCAACTTTGAGGGAATAAAATCTCTAAACATAAAAAACACAGGTTACACGTATTTCTCACAAGAACAGTGCTTTATATAAAAGCATGGTATCTTAGGGTACCCAAGCGACAGAGGGTGTTCGGGGGTGGAAGGAGCAATAACCACCTCCATGGGAGGATTTACCTGCATAACATTTTTTTTTTTTTTTTGAGACAGAGTGTCTCTCTGTCGCTCAGGCTGGAGTGCAGTGGCGCAATCTCAGCTCACTGCAACCTCTACCTCCTGGGTTCAAGCCATTCTCCTGCCTTAGCCTCCCAAATAGCTGGAATTACAGGTGCGTGCCACCATGTCCAGCTAGTTTTTGTTTTGTATTTTTTAGTAGAGATGGGGTTTCACTGTGTTGGCCAAGCTGGTCTTGAACTCCTGATCTTAAGTGATCTGCCCACCTTGGTCTCCCAAAGTGTTGGAATTACAGGCGTGAGCCACTGCACCCCGCCTAGCTGCATAACTTATTATGGACTTACTAACCCACCAGTTTACCCAAGCCATTCTTAAACCTCTATTTATTAGTGATTTATAGAGTTCTTGATGCTTATTTTTTAAATGATGTAAAGAATCACTGTATTTTCTTATCTTTCAGTTACCTTATAAAAGTTTCATGGTTCTGTGTAGTTCTAAAGCTTTGGCATTTTTTGAAAAAGTGTCAGATCACCCCATCCACAACCTTTTTTGTTGAGTTGGAGTCGTGCTCTGTGTCCCACGCTGGAGTGCAACAGTGCGATCTCGGGTCATTGCAATGTCTGCCTCCTGGATTCAAGCGATTCTCCTGTCTCAGCCTCCCAAGTAGCTGGGATTACAGGTACATGCTGCCACGCCTGGCTAATTTTTTGTATTTTAGTAGAGATGGCGTTTCACCCCATAGCTCAGGCTGGTCTCAAACTCCTGAGCTCAGGCAATCCACCCGCCTCGGCCTCACAAAGTGCTAGAATTACAGGTGGGAGCCACCACACCTGGCCTGTGTCCACAACCTTTTATAGGTTTCAGCTTCTTGCTTCTTTTATCTGCCCAATGAATGTCATCCGTTCAGTCTAATTTCCAATTGAAATGGTTTCATCTCCTTAATCATCTTAGTAACCTTTAAAAAAGACAAACTAGCCGGGTGCGGTGGCTCACGCCTGTAATCCCAGCACTTTGGGAGGCCAAGGTGGGCGGATCACCTGAGGTCAGGAGCTCGAGACTAGCCTGACAAACATGGAGAAACCCCATCTCTAATAAAAACACAAAATAAGCGGGGCGTGGTGATGCATGCCTGTAATCCCAGCTACTGGGGAGGCTGAGGCAGGAGAATCACTTGAATCCGGGAGGCGGAGGTTGCAGTGAGCCGAGATTGTGCCATTGCAGTCTAGCCTGGGCAACAAGAGCAAAACTCCGTCTCAAGAAAAAAAAAAGAAAAAGACAAAGTATATACCAACTTCCTCCAAGCCCTCAATATTTTCCATTGTATCTTCACTCTTGTGTGCTGTATTAAGACCACACAACCAAAGGTCTTAGTTTTTTTGACTAAATAAAACATTTATGACATGTATGTCATCCTGAGATTAATAATGGCTTCATCCACATCAGATTCTCAATATATAAAATGCAGTTACTGGTAGGGTGAAAGGGTCCCATTAAATATTAGATAATGGACCCAAAATGCATTCATTTTATTCAGTTTGTTTTGGCAAATGTTATACAATGCCATACAAATCATTCTGATTATGACTAAAGTTCATGAGGTTATTAGAGGAGATGATGAGTGAATAAAATTTGGTGCTCCCAAGACCCAATGAACACCTCCTCACTGGAGTTTCCCGGACATCCCTGCACAGTCTGCAATGCCTCCACTCTGTGCTGTCCAGAAGGCTGTTTGTTGTACATCATTAGTGCTGTACTAGGTTGGCTGCTGGTTATCACTTGCTTTTAGTACTGCTTTTCAGTTATGAATTACAATTAGCTTTACTTTATCGTCATCAATTTAGTTTGCTGGGTATGGTATAGTTAACCTTCTTTGTAATTTTGGCCTATAATTTTCCAAAAAGTAAACTTTTAAGATATATGGGCATAGCAATTCAAATATGAATAATCTATAATTCCGTTACCAAGTGAGATTTTAGGTGTTTTCCAACCAAATGTGCCCAAATAGTAACTCTTTGTTGGTAATTTTTTTTTTTTTTTTTTTTTGAGACGGAGTCTCGCTCTGTCGTCTAGGCTGGAGTGCAGCGGTGCGATCTCGGCTCACTGCAACCTCCGCCTCCTGGGTTCAAGAGATTCTCCTGCCTCAGCCTCCTGAGTAGCTGGGATTAGAGGCGCCCACCACCACCACGCCCGGCTATTTTTTTTTTTTTTGTATTTTTAGTAGAGACGGGGTTTCACCATGATGGCCAGACTGGTTTCGAACTCCTCATCTCAAGTGATCCGCCTGCCTCTGACTCCCAAAGTGCTAGGATTACAGGTGTGAGCCATCGCGCTCCGCCGGTAATGTGCTTCTTAATCGTCCCATTCAAATCAGCAAATTATCCTAGTAACTGTCATGCAATCTTCTAAATTATTTTGTTCTAATAACAAGATATATCTAAGTTTATTCTCCTATATAAAGTGCTAAAATTAGACACATAAATAATTGCTTTCAAGTTTACTGCAATTTGTTTACTTTGGGCCTCTCCAACTGTTTTCTCTGAGCTTTTTCTGTTGCAAAATAGAATGGAGAAGGAAATGTTGGGGTCTTTTGCCAATCTAACCGTGCTTCCCTCCAAGGGTAATCACTGGTGTGTCTAGGTATACCTGGAAGGTTAATGCAATTACAGCCTAAATCGATATAGCCCACAGCACATTTATGTAAACATAAAGCATAAGAACATTCCATGCCCAGGTCTGGTCTTCTGCATCTCCATCTAGGGGGGTTTCTCAACACAGGTACTACTACTGGCACTTGGGGCTAGATAATTCTTTGCTGTAAGGCGAAGTTTAGCAGCATCCCTGGCCTCTCCATGCCAATAGCACCCTCCTTACAAGTTGTTGCAACTAAATATGTCTCCAAACATCGCCACCGGTTCCCTGGGGGCATTCTGTCCCTCGCTATGATTTTTTAAGTGTTCCCCCTTACCCCTCTTAATAACCACTGTCCCACAGTGATATAACCCTGATGTGTGAGTTTTCCCCAAGTGACAGCTATGTTTAATTTAGGCTTGAAGGGGAAACTTAATTAAGGAGCTTTTGAGGACAAACAGAGACGTCTTGGAGGAACCGTCTAACATACGATCAAGAAAAGCAACGTTAGACTACTAAGACACCATAGTATTTAACAATGAAGTTCCAGGTACTGTAATAAGTGTTCTATCTGCATTAGCTCCTTTCTTATACTTTTATTCGCTGGGGAAACTGACGCTCCGTGATAAACCAAGGAGCAGAGGCTGCAGCGGATAAAGTGAAGGTGGGGGGCTAAGTGCGCCGTCCTCCCGCTCCCCCTGGGTTTCACGGTCTCTTTCTCCAGCACTTGAGTACCGGAGTGACCTTCAGAAGTCTCTCCAAGGACTCGCTTCAACTCCGCTCTCACGTCCTGCCCCTCTCTTCAGGTTTCCCGGTGTTAGGTCTCTTGTGCTCACAGCATGAGCTGGGCCTCCAAAGCCTGACCCAGTCTGCAGCCCACTTGGCCCGCAGGGTTCAGCTGAAGGGCAGACCGAATCCCAAGGCCCAGACCCCAGACCAGACACCTCCGCCTCGTATCACCTTGTCGACACACTGCTCCCCAGCCCTTTCCCAAACCCGCCACCTGAGCTCACCGAGAAAGAGCCGGCTCTGGTTAGTAGCTTCATGATTCAAGATTGTTCTGACACACGGTCACTGCCGGATTAAAGGAAAGCAAGATGGTGGCGGAGGCCGGGAGTTTCCCAGCGTTCCCCGCTAACACTTTCCCACGTCCCCTTCGTGAGGTACTCTCTATACTGCCGCGCTCTACTGCTCTCTTTATAAGGTTGGACCAGTCCAATTCCTCCAAGACTCAGAATAGGGAGACGCACAATTTCCCAAGTAAATATATGCAGAGAATAATGTACGTCACTGCTTTTTGCGTTCTTCTCCTAGCCTGAATATCCAGTATGCACCCCTTTTCTAAGTACGTCTGCAGCAGCCTGTCACAACTCCCCCCGCTATCTTGGGCTCTTCCGCTCAGCATTGTCCAATGGGACGCGCCTCTCTTGGGACTCCGCATGCGCCCTCCGGGATGACACCTGCACTGGAGGCCCTGGGTTTCCGCGTTCCTGGACGTTGGAGGCTTCAGGAGATTCCTGCCACTCCACCTTTCTGCAGAGGTATTGGGTATCGAAGCCCGGCGTAGTTGCCTCTCGCTGGGTGAAGTCCTTACTGGATCTTTAGCTCCGTGAAACAGGGGCCTCGTTCAACGTATTCGCCGCTGTGTCCCCCAGAGCAGGCCCGGGACACACCGGGAGGGTCAGCAACCTCGGGGAATCATCACAAGGCTTTTGGTCTCGTGGAATTTACGTCCTAGGCTGGGGCTACATAGAATATAAAAACTTAGCTATAGTTTTTGTGTTAGGAAAATAGAAATGTTTTGGATAGTAGGTGTGTTATGTGAGCCGAAACCGGCAGTTGGAGAAAGTCAGTCACGTGACGACTTGGGGCGGGGGCGTTCACTCCGGTCCTCAGCGAGTGTTAACCCAGAAAGTGCCTTGAGCTAGGCACTATGCCAACGCGAGAGGCGTGGTCCCTGCCCTTTAGGGACTTTAGAGTTTCGTACCTTGCTACGTTGCTTGGTTGGGAAACCGACAGTATCAGCATCAATATCATTTAGGAGTTGATTAGAAATGTATGAACTCCAGGTCCCATATTGGATCCGAATCGGTGTTTTTACAAGATCCTGGGATGACTTCGTATGCACAATAGTTTCAGAAAGGCTGGTGGTGTAGACGTTACAAGGCATAGGCAAATGTACTTTCTTTTTGCCTTGTGTCTGAATTGCTCCAGGCCTACAACGGACTTGGGCTCTCTAATTAAGATCTGGGCATTAAGAACCTGGCACCAACCCAATTTCTGTGCCTGCTGGGGACGCCCTCAACCCAATTCATACCACACAGTTTCCCCACATGTGGTAGATTTAACACTAGTGGTGCGTGAGATGATTTTAAGTTGGTACATAGATGAACACTTCCATTTTTTCCTTTTAAAAATTTGTATAAATTTAAGGGGCGCAAGTACAGTTATGTTATATGGATATATTGCAGTAATGGTGAAGTCTGGGCTTTTAGTGTACCCATCACCCGAATAATGTACATGGTACCCATTAAGTACTTTCTCATCGTTCACCTCTCTCCCACCCCTCCACCTTTCGGAGTCTCCATTGTCTGTCATTCCACACTCTATGTCCATGTGTACACCTTATTTAGCACTGTTCCATTTTAATAATATATTTATTTTGATTATGGCAAGCAATGCTAGTAGTGAATTTCCTCTTTAAGTACATTTATAAAATAATAAAAGTTGGTGTAAAAACGTTAAGTAACTTGATGATACGGAGATACAGCAAAAATCATGAATGTGTTATACAGGTACCATTGAGTGAAATCTGGGAAGCAGTGCTCTGATCAAGCCACCTGCCTGCTTAAAATTCTTCAACGACAGCCACGTTTTTCAGGATAAAATTCAAATTCATTAACATGGCATACAAAGCTGTCTCCAGTACTTCAAAACCCCAATTCCCAAGTTAGCTAGCTGCACCCCTGAGTCCAATCATTGTAACTTCATCATTCAACAGTTCAGGTCAGGTAGGAGGAACACAAAAGTCTCCACACTCAAGTGCACACACACACACACACACACACACACCCACACCTGCTTATAATGTCCTCTCATTCTTAGGTTATGACCCAATATCAGAAAGGGGCAAAAATAAATTCTGTTCAAAATGTGGCAGGATTTGAAACATAATTCATGATATCAGCTACATAAATCATAAAATCCCAAGTTTGTCAATTGCAAAATGTCCTATTAAGCATTAAGCTACAAATTAGGAGTGCCATCTTGTGGACACATCCACCACTTCCACATCATGTCACCTCCTAGCCAACTCCGTGGCTGTTCTCACTGTGGAGGTCTCTGCCACAACTCCAGCATTTTATTGCAGAAGAAAACCCAGTCCTTGAACTGGTTTCTGCGTAGAACACACTGAAAGCCCTGGGAGAGGAAACCAGCAGACAGGAAAAGAGTAGACATGGAAGAGCAGATGAGTTCATTGCTGGAAAGCTCGAATTGTTAGTTTCGTTAATGTGGGGTCCAATTTGACTCTATGGAGCCTAACTACCTAGCCTGAGCGCTCGCGGTGAGTATGGGGTGGGAGAATGTAAAGAGAAAGCAGGCAACAGTAGGAGTAAAACACACCAGAGGAAGGTGATGTGGGTTTATACTTGGGAACAACATTACCTTGCCATCTTAGGGCCAGAGGCATTAATCATGGCTTCCCCAATGCATAATTTCGATGTTGGCATTTCCTTCCCCATTCCTTTCAGAATCCTACCCTGTCAGGTATTATCTCTGATGAAATATTCCCTGGGCCAGGCACAGTGGCTCATGCCTGTAATCCCAGCACTATGGGAGGCCAAGGTGGGTGGATCACCTGAGGTCAGGAGTTCAAGACCAGCCTGGCCAACGTGGCAAAACCCTGTCTCTACTGAAAAAAAAATACAAAAATTAGCCGGGCATGGTGGCAGTTGACTGAAATCTTAGATACTCGGGAGGCTGAGGCAGGGAGAATTGCTTGAACCTGGGAGGCGGAAGTTGCAGTGAGCCGAGATCACTGCCATTGTACTCCAGCCTAGGCGACACAGCGAGACTCTGTCTCGGGGGGGAAAAAAAAGTTCATATCAATTTCTAATATTCTATAATTATTGTTTTTGGTCACATATACTTTTTCCATGTATTGAGGTGAACAGATTGGTCTTATTCTGTGTTAAGTTATATTGATTGATTCAAATTATAAATAAACCTTTCATTCCTGTTATAAACCCAACTTGGTCTGGATGTTTTATTCTTTTAATATATTGCTAGACCTAATTTGCTACTTATTTGTTTAGGATTTGTGCATTTATGTTCCAGAGTGATACTGGCTTTAACTTTCACTTTCATTCCCCCCATTCATGCATTTTTCTGTCATAGATAAAATGAGTTAGGAAGTGTGAAAGGAAAAAAAATCTCAGGGCCTCCAAATCACTAAGCCAAAGGGAAAATTCAAGCTGGGAATGATGTCAGACAAACCTGCCTCCCGTTTTATTCCTAAATAAGATAGCTATAAGGATAAAAAGCTACATAACTTACCTTACAATTTGCCCACAGGGCAATTCCATGTGGATCTGAGGATCTTTACCCTAAAACAGTTTTGTTGAATTTCACCCTGGCAATGTAAATTGATAGCTGTCTTCCTTCCTTCCTTTCCTTTTCTTCCTTTCCTTTCTCTCTCTCTCTCTGTCTCTCTTTCTCTGTTTCTCTCTCTCCCTCCCTTCCTCCCTCCCTCCTCCCTCTTTTTTTTTTTTTTTTTTTTTTTTTTGGAGAGTTTCACTCTTGTTGCCCAGGCTGGAGTGGAATGGCATGATCTGAGCTCACTACAACCTCCACCTCCTGGTTTCAAGCAGATTTTCCCACCTCAGCCTCCTGAGTAGCTGAGATTACAGGCATGTGCCATGATGCCTGGCTAATTTTGCATTTTTAGTAGAGACAGGGTTTCACTATGTTGGCCAGGCTGGTCTCGAACTCCTGACCTCAGGTGATGCACCCACCTCGGCCTCCCAAAGTGCTGGGATTACAGGTGTGAGCCACCGCACCAGGCCTGATAGCTTATTTTCACAGGTGCAGGACAAAGGACAGAACTCAAAGTCCATCTTAAACAAATGTGTATCTGATGGCTTCCTCTGCCCTATTGTTTACATTGTATTATGTAAAAAAAATGAAGATTCTCTGAGCCAGACAATGACATAAGTGAGTATTCCTCTGCCCATCCTCTCACATGTAAATTGTATATTCAGTGAAAGGCTGATCAAAGACTCAAGGGGATGCAACCCTTTGTCTCTTGTATACCCACACATTTTTAAATTTTTTCTTTTTTTTTTTTTTTTTTTGAGACGGTCTTGATCTGTCACTCACGCTTGAGTGCTTCCAGTACTTCCTGGGCTCAAGTAGTCCTCCCACTTCAGTCTCCTGAGTAGCTGGGACCACAGGCATATGCCACCACATCTGGCTAATTTTTGTATTTTTGATAGAGATGGGGTTTTGCCATGTTGCTCAGGCTGGTCTCAAACTCCTGACCTCAGGCAGTCCACTGGACTGGCCTCCCAAAGAGCTGGAATTAAGATTTCAAATTTTCTTCCTTTTCACCCATATCAATCCTTTCTCCTTAAATATTGAAGCCCTTGAAATCATCTTTGGAGAAAGGCATAGACATACCTCTCAGGCGCTTATCCTTAACCTTGGCAATGGAAACTTTCCACATTGATTGAGACCTGTCTCAGATACTTTTGGTTCACAGAAGTAAACGTCTTTTCCCAGCTTTCGTATATTTTGCGTGCTCCCTTTGATTCTGTCAGGCTTTTATTTTATTCTTTATTAGGGTGGGTCTATTTAGGTTTTTGATCTTATTCTAGGACATGATCTTTACTTCTAAGGCATGGCTTTTCTGGAGTTATAACTGTAAGGGGTGCTCAGTAAGGTATCTCTACTGTGGCTCTCAGTAAGAATTCCGACATTTTCTGCACTATGTAAACTCTGGGTCTACCTTTGTTACAGGTAGTTAGACAGGTATGAGCGGGACAGGAGAGGGCTCTCCCCCCATCCACCAGGAATGTCGGGTGATGATTTGGCAGTTATCACATTGCCTCTCTAAGTGATAAATTGGGCCAGGCGCGGTGGCTCAGACCTGCAATCCCAACACTTTGGGAGGCCAAGGCGGGCGGATCACCTGAGGTCGGGAGTTTGAGACCAGCCTGAACAACATGGAGAAACCCCATCTCTACTAAAGATACAAAATTAGCCAGGGATGGTGGCGGGTGCCTGTAATCCCAGCTACTCGGGAGGCTAAGGCAGGAGAATCACTTGAACCCAGGAGGCGGAGGTTTGGGTGAGCCGAGATCGCGCCACTGCACTCCAGCCTGGGCAACAAGAGCGAAATTCTGCCTCAAAAAAAAAAAAAAAAAGATAAATTGGAGAGGCCATTTCCTGATAGTCCACACCCGTTGCACTAAATTAACAGTGTTAATTGAATGCAGACACCAGGGAGAAGCAACTTCCTGGGCATGTGCATTAAGAGACAAAATGGCGGAGTATGACTTTCCAGGGTTACTCCACCAGAATAGGGAAGAAAGTCTCAGATGGGCATGGGTACAACTTCTTAAACACGCTGCGCATGCTCACCTCCAACGGGTGAGGGGGGTACCAGGCATGCGGGCAGCCCACCCTAAGGGAAGAATCATGAGAAAGGGGCCAGCCTATAAAGATTACTGTTAAACAGAGCGCTTGACCTCAGTGCCTGGTTGGGTCTCTTCCAAGCATACTTTCCTTTCCTTTTTTATCCTGTTCTAAAGCCTTTTAAATAAACTTCCACTCCTGCTCTGAAACTTGCC
The DNA here is from genome assembly GCF_000001405.40 of Homo sapiens. Classification (NCBI taxonomy): domain Eukaryota; kingdom Metazoa; phylum Chordata; class Mammalia; order Primates; family Hominidae; genus Homo; species Homo sapiens. The sequence goes on along the minus strand of NC_000016.10, from coordinate 21,947,618 downwards.
TTGGTCTCTTTTTCTGCCTTATGCCCCTCTGTTGATTTCTTTCTTCTGAGGAGGCAAGAATTGAGGTAGCTGCAGATGTACACAGATTCACCGCCAGTAACTCAGATATCGTCCACCGGTAACACATTCAGTTCTCAGTCTAGCAGGTGCCATTCTCTGATAGGCCTCACAGCATCTCTCCCTTTGCACATGGCACAGGCCAGCTCATGACTCACAGCAAACCCCATTCAAATTTCTGGGCCCCCGCTTCGTCTTTATCATCACCCTGCTCTTCAAATTCTAGCTGCTTTAGCAATCCTAAACTCCCTCTTAATTGATCCCTTTTGAGGTTCAGAAGCTACAGTTCAAAAAAACCTAAGATTTATTGTTCCATTTCTGCAAAAGGACGACGTGAAGCTACATTGATCTGCCTTACTACTCGTATCTGAAACCTAGTAGAACATTAGACAGTTTCGTAATTAGGTAATTGTGGGAAAAGGAGCATAGGTGGAGCTATGGGCTTCATTTCAAACAGCAGGGACAAAAGAAAGCACCTCAACATTAGCAGCATCAACAAAAAGTGCAGCAGCATAATGACTCACCTGTAGGTGTTGATAAGCTCATCAGCATGAGGCTCCAGTTCAAGTGAATTCAACCATTTCTTCACATACAGTTGAATCTGGGGCTTAGGGACTCCCCATAATCTGGCATACATGATCATTATTTCCTGAGCAGTCATATATTCTAGCAAGACATCAAATTCAGGACAATAACCAATTCTTGACCTTAACCTAATTACAAGAATTGCATTAAGTAAAGACCCAAGTCATCTATCCCACTAGACAACCATGGATAAGATGGCAAACCTGCAGTCTTCCAGGCCATACTTTTAAGAGTCCTACCAAGATATTTTTTTTCTAAAGGGCTACAAAATTATAGCTGTCAGATCTATTGTAGGACATTGGAATAGTAGGCTCCATAATTCAGTTTTAATGATCTTGGGGATAAAGAAGTTAGAAATGAAATTCCACAGCCTACTCATTTTGGAGGAGTACTAGATTATGACATGGTCTTCTCATTAATCAAGAACTCCAGGGGGAATGGCCGCCATGGAGGTATTTGCACTGTTAAACCTGTACAACATCTTGTCCATATAAAGGCTGAACCAGAACCAAAGCCTTTCCCCACCCTGCCAACCTGGAGACTGCAATGAGTATTGTTTTAGCAATTAGTCAAACACCTCTGTTGATTTACACTCAGGTGAGCATAGCCTATGAACCAGAGAAAGAGCTATATTCTATTATTATTATTATTATTATTTTTGAGACAGAGTTTCACTCTTGTTGCCCAGGCTGGAGTGCAATGGCACGATCTCAGCTCACCACAACCTCTGCCTCCCAGGTTCAAGCAATTCTCCTGCCTCAGCCTCCCTAGTAGCTGGGATTACAGGCATGTGCCACTACGCCTGGCTAATTCTGTATTTTTAGCAGAGACGGGGTTTCTCCATGTTGGTCAGGCTGGTCTCGAACTCCCGAACTCAGGTGATCCACCCGCCTCAACCTCCCAAAGTGCTGGGATTACAAGCATGAGCCACCGCGCCCGGCTCAATTTTGTTTTAATTGGAGACTTCGTATGCTCCTAGACACTTCATAGAAACAAACTCAAATTCCCTCTTTATCTAACAACAACAAAAAAAAGAACAGTAAGCATCTGGTGGGTGTCACTTTATAATAAACAATATCCAATTAAGGATTTGAAAACATTGAACAAGCCACCCCAAAATAGAGCACCTTTATAGACTCTCTTCATCTTGCAATTCTGCAAGAACCATCCTAGTTGTCTATGAATCCTGAAAAGGTGATTAGATTTCTCATATTATTTATGGGGGACTCCATCTATCTACCTAGGCAAGAATCAGAAGAAAATATCTCTGTGTCCCTCTCTCTCCACTTTATTTCTCCTTCTTCTTTATTAGAGGTGAGATAATTGTAGAAAAGAAAACACACTATTTTTAAATAATCCTTTTTTTTCTGGTCATGGATCCCAAATGTTCTTGGTGCAAAAATTCTCTTTCAACTGAAGCATATGAACTTTATTTTGGATGTCTGAAATAGTAACCCAACTCAGCCCTCCAACATTGATGAATTTATATTAGATATATGTGTATATGCATGTATATCTGCACGCGTGTGTGAGTGTGAATGTGTGTGTGTGTGTATCCATAGGAAAGCTGATGTGATCCAGGCCTTATGCGCTTCTTATCCATAACTCAACTGCTGAAACATAAAGCTCTTGTTCTTTGGGCTGTCCCATCTGACAGCTCCATCATTACTGGATCTTTCTGTTCAAATGTCCAGAACACTCAGGAACAGGTTCCTGTCCCAACCCTGATAAATGCTGCTCTTTCATATCTCAAGGAGAGAAAATGGGAATTTCACCAAATGTCTTTGGATTTGAGCATGCTGGATACACAGGCCGCTCATCTAAATCTGCAATGAAGGGGACAAACTTTCTTCTTTGGGAAAAGCTTTATTACATAAATATATGTACACCAAGATATACATGCACAGGAAGGTCCCCCATGCATCCAGGTGTCATCTATGAGAGACACAAGGGTCACTGGTTGTAACTGAATCTCATGGCACCTCGTTTTCATCATCACTGGATGCTTTCTCTGGGTTAGCAAAGGTCAGGAAGACCTGTTCCAGTGTGATCTGACTGACAGAATAGTCTTCTAAATCGAATTGCTCTTTAGCTTCCTCCAAAATGCCAAACACCTTTAACAACAGCAACAAAAACACAGTTACCATTGCAATCTCCCCTTCAGCCCCCAACTCAGATAAGCCTCTCCTCCACTCCCCCAATTCCTATCAAGTGTATGTTGGAGGACAAAAGGCACAGAAGGGAGAGGTGAGAAGGTGGAAGAACAGAGAATTGAGAAAGTGAGAGGAAGCCATTCTCTGTTCCCATTCTCTTGATGGATATGGAGTAATAATGGAATTTACTTAATTATATACTGTGGAGGGGTGAATAGAGGAGGTCAATACGAAAGGAGATATAACCCGCTAACCCACTCTTTTTGGTATCCATGACACGGTTCATGCTTTCAGATTTATTCCTCATGAAATCATCTTATTATGTGGAGTTCATAGCAATTATTGAGGGCAGGATTTGAGGTACAATAAATTATCAGCTGACATGCCCAATGTAAGAAAACTGAGCCTTCTAAAAGTCTAATGTTTGCAGAGGGACCTGATCCATGATGGCCTATTAGAAGTAGCTGCGGTTCACAGCACTCATGGAGAGGAACGGAGAGGGGTGAGTGAATTTAGTACCTTTGACTGACATATCCAGGTTCTCGCATTGGGACCAACTAGGCTAAAAACTCGACCCATGGAGAACAAAGAAGAGCAGGGAGTGGAGATGGCCCACCAAGGAGCTACACGGAGCCAAAGGAACCACCACCCCTAGACAAGAGAAGCAGTGAGTGATGGTGAGACCTTGCCCAGGAAACCACGCTTTTCCCATGGATCTTTGCAATCCACAGATCAAGAGATCCCCCCATGAGCCCACACCACCAGGGCCTTGGGTCTGATACACAGAGCTGTGTGAAGTCTTGACAGAGCATCCACTCAGGCACACACAGAGACCCAGGAGTTTTATATACTCTAGCCTTGGGATCCCTGGCAAGGTGAGAGGTCCATCTGTACATATCCCTAGGAAGGAAGCTGAATCCAGGGAGCCAAGCAGTGTCATTCTGCAGGCCCCACTTCCACGTCACATCACGAGTTAAGACCTACTGGTTTGGAATCCCAGCCAACAAATGGCAGTGAGTTAGAGTCTCCCTGAGATGGGTCCAAGTTCCTGGAGGAGGCGCAGCTGCCATCTCTGTGGTTTGGTCAACTCAGCTGCTTCAGTCTGTCAGCTTTGAAGAATACAGGCAGTCCGAACAAGGAAAGGTCCCACACAACACAGCACACCTGCTCTACCAATAAGCAGCCAGACTGCTGCTTTGGGTGGGTCCCTGATCCCTTTCCTCCTGACTGAGTGAGACCTCCCAATAGGGGTCTCTAGCTACCTCCTACAGGTACATGTAGGCTGGTGACCAAAGGAGGGACTCCTCCCTAACTCATTCTATGAGGCCAGCATCATCCTGATACCAAAACCTGGCAGAGATACAACAAAAAAAGAAAACTTCAGGCCAATATCCTTGATGAACATCAATGCAAAAATTCTCAATAAAATACTGGCAAACTGAATCCACCCACACATCAAAAAGCTTGTCCACCATGATCAAGTTGGCTTCATCCCTAGGATGCAAGGTTGGTTCAACATATGCAAATTAATAAATGTGATTCACCACGTAAACAGAACTGAAGACAAAAACCACATGATTAGCTCAATAGATGCAGAAAAGGCCTTCGATAAAATTCAACATCCCTTCATGTTAAAAGTTCTCAATACACTAGATATTCAAAGGACATACCTCAAACTAATAAGAGCCATGACATGACATATGACAAACCCACCGCCAATATCATACTGAATGGGCAAAAGCTGGAAGCATTCCCCTTGAAAACTGGCACAAGAACAACTGGCACAAGAATGTCCTCTCTTACCACTCCTATTCAACATAGTATTGGATACAGTATCTTGGTTGGCAGGGTTTTTTTCTCTTCAGTACTTTGAACATGTCATCCTACTCTCTCCTTGCCTATGAGGTCCTGGTTGAGACACCTATAGCTAGCCTTATGGAATCTCCCTTATATGTTATTTGCTTTTTTTTTCTCTTGCTGCTTTCAGATCCTCTCTTTGTGCTTGATTTTTGACCATTTAATTATAATGTCTTGATGTAGCCTTGTTTGTATTGAATCCGAATGCAGATATGTGACCCTCTTGTACCTGGATATTTATGTTTTTCTTAGTATTTGGAAAATCTTCTGCTTTTATTTCTTTAAGCTTTCCAACAATTTGTTTTTTCTTCTTCCTCACAAACTCTAATAATGTAAACACTGGCTCTTTTGATGCTGTTCTATAAATCCCATGAGCTTTCTTCATTCCTCTTAATTTTTCTTTTAATCATCTAACTGTATATTTTCAAAAAACCTATTTTGAGTTGAGATATTTTTCTCTGCTTGATAAACTCTGCTGTTAATGCTTTCTACTGCATTATTCATTTTATTCACTGTATATTACATATCCATGATTTCTGTTTGATTTTTTAAAAAGTAATTTCAATTTCTCTATTAAGTTACTAGTCTGGGTCATTTATTGTTTACCCGATTTTGTTGAATTGTTTTTCTGTGTTATCTTGAAGTGTGCAGAGCTTTTTGTTTTCGTTTTTGTTTTTAAGATGGAGTCTCACTCTGTTGCCCAGGCTGGAGTCCAGTGGCACGATCTCGGCTCACCGCAACATCCACCTTCTGGGTTCAAGCGATTCTCCTGCCTCAGTCTCCCAAGTAGCTGGGATTACAGGCACCCACCACCATGCCCGGCTAATTTTTGTATTTTTGGTAGAGATGGGGTTTCACAATATTGGCCAGGCTGGTCTCAAACTCCCGACCTCGTGATCCACCTGCCTTGGCCTCCCAAAGTGCTGGGATTACAGACGTGAGCCACTGTGCCCAGCCTATAGAGCTTTCCTAAAGTGATTTATTGATCACATCAAATAGAACTCTTGACACAATAAGTCCTCAAAAATATTTGCCACATGAATGCATAAATGAATATTCAACTTCTTAATGGACATATCCATCTACATGTGTCAAGGGCACACCATAAACACTATGACCAACACCGAGGTGATAATTTTTCTACACAGCTCGTTCTCCACATATGCTTGACCATCCATTTCGTATCTATTTTCTGATTTTCTTCTCTTTTTGCTTTTTTGAGACAGAGTCTCTCTCTGTCACCCAGGCTAAAGTGCAATGGCATGACCTCTGTTCACTGGAACCTCCGCCTCCCCGGTTCAAGCAATTCTCCTGCCTCAGCCTCCTGAGTAACTGAGACCACAGGTGTGTGCTACCATGTACAGCTAATTTTTGTATTTTTAATGGATATGGGGATTCATCATGTTGGCCAGGCTGGTCTCAAACTCCTGACCTCAGGTGATCCGCCCACCTCAGCCTCCCAAAGTGCTGGGATTACAAGCATGAGCCACTGTGCCCGGCCCTGATTTTCATTCTTACTGTGTAATCAATTTTGCTATTTTCCATTGCCTAGGAGACAAATTTTCAACCCCTTAGCCTAACACACAACGGGAACTTCTGCGGTATTTTGCTCAGCCTAACAAAGTGGAAACTAAGATGAAAAACCAGAATTATTAAAAGCCTTGCCATTGCCCATGCTTTAGGTTAAGGAAAGAGAGATAAGAGATCGAAATGCATGCTCTCTCTTGTACTGTTCCATGTAGGCGGAGAGGTGCTTACTGAATTTAGCATGAAGAAACGGCACTCAGAAACCAAACTACTCTTGAAAGGAGAGAAATACCAGTTCTTATTTGCATTTCAATACCATATCCTAGCTGAGACAGCAAAAGCATAAAGTTGCATGAGCAGTGTGAAGGAAAAAACCTTAAAATTTGGCATGAATAATCTGTAAAAATAATTGAGAATTATGCTAAAATAGGACTTTAGATATATAATTTATTTTTAGTTTTTATTTATTATCATTAATTTTTTTAGAGATGGGGTCTTGCCAGGCTGGAGTGCAATGGCACAATCATAGCTCATTGCAGCCTTAAACCCTGGGGCTCAAGCAATTCTCTGGCCTCAGCCTTCCAAGTTGCTGGAATTACAGGCATGAGCTACTGCGCCCAACTAATTTATATGGACAGCACAAACATAAAAGTGCCTTGTTAGGTGATGTAAGAGTTTGTGAGGACTTCTGCTTTTTGTGAAACTTAGCATAATCTGGCATAAGAGACTATAATATCAAACATTGCCAAAGGAACATTATAGAAAATCAATACCTATCAATAACTCACAGAAAACTGGTATTGAAGACATAAATCATATGGATGGTGAGAACAACAAATATGATTTAACACATTTCTCAAACTCCTGAGCTCAAATGACCTGCCCACCTCAGCCTCCCAAAAGTGCTGGGATTACAGGCGTGAACCAGTGCGCCCGGCCAATTTAATACATTTCTGACAAAGGTAGCACAACTTAATTTACCTGGAAATGTTGTTGCAACATAACATTTAAAATCCTCTAATTTATCTTCAGTCTTGACCTTGACCTTCAGGATGTAAATGTTGCCAAACTTGCTCTTGAGATGCTGAGGGCTGCCCAAGCAAGTGAACTTCCCTTGCACCATGATGGCTAGACTGGTACAGAGGGCGTCACATTCCTCCATACTTGGAAAACAAAAGGGCAGAATGTTGTAAGGGTAAAAATAAAAAGTTCTCTTTTGGAAGACATTGTGTAGTTCAATCAGAGCCAGAATTTTGTGACCCTATTTTCAATCAGAATTTGTATTTTTCCAATCATAAAGCACATAGATGGGAAGTGGGAATTTTTCAAACGAAAAAGAACACAGCGCTCAATTTTCAAATAGAACATCTTCTGAAGTCCTGTCTTTTCCTCACTTTTTTTTTAAACTCAGTGAGGATTTTTGGCCATTTGATTTATTAGGATTAACATGAATCCTAATTCCTGATGAGGAGCTAACATACTCAGGCAAGTTTAGTGTCCAATATTATCCACTGGGCCTAAATAATTCCTTCTTATAGCCACTAAAACTCTTGCTAGCCTTCAACCAAGCCTCCCAATGAGCCATACCTGTGGGAGGTCATAACGATGGCTTTTCCACTTTCACGTGTCTTTGTCACCATGTTCCAGAGCAGGCGTCTGGCTACTGGGTCCATGCCAGTTGATGGCTCATCCAGGAAGATGACTGAAGACCTTCCCATTAGGGCAATAGCAGTACTCAGCCTACGTTTGTTTCCTTCACTTCATGGCCAAAGAAGGAGAGAAAAAGTGAGAGAAAAAATGGCTATACATATCAGCTATGTATAGGAAAGAGTTAGTACAAATTTCCCAAATGCTGAGAGTCCCAGCAAACACTTAACATGGATGTCCCAATGCTGATTATATGTGACTTTGATTAGGTAGCAGGCCCAATTACAGGCGTCTATATCAATTCATTTTAATTTGAGATATCGAGGAGTGACTTTTATGTAATTAATTTTGGCAGCATTATCAGTGGCATGTTCTTAGAGTGTTATGGTTTCCAAGACACATAAATCACATCATAATTCAAAGGGCCTACATTCCTCCTTACTTGGTAGACAAAGAACTATAGGGACACTAGGAAGAGAAGACACTCCTTTTTTTGAGGTTCAGAGGATATAGTTCAAATAGAACCAAGACTTTGCGTTTCATCTCTGAAAAGGGAAGATGTGGAACTGTATTGATTTGCCTTGTTACTGGCATCTGAAGCCTAGCAGAACATTAGATAGTTTCACAAGTAGGTAATTGTGGGAAGAGGAGCTTAGGTGGAGCTGTAAGCTTCATTTCAAACAGCAAGAACCTCAATATTAGCAGCATCAACAGAAAAGAGCAGTAGCATAGTGACTTACCTGTAGGTGTTGATAAGCCTGGCAGCATGAGACTCCAGTTCCAGTGAATTCAAACATTTGTTCACATACAGCCCAATCTGGGGCTCAGAGACTCCCCATATTCTGGCATACATAATCATTATTTCCTGAGCAGTCATATATTCCAGCAAGGCATCAAATTGAGGACAGTAGCCAATTCTTGACCTCACCTAATAACAAAAATTGCCTTGAGTAAAGAGCCAAGTCATCCATCCCACTCTACATCCATGGATGAGATGGCAAACCTGCAGTCCTCCAAGCCATGCTTCTAAGAGTCCTACCAAGACTGTTTTTTTCCTAAAGGGCTACAGAATTACAGCTGTCAGACCTATTGTAGGACACTGGGATAATAGCTTCTGTAATTCAGTTTTAATGATCTTGGGGATAAAGAAGTTAGAAATAAAATTCTAGAGCCACACAATTTGGAGGAGTATTGGAATATGAGATGCTCTTCTCATTAATCAGGAACTCTAAGGAGCATGGAAACCATGATGTTTTGGCTTTGTTTAACCTGTAGAGCCATATGTATATCTTGTTCCAGGGTAAGGCTGAACCAGAAGCAAAGCCTTTCTGCATTCATCCCCAAACCAGAGACTGCAATAAATGTTGCTTCACCAATTAGTCAAACCCTTCTGTTGATTTACATTGAGGTGCACATAGCCTAACAGACAGAGAAAAGGCTGTCAATTTAAATTAAATTAAATTACTAATTAATTTACAGTGTTTCCAAACTATTAATGCCCCCTAAACTCCTGGCATGGCACAAGCTCCTGCCCCTCTATTTGAAGTGACAGGGGCTTTAAAGGACTAGCTCCCTTTACACACCATCCTTCATTTTTCTCATTTTCCTCTTTTGGGATTCATATATTAAGTATTAGGGCATTAAAACACAACTGTATATATAAAGAAAAATATAAAGTAACCACACATGCTCAGGGAAAGACACAGGCTCAGAAAATGCCTGAGAAGAACTTAGTTTCACACCCCAGGCTGATCCTAAGCACCGAGACAGCCTACAACAATCCAAAAAACAAAAACAATAAATAAAAAGTAACAAACAACAGCAAACCTAAGAGAATGACGAAAATATAATTTCCAGAATTACCACTTTATTAGAGTCAAATGTCCAGTTTTTAATAAAACTCAGAAGCATACAAAGAAACAGGAAATTATGGCCCATCAAAGGATCAAAGGAAAAAAAAATGAATGGAAACTGTACTGAAAAAGACATGATGGCAGATATACTAGAAAAATACTTTAAAATACTGTCTTAATGATGCTTTAAAAACTAGAGGAAGATGTGGAGGAAGTCAAGAAAATGATGTACAAACAAAACAGCAATATCAATAAGGAGGTAGAAAACTTTAAAAGGAAACAAAAAAATTCTAGAGTGGAAAAGTACAATAACTGAAATAAAATATTAACTAGTAGGATTGAAAGTCATGTTTGAATAGGCAGAAGAAAAAATTACTTAACTTGAATATAGGACAATGGCAATTATTGAGTCTGAGGAACAGGAAGTAAAAAGATTGAAAAAAGGAAAAAAAAAAAGGAAAGATCAAAGAAATGTAAACAGAGCCTAAGGGACTTTTGGAACACCATCAAGTGGACTAATATATACATTGTGGTATTTAAGAAGGAGAAGAAAGACAAGGGCAGAGAGATAATTTGAAGAAATAATGATTGAAAACTTTCCCAATTTCATGAATATAAACATCCAAGAGCCCAATGAACTCTAAGGAAAATGAACTCAAAGAGACCCACACCAAGACATGTTATTATCAATTCAGCAAAAGCCAAAGACAGAGAGAGAATCTTGAAATCAGGAAGACAGAAGCCATGTATCACGTTTTAAAAAAGTCTCTGAAGACTATCAGCAGATATCAGAAGCTTCGGCAGCCAGAGGCAATGGTGTTTGACACATCAAGGTACCTGCAGCTGTGCACACTTTCTCCTGGGTCAGAGACTGCAGGCTTTGTACTGGGGCAGGCCTCGGAGCTCTGTGCACAGTAGGTTTTGCTTTTTTTTTTGAGACCGAGTCTTGCTCTGTCGCCCAGGCTGGAGTGCAGTGGCACGATCTCAGCTCACTGCAAGCTCCGCCTCCCGGGTTCACACCATTCTCCTGCCTCAGCCTCCTGAGCAGCTGGGACTACAGGCATCCACCACCACGCCCAGCTAATTTTTTGTATTTTTTTGTATTTATAGTAGAGACTTCACCGTGTTTGCCAGGATGGTCTCGATCCCCTGACATCGTGATCCGCCCGCCTCAGCCTCCCAAGGTGCTGGGATTACAGGCATGAGCCACCATGCCTGGCTGACACAGTAGGCTTTTAACAAATACTCAAAAAATCACAGTTCTTAGGCATTTAAGGAACAGAGTTGGAACAAAATCAAGATTCAAAATTATTTCTCTAAGCCTTCTTTGGGCCACAGTCTACAAAGAGATTGGGGAAGTAGGCTGTCAGAACTTTAATGGTTCTGAAATAACCGAAAATGATGTAACTGGAACACTTTCATTTTACAAGATTACAGTGTTACATTTTCTAAAGAAACTGTCATTTGCCTTCTGAACTAGAAACAGGGATTTGTAAAATAATGTGCAGTGATGGCGTGGAAAACTAACCAGCAGCACTCCTGAAACGCTGCCTTCGTGTTCCCCTGGGACTGCTCGCCTCACCCCAAAACTATTTCTACTGCCTTCCCCTTCCATGCTACAACTAGTCTCCAAAGGTAGTTTTCTCTACTAACAAAGCAAACAGATCATATGAACGGACATCAGACTTTCTTAGGAGATTTCTGAAAATTCTCTCTTCTGGGGAAATAAATTGTGAGCATTTCGATTCAAACATTCCTGAAAGAATAACCAGGCAACCAAAACACTCAGTGACCTAACTGTGGTGGGCTGGTCACTTCAAACTTAACAGAACAATAGAACATATACTACTTTATGGCCAAAAAAAAAAAATCTTTTTAAAACAATAAGTGTGGACAAAGTGTTTTCACAGATGAAGAGATGAAGTTCCTGAAATTTAGGGTTTCATTTCTCAAGGGTCTCCTTTAAACAAACAAACAGTTATGATTTCAAAGTAGACATGTGCCTTTAACACCATTTTTAAAAATTACCAGCCTTAGCAAAGGTGTAGAAAAAACTTGTTCTCAAGCACTGTCCGTGGAAGAATTAGTAAAACATTTCTAGAAAACCTGTTACCGTCTTAACAAACTTTTAAACACATGTAGCAATTCTACTTCCAGGAACTTATCTATTTGCCAAGACATATATGCAAGGATCTTCCCTATAGGGTTGTGTATAAAGGAAAAATCAGACAGACTATGCCAGGAACCCTCTGAAAGAGAAGAGTCAACTGTGGAGGGGGCACCTGTGAATGAATCCTGCGGAGTTGCTAACAGAGCAGACTTACACACACAACATGGTAAAGTTCCATGACACTGCACACAGGGGATTACACACACAACATGGTAAGGTTCCATGATGCCACACACAGGGGATTACACACACCACATGGTAAGGTTCCATGACACTGCACCCAGGGGATAACACACAACACATGGTAAGGTTCCATGACACCGCACACGGGATTACACACACAACATGGTAAGGTTCCATGACACTGCACACAGGGGATTACACACACAACATGGTAAGGTTCCATGACACTGTACACATGGGATTAGGTGAGCGGGGGAGGGGCTGGGGGAATAATAACATCAAAAGAGCACCTTTTCTTCCCTTATTCCGAGGAGACTTACCGCTAGGGGGACACATGCACACACAGCTCAAGGATACCCGAGACGGCACTCAGGACAATTCAGATGCGCCGTGTACACACACACACACACACACACACACACACACACACACAGAGAGAGAGAGAAAGGCACAGACACACATATGTGCACATAGACCCTGGGGCTCACAGGATGCACAGACAACCCTGGCCCTCCCCGAGGAGGCTGCAGCGGGCAGACAGGGCAAACAGACCCCAGCGTGACCTGCCCCACCTATGTTGGCACAGAGGGAGTGTTTTGCTTGGTTATAAGCACAGTGCTCATGCCTGCCCCATGCCTAGAACCCTCCCTCTATAGGGCTGTTGCTAGGGCTCTGAGATACCAGAGAGTGGTCAGGGAGTGTGGCAGGGGAAACTTTGGGGACAGCTTCAGGGTACCGTGTTGGGACTGGGACATTGTCAGGGTGCTCAGAGAGGGCGTGTTCCCTGGGTCTTGGTGCATTTAGAGGTCAAGGGACCATTTCTGGAGGCTCACTATGTGCCAGGGCAGCTTATATCAGAACTCCGCTCTCTTTTTTTTTTTTTTTTTTAAAGACAGAGTCTCACTGTTGCCCAGGCTGGAGTGCAGTGGCACCATTTCAGCTCACTGCAACCTCCACCTCCCGGGTCCAAGAGATTCTCCTGCCTCAGCCTCCTGAGTAGCTGGGACTACAGGCATGCACCACTACCACACCTGGCTAATTTTTGTATTTTTAGTAGAGACGGGGTTTCACCATGTTAGCAAGGCTGGTCTCGAACTCCTGACCTCAGGTGATCCACCTGCCTTGGCCTCTGAAGGTGCTGAGATTACAGGCATGAGCCACTGCGCTTGGCCAGAGATCTGCTCTGGAAGACCCCCCAGGCTGGAGGGCACTGCCACAAGCAGACAGTATGGCGAGGGTCCCTATGGCCACCTGGCAGGCAAGGTGGATTCTGGAGGGAGGTGGCCTGGGAGCAGGCTGAGGATGGGGTGAGGGCATTTGAGCAGCAGAGTGTCTGCGTGACTGGGCATAACTGGAGGGACAGTAAATGACTCTTGTGTGAGAGGATGAGGGTGGGGTGAGAGGGGCTGACTACCCCTAGGACTTTTGTATTTTTAGTAGAGACAGGGTTTCACCATATTGGCCAGGATGGTCTCGAACTCCTGACCTTGTGATCTGCCTGCCTCAGCCTCCCAAAGTACTGGGATTACAGGTGTGAGCCACCGCACCTGGACACGTTACTTAATATTTCTGTGCCTTGGTTTCTTCATCTGTGAAATGGGATTGTTGTGAGAACACAAAGGGATTCCCAGGGCAGTTCCTAGTGCATAGTCTGGCTGCCTTTGTGTGTGTGTGTGTGTTTAATATAGAGACAGGGTCTCACTATGTTGCCTAGGCTGGTTTCAAACTCCTGGGCTCCAGTGATCCTCCTGCTTCCACCCAAAGTGGTGGGATTACAGGCGTGAGTCAACACACCTGGTCACTTTATATTATTATTTTTTTCTTTTGAGACAGGGTCTGGCGCTGTCGCCCAGGTTGGAATACAGCGGTGCAATCTCAACTCACTGCAAACTCCGCCTCCCAGGTTCAAGCAATTCTCTTGCCTCAGTCTCCTGAGTAACTGAGATTACAGATGCCTGCCACCACACGAAGCTAATTGGTTGGGTGTGGTGGGGCTTTCCAATGATTACTTATTAATGATTACTTATGAAAAACAACAACAACAAAAAAGCCATCTTGAAGCTGCTTTTAATGAGAAAACAAATGTGCTCCCAAGCAACAGAGCAGCGAAATTCTTTATTACTGGATTCTAACTTTCCTCTCTAACTGTAACTGTCTCAGCTCCACTTCATGTGACCTGGAGGGTATGTTGCAACCTGCGTCTTCACCACCCATTCATGAAGATCTATAAAACTAATGTAAACTGCTGGGGCAATTTCAACATGAGTCAACTGGAGATTGTTACTTGGTGAGAATGCGCAAGTGGCAAAGATCTAAATTTGTTCAGCTAATTTGTAATTAACCTTCGCTTCTCACATGTCAGTATGTGAAGTGTCTGGTTTAAGCAATTTATCCAAAAAAGCCATAGACTCTTTAAATAACAACAAAACCTGGGCCTGGAATTTTATAAAGGCAGAATGAGTAAGACACGGTTTCGGTGTGCTTTTTTAAAGAAAACAGGGTCTTGCTCTGTTGCCCAGGATGAAATGCCATGCTGCATTTACAGCTCACTGCAGCCTTGACCTCCCACCTCAGCTTCCAGAGGAGCTGGGATTACAGGTGTGCACCACCACGCCCAGCTAATTTAAAAAATTTTTGTAGAAACAGGGTGTCACTGTGTTGCCCAGGCTGGTCTCCAGCAATCCTCTGGCCTTGACCCCCTAAAGTGTGGGGATTACACGCACGAGCAACTTGCCACTTACTATCTGACTGTGACCTGGAACCAGAAAGGAGATTCCGAGAGTGTGCTCAATCAATCACAAACTGACCTTTTTCATGGGTTTCTTGAACTCCTGTAGCTCTTCAGCACTCATGCCTTCCCATACCTGATAAATAGGATCAATGAATTTCTTTGACCTGTCAACAAAGATCACATTTCAAAGTCAAGTTAAATACTTCAGCAGAAGTCAAAATTGGTTTGGATCTTTTCTCACAAGATCTATTACCCAAAACCAAGAAGTGAAAACTACAGCTTAAATAATTACATTAAAAAAAACCTGGCTGGGCGCAGTGGCTCACGCCTGTAATCCCAGCACTTTGGGAGGCTGAGGTGGGCAGATCATGAGGTCAGGAGATCAAGACCATCCTGGCTAACACGGTGAAACCCCATCTCTACTAAAAATACAAAAAATTAGCCGGGTGTGGTGGCGGACGCCTGTAGTCCCAGCTACTCAGGAGGCTGAGGCAGAATGGCCTGAACCGGGGAGGCGGAGCTTGCAGTGAGCCGAGATTGCGCCACTGCAGTCCGCAGTCCGGCCTGGGCGACAGAGCGAGACTCCGTCTCAAAAAAAAAAAAAAAGAAAAAAAAAAAAAGAGAAGCCCTTTTGTTTCCTGATAGTTACATGTAATTCCAGCAGTATTTGGAAATAATTTGCTAAGATGTTAGAATGTAACATTTGAAGACTCGTTAGAAAAATCAATAAAATTATCTTTGGCTAATGGGTAGTACACATCTTAGTCTGTTTAATATGCCTTTCCAAAAAAAACTGTGTCTGTTGAGAATTGGTGTATATAACTAGATGACTTTAATAATTAGTGCCTGAGTCTAGAATTGAGATGTTTAGTCGTAAAAAAAAATATTGTTCGATAAACAGCGTTGACTTGTCTTGTACCACTTAAGAGTTTGTGAGTGCTTTAAATAAAATTAGTTGATTAAGTATTTTTTTCCTATGATTGACATGCTTAGTTTTGCCTTTTTATTGAAATGTGTAAAATTTGGTTTTCTGGCATCTTAACAAATTAGGTGGTAAATGAATGACAATGGATTTTCTATTATTTTTCAGTATTGTGATCAGTATAAGTATATAAGAGAATTTAGTAACCTTTTAGAAGAATAAAGTGCCCTTCCCAAATAGTCCTACAGCTTTTGGAAAAGTGTAAATTGTAGTTTGTAGTTCTAAATAAATAGAGAAGAGTCGCAGCCACGTGCTAGGGCCAGCTGACTTCATTGCTGACAGGTATGAAGCCAAATGGCTTATGTAGTTATGGAATATGTACATGAGCTATTAATAAATATTATCCATGTTGTTTCTTTCAAGTGCTTTATTTCTTGGCTCTGGGGAGGGGCGATGGGGGAAGGGAGGAGCTTACAAGAAAGCTTGCAAGGTTTCTTTGAAGCTGTGCTTTTTGTAGGAAAGTTTCAGGATGTAACGCCTTGGTAGACGATACTGTGATACATTTGGTTACAGGCAGTAACAGTTTGTTAGGATGTTGGAAAAATTTGATTTTCTCCTGTTGTAGAGGGAACAGGGAAGTGTGGACATACCCCATAGCATAACTTGATTTGTTGCTAAGATTGTCATAGCTGATTTGTTAGTCAATAAAAATACCTGGGGTGTTTGCCAAGTCATAAATTTTTATTAGTTAAATTTGAGGTGATTCTGTCCCCTATTCAGAAAGATGACAGACTCCAGGTAACTGACGGAACAGATCTT
Organism: Homo sapiens; assembly: GCF_000001405.40. Classification (NCBI taxonomy): domain Eukaryota; kingdom Metazoa; phylum Chordata; class Mammalia; order Primates; family Hominidae; genus Homo; species Homo sapiens. The sequence goes on along the minus strand of NC_000016.10, from coordinate 21,931,114 downwards.
GATCTTGCTTCTTGCTTAAATGAAGGTTTAGAACATCTTCAGATGCAGGCACATTTATTATTGTTCATCTGAATAATTTTGGTGAAAATTTTTTTGCCTCTTATGTACCATTTTGTCCCTGGTGTTTTGGTTCTGTTTTCCTTGATGTAGGCTTTTTTTTTTTTTTGTCTTCCTGAGATGGAGTCTTGCTCTGTCTCCCAGGCTGGAGTGCAGTGGTGTAATCTCGACTCACTGCAGCCCCTGCCTCCCGGTTACAGGGAAAAATTCTCCTGCCTCAGCCTCCTGAGTAGCTGGGATTACAGGCGTCCAGCTAATTTTTGTATTTTTAGTAGAGACGAGATTCCACCATGTTGGCCGGCCTGTTCTTGGACTCCTGACTCAGGTGATCCGCCTGCTTTGGCCTCCCAAAGTGCTGGGATTACAGGTGTAAGTCATCGCACTCAGCCGATTTAGGCTTTTGAAAAAGCAATACTTGTTGATTTCTTTTAGTGTTAGTTTGCCAGTTGGTGTGGAAAATGACTGTTGAGACAATTTTGACCACACATGATACTTCACACATACTGACAGGAAGTGTTCCAGGTGGCTGAATATGTGAATGTCATATGGCAAGAGAGCAAACCCGTGTTCCATAGAAGCATACCTCCAACAGTAAGCATTTATATGGCACTGGCTTATAGTCTTCCTTTTCATTCACTGTGCTCTCAGTCAACTCTTCTGTCAATTTTTTTGAGACGGTCTTGCTGTGTCACCCAGGCTGGAGTGCAGCGGCACAGATACTTGGCTTACTGCAGTCTCGACCTCCCAGGCTCAAGCCTCCTGCCTCAGCATCCACAAGTAGCTGGGGCTACAGGCGCTTGCCAACAGCCCGGCTCATTTTTGTATTTTTTGTAGAGATGGGGTTTTCACCACGTTGCCCAGGCTGGTCTTGAACCCCTGAACGCAAGCAATCTGCCCACCTTCAGCCTCCCAAAGTGTTGAGATTACAGGTGTGAGCCACTGCACCCGACATTTAAGAATGGTTAAGCAGGCCGGGGGCAGTGGCTCACGCCTGTAATCCCAGCACTTTGGGAGGCTGAGGTGGGTGGATCACCTGAGGTCAGGAGTTCGAGACCAGCCTGGCCAACCGACATGGTGAAACCCCTGTCTCTACTAAAAAAAAATAAATAAATAAATTAGCGGGATGTGGTGGTGCATGCCTGTAATCCCAGTTACTCGGGAGGCTGAGGCAGGAGAATCACTTGAACCTGAGAGGCAGAGGTTGTAGTGAGCGACATCACACCACTGCACTCCAGCCTGGGCAGCAGAGCAAGACTCCTTCTCAAAAAAAATAAAAAGTTAAAAAAAGAATGGTTAAACAAATGAGTGTCTTAGGTCAGTTGTATTATTTGAAATCTGTGGGTTCCTCAAGCGTAAAGTTGAGAAGGTTTTGGGAACCACTGGATGCCTCTGGTTTTTTTCATATGAAGAAACAGGGGTGGTGGCTTCTTAGAACAAAGGGATATCTGACCTATGGAGGTGGCCCTCTTTACTCCTCTTCCCTAAAAAAATGACCTATCATTGCCAATAGCTAAAGTCTGTCATTTTTTCCACCTTAGTTTGGAAGATAATCTTCTAGTATCAATCAAGACAGAGATCAGAATGATGTGTTTTAAAATTAAATGTGTAATTCATAATTGTACATTTTAATATTCTAAAGTGACATTGATTAATTTGACATTGGAGTCAAATAGATTGATTAATTCAACAAAGAAGAGAAGGCGTTCAAGTCAACAGAAAACAAGTAGATTTTACTTCTCCACTCGGGGTATTAGGACATTAATTGTGTAATTGGTCTTACTTGTTTAGTAGTAGATCTATATTGAGTGTCTTACTGTGCCCAAACTTAGGATCTTTCTATATTTCTAAAAGGATGAAACTGTATAATAAAAACACCTTCCAATTTTGGTAGATTGTAGACAGATCAGAGTATTCAAAAGTACACACATCTTCTCTATTGTGAAAGACCAAAAAATGGAAATGTGTTGTGAAATTAGAAAAGCTGTATACTAGTATGTCTGATGTTGTGAGAAGCTGGATTTTTGAAACCAGAGTTGTCTATTCAGCCTTTTATCAGTCTGTACTAAGTTTGATGTCCATAGGTACATAATATAGGGAGATACATAAAGGATAAAATTAAGTGAAGTTACATATTTTATACCTATTAGGTAGGTGCAAAAGTAATTGCGGTTTTGGCAAAAACCGCAGTTACTTCCACACCAGTCTAATATTAAATGGAACTAGAGTCAAATAGAATTTAGCGATTGCCAGTTCTGTTCCACAGATTTCAAAGTACACTAAGGAAAATTTCAGCAAATTGTGTATGGCTGTTTTACTTGGGGGAGAGTAAAACAGCCATAATAAACTAAAAAATAAAAATTAAAACTAAAGGAACATTTGTTTTTATGTTTTTCTTTTCTTTTCTTTCCTCTTTTTTGAGATATGCTCTTGCTCTGTTGCCCAGGCTGGAGTGCAGTGGTGCAATCACTGCTCACTGCAGCCTTGACTTCCTGGGCTCTGGGAATCCTCCCGCCTTAGCCTCCTGAGTAGCTGGGACCACAGGTGCATACCACCACACCTGGCTAATTTATTTTTCCTCTCTCTCTCTCTTTTTTTTTTGAGACAGAGCTTTACTTTGTCGCCCAGGCTGGAGTATAGTGGCACAATCTCAGCTCACTTGCAACCTCCGCCTCCTGGTTCAAGTGATTCTCCTGTCTCAGCCTCCCAAGTAGCTGGGAATACAGGTGCATGCCACTATGCCCGGCTAATTTTTGTGTTTTTAGTGGAGATGGGATTTCACCATGTTGGCCAGGCTGGTCTTGAACTGCTGACCTCAGGTGATCCACCCGCTTCGGCCTCCCAAAGTGCTGGGATTACAGGCGTGAGCCACCACGCCTGGCTTCCTCTCTCTTTTTCTGAAACAGAGTCTCGCTCCATTGCCCAGGTTGGAGTGCAGTGGAACCATCTCAGCTCACTGCAGCCTCCACCTCCCAGGCTCAATAAGTCCTCCTACCTCACCCTCCCAATAGCTGGGACCACAGGTGCATGTTACCACCCCCAGCTACTTTATTTTTTTTTTGTTTTCTGTAGAGACGGGGTTTTGCCATGCTGCCTGGGCTGGTCTTGAATACCTAGGCTCAAGTGATCCTTCCTCCTTGGCCTCCCAAAGTGCCAGGATTACAGGTGTGACCCACCATGCTTGGCACGCTAATTTTTTATTTTTACTTTTTTGTAGAGATGGGGCCTCCCCATGTTGCCCATGCTGGTGTCAAACTCCTACTCCATTATGAAATAAGTCATTCCTTATGAAACACTTAGTAATTGTATCTTTAAGTTGAACCTTCCCCTCACCCCAACTTTTTTTTTTTTTTTTTTTTTTTTTTTTTTTTTTGAGACAGAGTTTTGCTCTTGTTGTCCAGGCTGGAGCGCAATGGTGCAATCTCGGCTCACTGCATCCTCCGCCTCCCAGGTACAAGCTGTTTTCCTGTCTCAGCCTCCCAAGTAGATCAGATTACAGGCATGTGCCACCACACCCGGCTAATTTTTTTATATTTAGTAGAGATGGGGTTTCACCATGTTAGGCTGGTCGTGAACTCCTGACCTCAGGTGATCCACCTGCCTCGGCCTCCCAAAGTGCTGGGATTACAGGTGTGTGCCACTGCACCCCGCCTTTTTTTTTAAAGACATAGTTTCACTCTGTCTCCCAGGGTGGAGTGCAGTGGCACGATCTTGGCTCAGTACAACCTCCACTCCTGGGTTCAAGTGATTCATGTGCCTCTGCCTCCCGAGTAGCTGGGACTACAGGCGCATGTCACCAGGCCCGTCTAATTTTTGTATTAGAGACAGGGTTTCGCCATGTTGGCCAGGCTGGTCTCGAACTCCTGACCTCGAGTTCCCACCTTGGCTTCTCAAAGTGCTGGGATTACAGAAGTGAGACACCGTGCCTGGACCCGCCAACCCATTTTGTTTTGATTCCTTTATAAATTAGTATAATGGAAGGTTTTTTTGTTTGTTTTTTATAACAGGTAATGAAATACTCTAATTCAGTAAATATTGATGCTTCTGGGGAGATGTGTGTGTGTGTGTGTGTATGTGTGTGTGTGTGTGTGTGTGTGTGTGTGTGTATGTATATAATAAATTTTTTTTTTTTTTTTTAGGATGGAGTGTCACTCTGTCGCCCAGGCTAGAGTGCAGTGGTGCAATCTCGGCTCACTGCCAGCTCCACCTCCTGGGTTCACGCCATTCTCCTGCCTCAGCCTCCCGAGTAGCTGGGATTGCAGGTGCCCGCCACCACGCCTGGCTAATTTTTTGTATTTTTAGTAGAGATAGGGTTTCACCGTGTTAGCCAGGATGGTCTCGATCTCCTGACCTCGTGATCCGCCCGCCTCGGCCTCCCAAAGTGCTGGGATTACAGGTGAGAGCCACTGTGCCCGGCGAAGCAGCGTCTCTTTTTAAGGTTGTAAGGTAGCTTGGGTTAGAAATAAAGGCAGAGAGCCACTCCATACCTGTAGTTCTAGCTACTGGGGAGGCTAAGACCAGAGGAATCTCTTGAGCCCAGGAGTTCAAGGCTGCAGTGAGCTGTAATCACACACTGCACTACAACGTGGGCAACATAGAGTGAGACCTAATAAATAAATAAATAAATAAATAAATAAATAAATAAATGCAAGGAGAAAGTCAGGAACTTGGTGCATTTAGGTGTACAATTAGTTGGCATAAACAATTTTTTTTTTTGAGATGGAGTTTCTCTCTTGTTGCCCAGGCTGGAGTGCAGTGGGGCAGTCTCGGCTCACTGAAACCTCTGCCTCCTGGGTTCAAGTGATTCTCCTGCCTCAGCCTCCCGAGTAGCTGGGATTACAGGTGCCCGCCACCACGGCCAGCTAATTTTTGTATTTTTAACAGATGGGGTTTTGCCATATTGGCCAGGCTGACCTTGAACTCCTGACCTCAAGTGATCCGTCCGCCTCAGCCTCCCAAAGTGCTGGGATTACAGGCGTGAGCCACTATGCCAGCCAAGAATTTTTAAAAAAGGAGTTTCATTCAGCCCACCTCATTCCTCTGCAGGGCACCTGTGTGCAGGGCAAAACTGCTCAACCCTACTCAGAAGCCCTGTGAAAGCTGCTGAAAGGATGAGCAGATTGAGGCCTGAACTGTATCTTGGATTTAGCAGCCTGGAGGTCATAATGGATTTTGCCAAGAGTGATGGGGCAGAAATTGGACCAGTGTGTGTTAAGGAGCTAGAAGAAGTGAAGAAATGGGAGAGGGGAATCTAGACAACTTTAGTTTGGCTGCAGCAAGTAAAGGCAGATTGTTTGATGGAGGGACGTGTGGGATTGATGGAGTTTTTCCTTTTTATATGTTTTTGTATTTTTCAATGGAATACATTAGAAAGTGTTGCATGTTTATGGGGGGGATTTAGTTCAGTGGGAAAAGTATTTGAAAAGCTACAGTAAGGTGGAAGTAGATGGAATCCTCAGTAAGGTCTAGAATCGGGTACAGGTATTTTATGGTATCTTCCTCACCCCACCCCGAGACGGAGTTTCGCTCTTATTATTGCCCAGGCTCTGGAGTGCAGTGGTGCAGTCTTGGCTCACTGCAACCTCCACCTCCTGGGTTCAAGCGATTCTCCTGCCTCAGTCTCCCATGTAGCTGAGATTACAGGTGCGCACCACCACACCCAGCTAATTTTTGTATTTTTAGTAGAGATGAGGTTTCACCATTTTGGCCAGGCTGGTGTCCAACTCCTGACATCAAGTGATCCACCCGCCTTGGCCTCCCAAAGTGCGGGGATTACAGGCGTGAGCCACTGTGCCCAGCTGGTACCTTTTTTCTTGTTGGTGAAGTAGAATGTGTGTATGGGGAGGGGAGGTGATAGGATATTTTGGAATTTGAAGAGAATGGGAATGTCTGGATAGTGCATGTATAGAATGGGAAGTAAACACTGGAGGACCTGGGAGTGTGGTGCTTATTGATGGATCGTTGGGTTTATCCAGGATTGGGGTTTTGCCAGATGGGTGTGATGAGAATCTTAAGAGTTAAGGGTATAGGCAAGAGTGTTGTTGAAATGATACACAATGAAATCTAAGCTGGTTAAAGAAGTGAAGAAGGGGCCGGGCACGTTGGCTCACGCCTGTAATTCCAACACTTTGGGAGGCCGAGGCGGGTGGATCCCTTGAGGTCAGGAGTTCGAGACCAGCCTGGCCAACATGGTGAAACCCCGTCTCTACTAAAAATACAAAAATTAGCCGGGTGTGGTAGCAGGGGCCTGTAATCTCAGCTACTTGGGAGGCTGAGGCAGGAGAATCGCTTGAACCTGGAGGTGGAGGTTGCAGTGAGCCAGTATTGCACCACTATACTCCAGCCTGGGCAACAAAGTCAGAGTCTGTCTCAAAAAAAAAAAAAAAAAATGAAGTGAAGAAGGAGGAGAATACTTGGATTGGGATAAAGTAGAAAGAGTCACTGGATTAAAGTTAACTAAAAAACTCATAAACTTTAGAGTGGTATTGAGAAATTGTAGGGTGAACTGAAAAAGGCTCATGGGATTTTAGAGCCAAGAAGGCCTTGAGTGGCAGTTCCTACCTTAGTAGGAATAGCTTCAGTGGTGTGTTGCAGGTGGAACCCAGATTAAAGTGGGTTAAAAAGTAAATGAAGGCAAGGAAGATAAATTTTTCAACAGGTTTGTCTGTGAAGAGTCCAGGCTATTAGATTGATAGAGGGAGAAAGGCAGTTAAAGGGTTTTTTTGTTTTTTGTTTTTTTTGAGTCAGAGTCTCACACTGTTGCCCGGTCTGGAGTGCAATGGCGTGACCTCGGCTCACTGCAACCTCCGCCTCCGGGGTTCAAGTAGTTCTCCTGCCTCAGCCTCCCAACTAGCTGGGAATACAGGCGCCCACCACCACACCCGGCTAATTTTTTGTATTTTTAGTAGAGACGGGGTTTCACTATGTTGCCCAGGCTGGTCTCAAACTCCTGACCTCATGATCTGCCTGCCTCGCCCTCCCAAAGTGCTGGGATTACAGGCGTGAGCCACCGTGCCCGGCCTTATTTTCTTAATTTTTAAATTTATTTTATTATTATTATGATTATTTTTGAGATGGAGTCTCTCTGCCGCCCAGGCTGAAGCGCAATGGTGCAATCTCGGCTCACTGCAACCTCTGCCTCCCGGATTCGAGCGATTCTCCTGCCTCAGCCTCCTGAGTAGCTGGGATTGCAGGCGCCCGCCACCACGCCTGGCTGATATTTGTATATTTAGTAGAGACGGGGTTTCACTACATTGGGCAGGCTGGTCTTGAACTCCTGACCTCATGATCCACCCACCTTGGCCTCCCAAAGTGCTGGGATTACCAGCGTGAGCCACCGCACCCGGCCTTTAGTTTTTTTTTTTGAGACGGAGTCTCGCTCTGTCACCAGGCTGGAGTGTAGTGGCACGATCTTGGCTCACTGCAAGCTCTGCCTCCCGGGTTCAAATGATTCCCCTGCCTCAGCCTCCCAAGTAGCTGGGACTACAGGTGCGTGCCACCACGCACAGGTAATTTTATTTTTTCTATTTTAGTAGAGACGGGGTTTCACCGTGTTGGCCAGGGTGGTCTCAATCTCCTGACCTTATGATCTGCCTGCCTTCGCCTCCCAAAGTGCTGGGATTACAGGCATGAGCCACCGTGCCCGGCCATTTTTTGTTTTTGTTTTTGTTTTTTTTAAAGTAAGACTTTTGAGAGTGCTCATATGTTGATGATGTGATAAGCAGTAGTAAAATGGGAGATTTTGCAACGTACAAAAGAAACAGGCCGGGTGCAGTGGCTCAAGCCTGTAATCCCAGCACTTTGGGGAGGCCAAGGTGGGCGGATCACGAGGTCAGGAGATCGAGACCATCCTGGCTAACATGGTGAAACCCCGTCTCTACTAAAAATACAAAAAATTAGCCGGGCGTGGTGGTGGGCGCCTGTAGTCCCAGCTACTCGGGAGGCTGAGGCAGGAGAATGGCGTGAATCCGGGAGGCAGCGAGTCGAGATCACGCCACTGCACTTCAGCCTGGGCGACAGAGCGAGACTACATCGCAAAAAAAAAAAGACAAGACATACCTTGGAAAATGGGGGGAATAGACAGATGATTTCTATGGATAGGAGGTTTATTTGTTCCATTATGCGAAGATGATGGGAAGAAAAGCTGTATGTGCAGATGCAGGTGAATTTGTGGATATATTAGAAGGAAGATGACAGGCAGTGATGGAGTGTTGAAGAGCTCAAACATTAGACAGTACTGGGTCTGAGTTCTGACTCTGCCTTTTGCAAGCTGTGCAACCATAGGCCAGTTATGAAACCTTAGTTATCAAGTTATAACTAATAGGATTGTGTTGAACACGAAATGACATGATAAACATATGTAAACTGCTTGGATCAGTTGCCCACTAGCTCTTGTTAGGAGCTAAAATGTTAGCTCTTGCTGAGGGTGCTGTCAAATGGCTTCTGTTTCTCATGGAGCAGAAATCTATAAGGTCATCCACTGGTAGTGGTGGGAGAAGGAAAAAGGTGCAGAAAGTTTTACAGATGTTTTGGAAAGGAAAGAAACCTGGTGAGGGAAATGTGGGCAGCATCAGAGGCCCACTTGAAGTCAGAGAAAAGGAGCATTGGGGCATGGAGGTGAGGGGGTACTTTCTTCAGCTTTTCTCTGAAGACAATTGTGCATGTGAAACAAGGGTTAAAATCAGATCTATTGCCCTCCTGGATTTATTGGCTTCGTTTGCTCTTTCTGGCTAATTTGATTGGAGTTCTGAAAGTAGAGAATATTAGAGGTTCCTTGGAAGGAAAATAAGCAACACTGAAGTCAAATCTTTATCATGTTTGCTGGAAATGTTATTAAAAAACAAAATTTATGGCCGGGTGCAGTGGCTTATGCCTGTAATCCCAACCCTTTGGGAGGCTGAGGTGAGTGGATCACTTGAGCTCAGGAGTGCGAGACCAGCTTGGGCAACATTTTGGGAATGTTGTAGAGAATGGGACAAAAAAATACAAAAGTTGCTGGGCGTGGTGGAGTAAGCCTGTGGTCTCAACTACTTGGGAGGCTGATGTGGGAGGTTTGCTTGAGCTCGGATTGCACCACTGCACTCTAGCCTGGGCGACAGTGTGAGACCCTTTTTCAAAACAAACAAGCAACTTTTTTTGAGCTACAGTATATTTAATGGTTTTAAATATGAGTGCAGAGTAAGAGGGAGTCCAGTCCATAAGATGACCCTTGCTTCTAATACTAGTTGCAAGTTTGGGGGTTCCCAAGACCACTCTTTTTTTTTTTTGAGACAGGGCCTCTCTCTGTCACCCCGGTGAGAGTGCAGTGGCATGATCACGGCTCACTGCGCCCTGAACTCCTCCCTCCCAGGTTCAGGCAGTCCTCCTACCTCAGCCACCTGAGTTGCTGGATCTGTGGGCACACACCACCTCGCCTGGCTAGTTTTTCTATATTTTTTAGAGACAGTTTCACCATATTGCCAGGCTGGTCTCAAACTCCTGAGCTGAAGTGATCCGCCTGCCTGGGCCTCCCGAAGTGCTGGGATTACAGGCTTGAGTCACTGTGCCTGGCCAAGACCACTCTTAGGTTGGATGATTTGCCAGGAGGACTCACTAGAACTCATTGAAAGCTCTCATACCCATGGTTAGAGTTTATTGCAGTTTAGGGATTCAGATTAGAACGAGCCAAGGGTAGAGGTGCATAGGGCAGAGTTCGGGGAAGTTCCAAATGTTGGAGTTTCTAATTGTCCTGTCCCTGTAGAGTTGTGAAAAATGACACCTTCCTGGTGGCACTGGTGTGCGACCATACTCATGGATTATTGCCAACCAGGGAAGCTCACTCTATTTTTTATGTCCAGCGTTTTTACTGGGGTTCCATGGTTGCATGCCCATGTGGCTAACCTTAGTCTCCAGCCCCACTGGAGGCCAAGCTGATCCATGTGACTCAAAGCCCCCACCATAAGCCACATTATTAGACTGTGCTGTGGCCTAAAGCCCCCAGATGAACAAGGACACTTTCCCCCACCGCCGCCCCCCCCCCCCTTTTTTTTTGGAGATAGTCTTGCTCTGTTGCCCAGGCTGGAGTGCAGTGGCATGATCTCAGCTCACTGAAACCTCAGCCTCCTGAGTAGCTGGGATTATTACAGGTGCCCGTCACCATGCCTGGCTAATTTTTGTATTTTTAGTAGAGACAGGTTTCACCATGCTGGCCAGGCTGGTCTCAGAATCCTGACCTCAAGCGATCTGCCCGCCTTGGCCTCCCAAAGTGCTGGGATTACAGGTGTGAGCCACTGCTCCTGGCCAGGACCCTCTTATTAGGTATGACATTTCAAGAGTTTAGAGATTACCTTCCAGAATTCACAGGTAAAAGCCAGACCTCTCCTTGGTGAAGATACAATTCTTTACAATTTTACAATAGTTAAATATATTTTATCAGTCTATATTGGCTGTTTAGTTGACAGACAGTTAAAAATTGGTGACAGTCCAGATGTGGTCACTCATGCTTCTAATCCTAGCATTTTGGGAGGCTGAGGTGGGAGGATTGCTTGAGTCCAGGAATTTGAGAGCAGCCTGAGCAACATAATCAGACACCTGTCTCCAAAAAACATAAAAATAAAAAATTAGCTAAATGGAGTGGCATGCACCTGTGGTCCCAGCTGTTTGAGAGGCTGAACCCATGAGGTCGAGGCTGCACCCATGAGGTCGAGGCTGCAGTGAGCTATGGTCATGCCAGTGCACTCCAGCCTGGGTGACAGAGTGAGACCCTGTCTCAAAAAAGGAAACAAATCACCCATAAATGGATAATTAAGATTTGGTTATTATAGACACTTAATACTTAGGTAGCTAAGGTAGTTTTACCAATAAATTATATTAATTTAATATTTCAGTATTGCAAAACTGATGCATACTCATTTACAATTTTGACATGGAATGGTTCTGTTTTGTTTTATTAAATTTGAACTTAAAAGTTCTCTGCAAGAAGAGATTTGTATAATAAATTCCCTGAGCCTCTCAAATTAATATTTTAGCCATAGACTCATATTTAGAGCAGTGTTTCTAATGTAATGATACAAGGCCCAGGGTTATTCATAGTTTCACCGTTTCTCTTATTCCTCATTAAAGCATGTTTGAATCCAGGCAAGAGGCATTACAGGGGAAAACCTTGAATTTATTTTTGAAGGGTAAATCATTTCCAAGTGGTATTAACCATTAGTATGGAAAGCAACATATCCTATAACTGCTCTGTGACAGTGAGACTATCTTTGCTGCTTTAGAGAATAAGTACATTCCTACTTCATTGGCTTTAGTGCAAATCTCATTTCCTGGTTTATATCCATTACAAATTAGATCTCACCATGAGAGCAAAATCCCTTAATAAACCTAGGTAAAAGCAATTTGAAGTAATATGATGCTTACTCCAGTGACACCACTAGGTGTGGTGTTTGCATCAAGTCATTTTGGGGTGCTTTATGGAAATGCTTCCTAGTAGGGAATTCCCTGACTTCACACTTTCCAGAGATGACGCTCTCTCTCTTTTTCTCTCTAATACTTACAAGAATGGACTGCAAGGCTACATTTAGTCAGGCGATACCATCCCCAGCACATGGTGGCTTGTTGGTGTGAGGTCTAAGGATTCCGGTCATTTGAAACGAATGGCCTCCTAGATTTGTGGCATTTTTCTGTATATTGAGAATAGGTAACTAAAATAAGTGGTAACTGTATTTGCATGTGATTTGTATGTGATAGTTAACATTTAAATTCTCTTATGTACTAAAATTTTTTTGGTTGCCACATTAAGCCTCTTTATCCTGTAAGGCACAGAGTGTCTTTCCACCTCAATTTTTGCTTTAATGTATGAACCCTAATGGGACCATAGTTCAACTAAAGGCACCTAACTCATGAATGATATTTGCTCCATGTTTGAACAACAAATGTTTTAACCCACTGTCTTCACTAATATTGTAACTACTGTCTTACAGATTGACTTGATGCACAACATCACAAAGGCGATTTTTGAGGTATGAGCTTTAGAAACTTACCTCTCATGTGGCATGTACATCAGGCTTTAACTTCAGTTTGATCGTTTTGGGGAAATTTATGCATTTCTTTTTTTTTCTCTCCATGATATTTTTAGAATATTAAAGGGGCTGTAGAGGTATTTTTGGTTCCTTGCTAGGATTCTTAGACTTAACAGATAGATTTTCTTTTTTCACTAAATTGAGACACTAATTCTGGCAGATGATATCCCTTTCAGCTCTTCTAACTAACTAGCCTAACATTCATGCCTGCTTCTTGGAGTTCAAATCTGCAGTTTCTATTTTGTGGCTTTGATTGCCTCATTTTAAGTGCTCATTTCCGTTCTTCAACAGTTCTCTATTTATTGGACTGGGATGATCTTGTTGGTGCTAACAGCCTGACATTGACATTTTTTGAAACCTAAGCAGTCAAGATTGTATAAAAATAGAAATTTCTTATAAATGCTAAACCATTTTGTGCTTTTAGGTTCAGAATGCTTACAACCTGAGTTCTGGTTGGGGATGCTTTGATCAATTTGTATTAAAATAATTTGGCAACTAGGGAGTTTTGAGGTATTTCTGAGACGGTGGCTCTATTCCAGTTTTTTTTGTTATATTTCTGAAAACACAGATTTTTTTTGGGAAAAAAATCTCAGTGTTCATAACTTAGGGGATTTAGAAACCTTATTTCTAACCAACGGGGAAGCTGCTCCTGGTTTTACAGTTTAGTTTGAAATCAGATGCTTCCTAGTTGGAAACACATTGTTGGTAGCAACAGATTACCTGCTTTCTTCAGTGAAGTATTTAAGTTGCTCTATATTGACTGTAAAAACTTGTTTTGATTATATTCATATACTCATGAACTGTTTGTACATTGTCTTTTAGACTGGAAACTTTGAGTTTATTTTGTATTATGGTCATAACAACTTTTAACATACCCTGCAAACTAAGTGTTTCTTTATAATTCATTATCTTATTTTAGCCTCACAACAACCTTACATGTTAGATAGGTATCATCCTCATTTTATGCAAGAGACAACCAAGGCTTGGAGATCAAGTAATTTGTGCAAAAGCACACATACTTTTCAGTGCTGGAGCTGGGATTTGAGCCCAGATCTTTTTTTAACTTGTATTCTCTGCTGCCTTATGGTACTACTGTGTCACCAGAAAATGATACAAACATTTAACTCTTAATAGTAAAGGTAGTGTAGGAGATAAGTAAACATGATGAAAACAGGAAGTGAAGATACGTTTAAATATTGGCAGACTTCAGTTATCTTTGTGTTTCTGAATTAGTCAAGTGCTTATTTTATTCGCTCATCTAATAAGAGCTTACTGTGGCATACATATAAAGTTCAAACCCTGTCAGAAAAGATTATAAGCTCTCTTACGTTTCAGTCTCCTTTCAGAAAGTAATGGTATGCTATGATTTATATAGACGCATGTTAAATGTGCTATTTTTAGGTACATAAGGAATGTCTTTTCATTAGTTTAAAAAAGTTATGGTCCATTGAGTTAATATTTTAATGCTTATAGACTTAGTATACTCAGAAAATATTCTCATACATTTTTCTTGAAATTCCATAGATTTTATTTTCCCTTATGTTCGAAGTACTTAGCTTTATGAATAAGTGAACTCTGAATATTAGAAGATACTCCTTATGGAGCCTTAGTCATTTTAGTATGCTAGGTTTTGAATTTCATGAAGTTTCAGATTGAGATCCTTTATAAGTAATGACTTGTACCAGTTAGATATCCAAGTTTAATTGGACCTATTGTCTGCATTCTGTATTAACAGTGATTGCAGTAAGTGCAGATCAAGGTGTCCAACTGATTGAGCTCATGCAAAGTTTTATGTTTAGTATTTTTGGGAGCAAGGAAAGACTAATAAACTCTAAACGAAATATATACAGTATACAAACACTGCTGTCACTTTTACACCATAGAGGGAGGGGCAAAGCGTAGAGGAATAGGTTAGTTTCTGGCCTTGCCAGTGTCCTAAACTTTTCTAAAAGATTCAGGTTCTAAAAGGTTGAGAAAGCATTTTTAGTAAATATCATAGAAGTGATTTTCTTTTTCTTTTTCTTTTTCTTTTCCTCAAAATTGTTCCTCTCAGGAGAAAATCAGTAGGGGAAGAACTTACTTGGATTTTTCATATGCTATAACAGATTATTTTGTTGTCTTCTTTCTTGATAGTTTATGATTGATGGCTGAAAGAGTAACACTCATGAGAAGTCTTGTAACTCAGCTCTGTTTTACTTATGAGGCAGTTGAAGCATAGAGCAGATACTTAGATGAGGACACACTTTTACCCTTGGCTGTACCCTACTTGTTTACTAATAAGCATCAGGTATTATTCTAAACAGTACCTGAATTTTAAATAGATTACGAACTACAACTTTCTGATATAACTTTATTGCATTTCTGATACCTTTTATTTTCTTAAAATGTCTTCTTTTTTACTTTTTAAAATTTTGATTGCTACTCTTTACAATTAAGGCATCTTCAATGGGGTCTTCAATACTACAGTACCTAATCAGTACTTAGAAAATAACTTGGTAAGACATTGCCCGTCCCTGACATGCTGCCAGTGTTTTTTATTTTTATGACAGGAAAGGCTGAAATGTTTTGACTGATTAACCGTCTCCATGGGGGAGAATTAGAAAGAATTATTCTTATTATCAAGTCATGTGAGGAGAACACTGGACCAGAGTAACCAATTGTCCTGTTTTGCCTGGAACAGGAGACTTTCAATGCTAAAACCAGCAAAGTCACCCTAATCCCAGTAGTTATTCATATTTCTGAATGGGTCTTTAGAACAGTAGAAGAGAGTGAAAAGTTGGCATTTCATCCATTGAGACTCTCTTCCCAGTGAAAGACTTCTTATTAGACGGCTGAGTGCTTACATATAATATATAGTGCATATTACACTAAATACAATAGTAATGGTTAAATGTAAAATTTGGGAGAAGAGAGGCTTGTTTAAAGAAAGATTTATTTATGTTATTTAAAGTTCTAATCTTAAACTTTTCTCTTTTTATAGAACTGATAGTGCATCAGCCGACCCAGGTAATTTAAAATATTCTTCATCCAGAGATAGAGGTGGTTCTTCCTCTTACGGACTGCAACCTTCAAATTCAGCTGTGGTGTCTCGGCAAAGGCACGATGATACCAGAGTCCACGCTGACATACAGAATGACGAAAAGGGTATATATATTTTCTTATTGCTACAAGCATGTTTTTTGAACCTACCTATCCCACCTTCCTGCCTTCTTACACCCCCAACTTTCTCACTTTCTTCTAATATATTTAAAATATGAATAACAAATGCAGTGTTATTTCTGAAAACTTCATAGGACGTTTATCCACTTTATTATTTTTAAAATTTAAAATTTTTCCATACATAATTCATCAATGCAGTTTTCTTACAAAAAAGATACAATACTATTTTTGTTTTTATTTTCAAAAATATTTAGCTAAGGTTGAAGTTCCTCTTGGCTACTGTCTCTAAACTTCAAGAAAGTTTTAAAACAAGGTGCAAAATTTGATTTAATTTAGTTTTCATTTCTTTGCTTATTTTCCAATGAAGGGATCAAAATAAAATTAATTTAACTTCAAAGGTGTATTAAAAGAAATGAAAATGATTTTCAAGGCAGACAGTACAGGAAAAAGGTAGGAGAAGCAAAGGCTGGTTGAGCTGCAGATTGAGTCATAAGATCCTGAGCTATCAGGAAATTGACTGAATGAAACGAACAATCATATTTAAATGACGTACACATGGCTGTTTGTAGGTGGCTACGGTGTCAATGGGGGATCTGGGGAAAATACTTATGGTCGGAAGTCATTGGGGCAAGAGCTGAGGGTTAACAATGTGACCAGCCCTGAGTTCACCAGTGTTCAGCATGGCAGTTGTGCTTTAGCCACCAAAGACATGAGGAAATCACAGGGTAAGGCTGGGAAAACGGGGACCAATCACATACACCTTCCAAAGACTTGTATCTCCTCTTATTCTGGATGCCTCTTACTAATGCCTTGCAAAGGCATAAGTTGATTAGTCTACTGTGCAGGTAAAAATTGTTTACATTCTTTTCCTGTGAATTGTTAATTTCCCACTAGAAAGGCTATAGTACATTTTAAAAGAGAATTCTCTTAAAACAAGATTAGAAGACTGGATAAGATCTTACAGAAAAGGTTTACCCAATTATCGTGGATATTGAATGTATAGTGCATAGTAGGCTCCTACTACAGCAAGTCCTTGAACTCTTGGGCCTGTGGAGGATATAGATATATGTAGAGAGGGGGTACTTTTCTGTCTTTTTTTTTTTTTTTTCTCTCTTTTAAGTTCAGGGTACATGTGCAGGATGTACAGGTTTGTTATGTAGGTAAACGTGTGCCATGGTAGTTTGCTGCACAGATCATCTCATCATCTAGGTATTAAACCCAGCATCCATTAAGCTATTCTTGCTGATGCTCTCCTTCCCCCCGCCCCCTAGAGTGGGTACTTTTCTGGTTTTTTTGTTGTTGTTGTTTTCAATATATTTTTTTGAGACAGAGTCTTGCTCTGTCACCCAGGCTGGAGCGCAGTGCTGCAATCTCTGCTCACTGCAACCTCCGCCTCCCAGGTTCAAGTGATTCTCATGCCTCAGCCTCCCAAGTAGCTGGGATTACAGGTGCATACCACCATACCCAGCTGATTTTTGCATTTTTAGTGGAGACAGGGTTTCACCATGTTGGCCAGGCTGGTCTCGAACTCCTGACCTCAAGTGATCACACGTGCTCATTACAGGCGTGAGCCACCGGGCCCTGCCTTGAGTGGGCACTTTTCTAAAGTTAAATACACTGATAGCATTTCTGCCTTATGACATAGCCTCACTGTATAGGTGAGTGCCTTGGAAGTTCAGAGGATTGGCCGGGTGCAGCGGCTCACGCCTGTAATCCCAGCACTTTGGGAGGCCGAGACGGGCAGATCACGAGGTCAGGAGATCGAGACCATCCTGGCTAACACGGTGAAACCCTGTCTCTACTGAAAATACAAAAAATTAGCTGGGCGCGGTGGCGGGCGCCTGTAGTCCCAGCTACTCGGGAGGCTGAGGCAGGAGAATGGTGTGAACCCGGGAGGCAGAGCTTGCAGTGAGCTGAGTGCGCCACTGCACTCCAGCCTGGGCGACAGAGCGAGACTCCGTCTCAAAAAAACAACAACAAAAAAGAAAGTTCAGAGGATTAGAGGTAATGATAATTTTTTTCCTTAAAGAGAAACTTATCGGTAAAGCTGAGTTATGGGCTTTGTCAGATGTAATTACTTTTTGGACGTTTAGTTTTTGACTTTTTTTTTTTATTTTTTATACTGTGTGTGTGCTTCGTGTATCTTGGTGAAAATCTTTGTGCCTGTAGCTTTTATTGTTGGTATATAACTTTTAAAAAACTGATTTCTTTTTATGTTTTCACAAGTGGAATGAATTCAAAGGCTATGTATGCTGTTTGTTAAAATAGAGTGTTTGAAGCCTTAGACTTATGATATTATAGAAGCTAAACAGCGATTCTAAAGTAGTTCAGTAGAGAATTCCTCTTCTTCAAAGGCTCAGGGTCATGTAGTTTGCTAGTGACAGAATTGTAAGTAGAGCCTAATTTCCCAGCTGGTAACTTGATGACATATTTGGTATCTGTCCTTATTGAAATACTCTATGGGCTACGGATTTGTAAAAATCCTATTCTTCTCTCAGTCATTGTAGTTTCTTTTTTTTTTTTTTTTTTTTTTTTAACTTAAATTCAGGATACAAGTGCAGATTTGTTACAGTGGTAAACTTGTGTCATGAGGGTTTGTAGTATAGATTATTTTATCACCCAGGTATTAAGCCTGGTACCCATTGGTTGTTTCTCTTGATCCTCTCCTTCCTCCCACCCCCCACCCTCCAAAAGGATCCAGTGTGTGTTGTTCCCCCTTGTAGTTATTTATTTATTTATGAGATGGAGTATCTCCCTGTCACCCAGGCTGGAGTGCAATGGCGCGATCTCAGGTCACTGCAGCCTCCACCTCCCAGATTAAAGTGATTCTCCTGCCTCAGCCTCCCGAGTAGCTGGGATTACAGGAGCGTGCCACCACGCCCGGCTAATTTTTTGTATCTTTAGTAGAGACGAGGTTCCACCATGTTGGCCAGGCAGGTCTCCAACTCCTGACCCCGTGATCTGCCCTCCTCGGCCTCCCAAAGTGCTGGGATTACAGGTGTGAGCCACCATGCCCAGCCTTCTGGTTTCTTTTATTATCAATTTTTTCTCATACCTTAGAAATGAAACTGTCAGACCCTTTGTGATTTGTTGTTTACGTATGTATTGGCTAATTATGGTAAATAGCACAGTTGAAAATGTTTTGCAAAAATTGAGTTTTTTGTTTTGTTTTGTTTTTTGAGACAGTCTCGCTCTGTCACCCAGGCTGGAATGCGCTAGTGTGATTTCACTGCAACCTTTGCTTCCCAGGCTAAAGCGATCCTCCCACCTCAGCCTCCTGAGTAGCTGGGATTACAGGCATGTGCCACTGTGCCCAGCTAATTTTTGTATTTTTCGTAGAGATGGGGTTGTACCATGTTGCCAAGGCTGGTCTCGAACTCCTGTGCTCAAGTGATCTGCCTGCCTTGGCCTTCCAAAGTGCTGGGTAATTACAGGCAAGAGCCACCTCGCCCAGCAAAAATCTAGTTTTTAAAGGCATCGTTAATATACTAATAGTATTCACTATTGTTTGCTTGTTCTTGTGATTAAAAAATAAAGGGAGAAAAGTTGTGGTTTGCTACCTTTCTAGTGGAGGCATGCCTTGCATGTGGTAGATGATAATTAGACATTTGTTGAACTAAATGTGTGATTATGGCTCCCCAAAACTTCATCCCAGGGAAATGATGATAATGTGAATAAGAGGCTTTCCTCCAGTGGGATACCTAGATGATAAGTAGAAGCCTATATCCTGTTTTTACTCGATTGAGACTTTATCCATACCCCTTGGAAGTTGTTTAATTTACCTACACCCGGGCTCTTTACCTGCATGTTGAAAACAGTTTGGAATGGACCCAAAGAAAGTTGTTACTAAGGCCTTTCTTTTTTCTCTCCCAGCCAGTCCTCTGGAATGAGGTGTTCAGTTGGCCTAGGGTTATTCATTTCTTGTTTCCTTCAGCAAATATTTTTTTGAGGGTCTGTTATGTGCCAGGCACTCTGCTGGGATTTGGAATACAGAGTTGAACAAAAGAGCGATAGGACCTATATTCCCTGAGCTTTTATTGACCAGTGGACTGTGACTTTTGATGTAATTTTATTTTTGAGAGAGGGTCTTGCTCTGTCACCCAGGCTGGAGTGCAATGGGGTGATCTTGGCTCACTGCAACCTCCGCCTCACGGGCTCCAGTGATTCTCCTGCCTCAGCCTCCCGAGTAGCTGGGACTACAGGTGCACACCACCTTGGCTGGCTAGTTTATGTAATTTTTTGTGTGTCTGTGGAGACAGGGTTTCACCATGTTGCCCAGGCTGGTCTCAAACTCCTGAACTCATGTGATCTACCCACCTTCCAAAGTACTGGGATTACAGGCATGAGCCCCCATAATAATTTAATTATTATTTAAATAATTTTTAATTTTAAAAATTTTAAAATTATTTTAAAATTTAAAATTTCCTTTGCTTATTTATACTCAGTGGACAACAAAATGTTTATATATTCACAGAGAGATCGATGTCTTATTGTGATGAGTCTCGACTGTCATATCTTCTTCGGAGGATCACCCGGGAAAACGACCGAGACCGAAGATTGGCTACTGTAAAGCAGTTGAAAGAATTTATTCAGCAACCAGAAAATAAGCTGGTAAGTATAGTATGTTTGGAAATATGAGGATTTTTGTGTTTCCATAATAAACTAGGTAATGCTACCTTGAGTAGTTTAAGAATGGGGAAAGTCTGTATTATGATGATCAAGAACTTAATGCTCTCTAATATGTAATTTCTTTTTCTTCTTAAAGACAAGATCTTGCTCTGTCGCCCAGGCTGGAGTGCAGTGGCACAGTCATAGCTCACTGCAGTCTCAAACTCCTGGATTCAAGCTATCCTCCCGCTGTGGCCTCCTGAGTAGCTGGGACTTCAGGCATGTGCCACTACACCTGGCTGAGGTGGAAGAATCACTTGAGCCCAGGAATTCAGGGTTGCAGTGAGATATGATCACACCTCTGCATGTCAACCTGGGCGACAGAGGGAGTCCTTGTCTCTTAAAACAACAACAGAAATGTAACAAAGTATAGGAAGGGTTAAATTTTTTTCTTCACTTTCTTTACACCAATTAAGAACTTGATATGGGCCAGGTGTGGTGGCTCATGCATGTAATCCCAGCATTTTGGGAGGCCAAGGTGGGTGGATCACCTGAGTTCAGGAGTTCGATACCAGCCTGCCCAACATAGTGAAGCCCCCATCTCTACTAAAAATACAAAATTAGCTGGGTGTGGTGGCACATGACCGTAATTCCAGCTACATGGGAGGCTGTGGCAGGAGAATCGCTTGAACCCAGGAGACGGAGGTTGCAGTGAGCTGAGATCACGCCATTGCACTCCAGCCTGGGCGAAAAGAGTGAAACTCCATCTTAAAAAAAAAAAAAGAACTTGACAATGAGCAGGAGAAAATTAATGAAAATGGTCTAGTGAGGCAGATGACACTTGGATCAAAGCAAGTTTCTCCTCCTTCCAAATTTTATTATGAGTAGTTTCAAATATATAGCAAGTTGAAAGAATTTGACATTGAATCTGTTAAACCCATCATCTAATTTTTGTCGTTAACATTTTACCCTAAATACTGCCTTGTCACATATCTCTCCATCTATCCCTCCATCCGTCAGTCAATTTTTCAAATGGATTTCAAAGTAAATGAAACAAGCTTTTTGAGTTTATTTTTTTGTTGATGGTCACAGCTCTATGTTTCCAGTGGGTGAATTTCTTTCATAGGCTGAAAGGAAACATGACATTCCTGATACATGCTCATTGGGGAGTGGGAATAATAAAGAAAGTAAAGTACTGTTGAATTAGAATTTGGAGGGAAGACAAATAAAAAAGTACACAATGCTATTCTTAAAAGTATAGGAATTTGAAGTTTTTATAAATGTGTTTTCTTTTAAAGGTACTAGTTAAACAATTGGATATCTTGGCTGCTGTACATGATGTGCTTAATGAAAGGTAAGTAACTAATAATGGTTCGGTTTAAATGACTTTAAAATATATTTTTAGAAATTACTTAACAATACACAAGAAGACAAACCCACTGGCTTTGTTTATGAACATTTATTGACATTTCAGTGGGTCTTGTCATTTTTATCTGCATTAATTATGTGTTAATTACGGTTGAATACAAATGGAATCCACTTGAAAAGAATATTTATTTTTTGAGCCGGAGTCTCACCCTGTCGCCCAGGCTGGAGTGCAGTGGTGCGATCTCAGCTCACTGCAACCTCCACCTCCCGGGTTCAAGTGATTCTCCTGCCTCAGCCTCCCGAGTAGCTGGGACTACAGGCGTGCACCACAACTGCCAGCTAATTTTTGTATTTTTAGTAGAGACAGGGTTTCACCATGTTGGCCAGGCTGGTCTGGAACTCCTGACCTCAGGTGATCCACCCACCTTAGCCTTCCAAAGTGTTGGGATTACAGGCATGAGCCACCGTGCCTGGCTGGAATATTTTATTTTTTTAATTTGCTAGTCTCACTGGATAACTGAGTCTTGACTTATGGAATGGCATAAACTCTTGATGCAGGCATGAAGAATAAAATTAGTTTTTGTAAACAAGAGAATTTGAAACTGCTTAGAGAATAGAGGTAAAAAGGAATTTCCTTCTTTGGGTAAGAGTGGATCCAAACCATATATTCTCTGGCTATTAGAGTCTCCAGAGGTGTGTGGTCATTTTTTGTTATGGTGATTCCCAAAGATTTGCAGTGTTGGCAAGTACCCAAAATTTATCTCAGCTGGTCATAAACCTTAGTGCCTTTTGATGGTTTTGTTTTATAGAGTTACTTATTAAAGTTCTATGTAAATCATTACTGTTATCCTTTTAAGTTTCTGTATTTAACTATTACCATTTTTTATTTTATAGTCATTACATATTGGATATTATGTAGAATGTAGTTATGTATAGAGTGTTTTATCTACTTATTTGTTGCTGCCCTTTTCTGAGAGTTATTTAATACAGTTTGAGATGGAATTTAGCATTTTTGGGCCTTCCCTCACTGTTTGTAAATAATTGATTTTGTAAAAAGAAAGTGATGTCAGACAGATACTTGAGGGCAATGCAGGCTAGACAGAATGTAGTATTTAGAGTGGAGAAAATTTCAACCTTTTATGTAGTTTGAATAGAAATTTAAAAAACCACTTAAGACATTCTTTTGTAAGATGTATTACTCGTGTCATCATAGAAAACTTAAGCCTTTTGTGTGTGTTTTTTGTTTGCATTAAAATAAACACAGTAGCAAATTGCTTCAGGAGTTGAGACAGGAGGGAGCTTGCTGTCTCGGCCTTCTTTGTGCTTCTCTGAGCTATGAGGCTGAGAAGATCTTCAAGTGGATTTTTAGCAAATTTAGCTCATCTGCAAAAGATGAAGTTAAACTCCTCTACTTATGTGCCACCTACAAAGCACTAGAGACTGTAGGAGAAAAGAAAGCCTTTTCATCTGTAATGCAGGTAAGAATGAAGGGGGAAAAAATGCATGATATACTTGGGAAGAAAATTGTCCCTTTAACACATGTCCTTGGAGGGGAGCTTGAAGAAGGGAATCATAGAATAGGGGTTATCTACTGATAGGAAATATGTTTTAAAAATTCCTCTTTCTCAGTTTGAGTAAAGGATACACTGTTCAAGGATCAGTGCTACATACATATATGCATATATGTGGAGAGAGAGGGAGAGATTTCTTCTAAAAAATTGGCTTACACGCCAGGCGTGGTGGCTCACGCCTGTAATCCCAGCACTTTGGGAGGCTGAGGCAGGCGGATCATGAGGTCAAGAGATCGAAACCATCCTGGCCAACATGGTGAAACCCCGTCTCTACTAACAATACAAAAATTAGCCGGGCGTGGTGGCACGCGCCTGTAGTCCCAGCTACTCAGGAGGCTGAGGCAGGAGAATGGCTTGAACCCGGGAGGCCGAGGTTGCAGTGAGCCAAGATCGCACCATTGCCTGGGAGACAGAGCCAGACTCTGTCTCAAAAAAAAAAAAAAAAAAAAAAAGATTTTTTTCCCCTTTGGTTTTTAGAAATGTTTTTTTTGAGATTGCTTAGGACCAGAATTTGCAAAGTTGAAAATAGGAACTCCACTAGTAATGCCGGATAGAAGAGTGCTTCACATTTGTAGAGGGAGACAAGAACTAAATATCACAACTTCTTTCTGAGCCTTTTGGTTTGCTAACGTGCCCCAAATTCTTATTCCAAATGGTATAAGATAATTATGTGTAAATGAATACCGGCTCTACTTAGTTGTATTTCATATTTGTGTATCTGAATATATTAAAATATCATTCTTTTTTTTTTTTTTTTATGCAGAGTCTTGCTCTGTTGTCCAGCGTGGAGTGCAGTGGCATAATCTCGGCTCACTGCAACCTCTGCCTCCCAGGTTCAAGTGATTCTCCTGCCTCAGCCTCCCGAGTAGCTGGTATTGCAGGAGTGTGCCATTAGCCTGGCTAATTTTTGTATTTTTAGTAGAGATGGGGTTTCATTGTGTTGGCCATGCTGGTCTTCAACTCCTGACCTCAAGTGATCCTCCTGCCTCGGCCTCCCAAAGTACTGTGATTAGTGTCATGAGTCACCACACCTGGCCTAAAAGATCATTGATTTAGTTTTGAGTAAGATTTTAAGTGATTAAATTATGGTATTGTTGTGTTTGGAATATCTGATATTAGGGTTTTTTTTTTTTTTTTTTTTTTTTTTACAGTTTTTGATATGCTTTATTTTGGGTATGTAGTTTAAAAAATATAAAGGAAATATAAGGAATATTCTTTTTTTTTTTTTTAATAAAAAATGTATTTTTAACTGGGCATGGTGGCTCACTCCTGTAACCCCAGCACTGTGGGAGGCTGAGGCTGGTGAATTGCCTGAGTCCAGGAGTTTGAGACCAGCCTGAGCAACATGGTGAAACCCTGTTTCTATCAAACAAAAAAAAAAAAAAAAGGAAAAAAAATAAGTTGGGCATGGTGGCATGCACCTGTAATCGCAGCTACTTGGAGGCTGAGGCAGGAGGATCGCTTGTGCCTGGGAGGTTGAAGCTACAGTGAGCTATGGTCAAGCTACTGCACTCCATTATAGGCAACCCTGTCTCAAAAAAGCAAAACAAAATGAAACATTTTCCCCTTGATTATAGAGGTTTGAGAAAAATTTGAGGGAAGATTCAGAAAATTACCTGTAACTGAACAGAATGCCACCAGCTTGGGCTTATTCTGCATGCATAATTATGAACATTTTCCCAGCTCTTGTGAAAATTCTCACATTCATAGAAAGATAGATGCACCAGTAAAATAAATACCTGTAAATACGATAATAATTTCATAATATATGCTTCACCTAGATTTACCAGTTACTAATATTTTGCCACAGTTTTATTTTCTCACACACTTTTGTTGAGCATCTGAAAACCATACACATGATGACAGTTCACCCCATAATGTTTTAGTATGCATCTCCCAAGAATAAGGTTTTTCTTCTGTATAACAAGAATATTGTAATCATACCTAAGAAAATGAATTTTATTACATATGTGTTCTATATTCAAATTTCTGTAATTACCCCAAGATGTCTTTTAAATGATTTTTAGCATTGATAGTCTGTGCCTGTGTAGATTATAACATTGGCTATTGCAAAATAATGGTTTTCTTTTTCTCTTTTTTTTTTTTTGAGACGTAATCTTGCTCTGTTGTCCAAGCTGGAGGGCAGTGGCACGATCTCGGCTCACTGCAACCTCCGCCTCCCAGGTTCAAGCAGTTCTCTTGCTTCAGCCTCCTGAGTAGCTGGGATTACAGGCATGTGCCACTGTGCTCTGCTAATTTTTATATTTTTAGTAGAGACGGAGTTTCATCATGCTGGCCAGGCTGGTCTTGAACTCCTGACCTCAGGTGATCCACCTGCCTCGTCCTCCCAAAGTGCTGGGGTTACAGGTGTGAGCCACTGCACCCAGCCTAAAATGATGGTTTTCTGATTCTAGCATTTCTTTGATAAGATTGCTATGTAAAGCACAGCTTTTCCTTTTTTAGGGAAAAATGTTTTTTAACAGCTGCAAAATAAATATTCTTTCAATGGAATGACAAATAGTTATTTATTATTTTATTTTTGCCATATATTTATTTTAAAAATTTATGTATAATGGTAACCTGAGCCTGCATGTTATTCATGTGTGGTGCCATACTGATCTTCCTTAATTTTAATATGAAGCAAGTACTAATATACTAAAGCATAAATTATATAAAATTTGCTTTATATTTTGGATTGCAAAGTAATTGTTGTACTTTATAGAAAAGTTTCCCAAATCCATTTTACTTTTTTGTATTTGAAATTTAATCACAGGTAGAATCTTAAAGAGAGCATTTAGGGATATTGTAAACAGATGTTATTAAGGACTAATGTTAACTGATGTCAAAGGACTAATATTAACAAACATTGAAGAAGAGAAAACAGTATCTGTTTTTAGCTTAACAGCTTAGTGGAGCGAAATATTTTCAGTTTATTTATTTTATTTATTTATTAATTTTTTTTTTTTTTTTTGAGATGGAGTCTGGCTGTATTTCCCAGGCTGGAGTGCAGCGGTGCAATCTCAGCTCACTGCAACCTCTGCCTCCTGGGTTCAAGCAATTCTTGTGTCTCAGCCTCCCAAGCAGTTGGGATTTACAAGTCAATTCTTTTTTTTTTTTAACTAAAACTACAGAATCTATTTTTCTTGGTCTCATACTCAGGTTTTTATGTAGGCACTTCGTAAATAATGAACCTAATTTGCTTGTTTTCTCCCTATTTTGTTGAATGTTCACGGTTTGTAACTTTTATTTTTAAGCTTGTAATGACCAGCCTGCAGTCAATTCTTGAAAATGTGGATACACCAGAATTGCTTTGCAAATGTGTTAAGTGCATTCTTTTGGTGGCTCGATGTTACCCTCATATTTTCAGCACTAATTTTAGGGTGAGTTCCTCATTCCGCTGTTCAGATCATGGGGTGAGGGGGATGGTTGTGTGTGTGAGGAACTGAGGAATCAGATGGAAAACAGTGCCTCTGCTCCTTTGAATATAATCAGTGATATTTGAGGTTCCAGGGTTAAATGCCGCATTTTTCTTTCTGACGTTCGTACCTTAAAATATTTGAAGAAAATAAACTATTTCATTGCTGTCAGAAATGTAGTTCTTTTATTTTCCTGCCCCTCTCCCCTTTCTAAGTTTCTAGAATGTCAAGTAGGTAGAACATAGATGCTCCTTTTAGGATCTTTTGCTGTGAAATGGTCCACAGGTGGATTGCAGTAATATCTTAAAATGATTGGCCCCCTCTCTCTTTGTTTCCATCAAGGATACAGTTGGTATATTAGTTGGATGGCATAGAGATCATACTCAGAAACCTTCGCTCACGCAGCAGGTATCTGGTAAGTCTTGCAGCCTATACCAGTTATTTAAATACTGTCGGGGAGGAGCAGTGGTCCCCCAGTGACCATCTATCAATACCATTTCTTTAATAATGCAAGAAAACTAATTCAGAGAAATGTTTTATTGTAAATGAACATGACTTGTTAGCTAAATATATATTTTCAGAGGAAATTACTAGTAGGTGGGTAGAGTAAGTACAGACAGGACTTACCCAAGTTATTTGTAGTTTGTACTGGTAGGAAAGTATATGGTAAGAATATATTGCAGTGGCAATACCCTGAAGTGGACAATGGAAGATCCAAGTTATTTGTCACATTTTATTGTTTTTCTGGTTATTTTTTTAAAAAAGGAAATATAGGGTTAATTTGGAGAATTGTCATAAATGAGAAGTGGTTTTGTTTCCCACTTTTTTGGAGTTAAGTGAATGACTAGCGTGGCTCATTTGCACATTTCAGCTTGTTTCAAGTGTCATAGTTTCTCGTAACTTACTTGGTGTAATAAACTTTTGAAAATAAGATATTCAGGTGATAGTGGTCTGTTTCATTTTCACTGAGGAGATGAGTATACACCTTTAATGGTTAGATGTGGCCCTGGGATTAGCCGGGCCAATGGTAGATTGTGGCATTTTAGTCTTAAGTCATGTGTAGTGACAATATAGATATGAAATTTACTGAAAAAGTAAGGAAATAACATTTACCTGTTAATTTCTGCAGAAATTAAGGAGGTATTAATTAAAGAGGTATTGGTTAATCGTGATCAGCATGTTTAGCAGTCTTAATTTTATGATATAGGACATGTTTTAGGGTATGCTGCTTGAAAACCAGATACTTTTTAAAAGAAGCCTCTTATATTTTTTAATTTGGATTTTTTGGTGTTTTTTCTCCCCCCTACCCTTTCACAATTTCTTACGCGATTCCAAGGGTGGTTGCAGAGTTTGGAGCCATTTTGGGTAGCTGATCTTGCATTTTCTACGCCTCTACTTGGTCAGTTTCTAGAAGACATGGAAGCATATGCTGAGGTGAGTATATAGAAAGCTGTTTCTTAAAATTTTGGTTAAGAAAAAATCTTAAATTGTGCTAGATTTATTTTAAAATGGCTCAGACCTCCTGACATTTAAGCAGAAATTACAAGCCCATTGCAATATTTTGAAAAATTTTTTCTTTTTGAGACGGAGTCTCGCTCTGTCACTCAGGCTGGAGTGCAATGGCACGATCTCAGCTCACTGCAACCTCCACCTCCTGGGTTCAAATGATTCTCCTGCCTCAGCCTCCCGAGTAGCTGGAATTACAGGTGCCCGCCACTACGCCCAGCTAATTTTTGTATTTTTAGTAGAGACGGGGTTTCACCATGTTGGCCAGGCTGGTCTCAAACTCCTGACCACTGGTGATCCAGCCGCGTCGGCCTCCCAAAGTGCTGGGATTATAGGCATGAGCCCCCGTGCCCAGTCAGTATTTTAAACATTTATTTCAGATGTGTTTAAGTTACCAGGAGAATTACTGGAGAGACTAAAAGAAACGTTGCAAGCTTCGTATTTCGCAAAGCTTTACATACTCTCGGTAGCTGGTATTTTTCTAAAGACATATTTTGTTATTTATTTTTATTTTTTGTTCCCAGTCTTCAGAGTCTTAAAGCAAATTGATGTTGTGTTATAAAAAAACACAAAACACCAAAAGCTCCTAAAGATTTTCCTCTTACATATGTACAGGAGATCTTGAATCGTACTTTGGAGGACAAGCCTTGGCTTCAGCCAGCTTTTGTGGCTGTACGAATATAGCATAGGAGCTTTAAGAGCGCTGCTGAAGCCTCTGTTACTGGTACTTGGCTTTTCTGGCCCCACTGTCATGGCTTAACTCTGTGCCATCTCTTATCTGAATCTCTTTGTGTTTCTCCCCTATTCAGATCAACCAGTCAAGGCTCCCATAAAGATTTTGGCCTCATCTTGTTTTTTTCATCTTTGCTGCTTGTAGTCAACAGGAATTCAGTACCTTTAGCTGTACTGATGTGTTTACTCTTTCCTAGAAAAGCAAGGAAATGTTTTGCTTCTGCGTTGTTTTTTCTTTGCCCCCACACCTAGAATGTCTTTTTTCACAGCCCACGTTTAAAGCTGATCTACCTCTCATAAGCCACACATTCTAGTTTGTAGAGATGCTTCCCCTTGTTATCCTTAAGATCTCATTCTCTTCTGTTATTTTGGTGCTTAATTTTAGGTAGATGTATACATTGGTTCTGGTATCCTAGTTTTTGCGAATCTTGTCCTTTTCATATATCGTACTTCTTCAGTTACACATCTGTAGACCAGGTCTTGTAATCTCCCTTTGCTCTTCATGTGCATGCTCTTGGTTTGGAGGACTTACTGTTGAGCTGAGTGGCTCAAAGAATACCTAGAATGAGATTTTTAGCCAAAAACTAATTCAGGAGTGGCAAAAGCTTCCGTCTTCATTTATACCTACATATAACTAGAGCATATGTGCTAGAATTTATTTTTCCCCAACAGCTTTCTGAGTTGATTTAAGAGATTATTTCCTTAATTTGTTGTCTATTGGGTTTAATGTTGGCTTTTTGAAATAATTAGGTAAAACCCATTTTTATATTCAGAGTCATGAATATTCTCATGGGCCACAGTTCTCTTTCTAAAAGCCTAAAAATCTATTCTAAAATGAATTGATTGAAATATTTTAGAGTTTTTTTTTGTTTTGTTTTGTTTTTTTAAACAATGTACTACTTATTAAGAATGCTGTGAATTCACATCTAGGACCTCAGCCATGTGGCCTCTGGGGAATCAGTGGATGAAGACGTCCCTCCTCCATCAGTGTCATTACCAAAGCTGGCTGCGCTTCTCCGGGTATTTAGTACTGTGGTGAGGAGCACTGGGGAAAGCCTCAGCCCAATTCGGGCCCTCCAATTACTGAGGCATACGTAACAGATGTAAGTGCTTTTGGGCATTTGAAGTGTCATTCAAAAATAAAATTGTTTTACATTGTAAATGCTTCTCTTTACCAGGTGAACTGTTATTAATCCTTCATTTGTTTAGCATGTATGTATGTATGTATATATGTATATATTGTCTGACTGCTTTCTTAAACAACCAGAAAAGCAGGGAATCCTGTTATAGCTCATCCTCCTTTCATCCAACTCCCCTACCCTCCCATGACAAAAGGCCACTCTGAATTTTTAAATCTCATTCTTTCATTTTTAAATAATATTTCTTATAATTTTACTTTTAAATTATTGGGTTTCCTTTTAGTTTTTCAACATATTACGAATAGCACACTATAGGAGAAGCCTCAGAAAGTAATCTTCTCTGAGCATAAGATGGAACTCATATGAAAACTTGTGTATCTTTATATTCTTTGATAGCCTGATATCAAAGAACATAAACAAATTAAAAATGAGGTAGCTAGATTGCCACACTTCAGCAGCCTCAGACATTAGCTGCACTGTATATAGCACATCCAGTGAGGGTTCAGTGGAAAAGACACAAGAAATGAACCCCAGGCATTGTACTCTGCTTTGAATAAGGAGAAAGAAGCATGTGTGATACAGTCATAAAAAATTTAATCTAACTGATGAAAATTTTACCGTTAGGATAAAACTTGCTTTTAGGAGCATATACTTTTGCTGAACATGTTGCTAAATAAAATAGGATATTGATTATATAGTAAGTTGTGTACTTGAGCAGAAATGTCAGAACTTAAAGATAAATGAAACCGGCATATCGGTATTTTAAACCAATATGGTTTCAAAATGGTTTAATATCTTTGCTTCATTTTTAATGTCTAAAAGGTGGTTGTTTGAAGACTGTACAGAGTTGAAATAAAAAGCCGTTAATTCAGACATAAAATAAAGGGGACATAATTTATAGGATAGGTGTATATTGATTTATGAGGATCTTTTAGGCCTTTGAGAATGGTAGAATGGTGGGGTTTTTATTTTTTTTATTTATTTTTGGAGCTGGAACCTCACTCTGTCACCCAGGCTGGAGTGTAGTAGTTCAATCATAGCTCACTGTAGTCTTGAACTCTTGGGCCCAGGTGAACTTCCCACCTCACTCAGCCCTACAAGCGGGTGTCACCATACCCAGCTTTTTTTTTTTTTTCCTTTTTAAAGTGGGGTGGTGCCATCACGACTCAGTGCAGCCTCTATCTCTTGGGCTCAAGTGATCCTCCCAGCATAGCTCCTGCTAATTTTTTATTTTTGTAGAGATGGGGTCTCAGTGTTTCCCAGGCTGGTCTTGAACTTTTGGCCTCAAGCAGTCTTCCCACCTCAGCCTCCCAAAGTGTTGGGATTATAGACATGAGCCACTGTGCATGCATGGCCAAGAATGCTTCCCCCTCCGCCCTCTCCCCCCAACTCTTTTTTTTTTGGAGACATGGTCTCTGTTGCCCAGGCTGGAGTGCAGTGGCACGATCTTGGCTCACTGCAGCCTTGACCTCCCAGGCTTAAGTGATCCTCCCACCTCAGCCTCTCAAGTAGTTGGTGGGACTACTGGTGTGAGCCACCACACCCAACTAATTTAGAAACAAATTTGGTAGAGATGAGGTGTTGTTATGTTGACATGGCTGGTCTCAAACTCCTGGACTCAAGAGAACCTTCCAGCTAATCCTCTCAAAGTGCTAGGATGATAGATGTGAGTCACTATGCCCAACCTCTAAGGATACTTTTAATGAAAACTATGGGTAGACTAAATAAAATCCTGTATGTATTGGTTGTTAAATATTATAGAAATATTTTTTAACATTTGCTCTGTTTTCTCCCCTATTTTATTAGAAATTTAGTACACAATTATTGGCTATTATAGTTAAGTGGGGGATTTTGTGTGTGTGTGTATTGGAAATAATATGATTTTTGAAGATATTATGTGGCAAGCATGAGAGTGCTTATCTTTCAAAAGAGACCATCAGTAGATAGAAACTTTAATAAGCTTAAAGTGACTTGTATGTTCAGTTTTGAAAGATTGATTCCCAAAAGCCCAAGAGCTAGCTTGTAGTATGTGTGGGCAGGCTATTCCCATGCTGTCAATACCATTACTGTCGTGGTGTATTTCATGATAAAGATTCTGAGCTTCAGCCATTTAGTGACATTGGGAGAAACGAAGTTGGGTATGTGGGAAATAGAGGATGGCAGATTCCATTTCCTGTCATAGTAGCACTTTAGGATTTTTTAGCCAAGATCATGTTTACATATTGTAGTAAAGGTATCATCATTATTCAGCTACTGAGAACTAGAATATTAAGAGACTGCTGGCAAGGCAAGCAGTTAATTTTCAGTTGAAATTGCATTAAATAAAAAGTATTTTCTTGCTTTGTGGAAGCACGTGAATTTTTTTAAAAAGCTGCTGGTTTTCCCCATTTACAGGTGCTGTACAGAGTAATGAGATGTGTGACGGCTGCAAACCAGGTGTTTTTTTCTGAGGCTGTGTTGACAGCTGCTAATGAGCGTGTTGGTGTTTTGCTCGGCAGCTTGGATCCTAGCATGACTATACATTGTGACATGGTCATTACATATGGATTAGACCAACTGGAGAATTGCCAGACTTGTGGTACCGATTATATCATCTCAGTCTTGAATTTACTCACGCTGGTATGTGAATTATTCTTTTCCTTTTTAATGTGTTGGTTTATTCAGGCCCTTAAATGGATATGTAAGAAATTAAGGGCTTTGTCTGGGTATGGTGGCTCATGCTTGTAATCCCAGCGCTTTGGGAGGCCAAAGCAGAAGGGTTGCTTGCATCCAGGAATTCTGGCACAGCTTGGGCAATGTAGTGAGACCCCATCTGTACAAAAAGTCAAAAATTAGCTTGGTGTAGTGGTGTGCACCTGCAGTCCTAGCTACTCGGGAGGCTGATGGAGGAGGATCGATTAAGCCCAGGAACTTGAGGTTGAAGTGAGCTCTGATTGTGCCACTGCACTCAGCCAAGGTGACAAAAAAGGCCCTGTCTCCAAAAAAGAAAAAAAATAAGGGCTTTGCTTTATTATATAATTTTTTTAGAGTACATTCATCAGTCTTATAATCTATGCTTTCATTTTAGTGTCTATTTACTTTTATTTTTAATGCAATTTTTTTTTTGAGACAGGGTCTCACTCCGTTGCACAGGATGAAGTGCAGTGGCATGATTTTGGCTCACTGTAGCCTTGACCTCTTGGGTTCAGGTGATCCTCCCACCTCAGCCCCCCAGGTAGCTAGGACTACAGGCGTGCACCACCACACCTGGCTAATTTTTTATATTATTTTGTAGAGATGGAGTTTTGCCATGTTGCCCAGGCTGGTCTTGAATTCTTGGGCTCAAGCAATCCACCTGCCTTGGCCTCCCAAAGTACTGGGATTATAGGCATGAGCCACTCTGCCAGGCCTCTATTTTTAGTGGTTGATAGCTAGTCTCAGTGTAGCTTTACTCGTTTTTTCTGAGGAAACATTGCTCTACGCACCAGATTCTTTCTTTTTTTCTTTTCTTTTCTTTCTTTTTTTTTTGGTCACAGGATCTTGCTGTATTCCCCTGGCTGGAGTGCAGCGGTACAATCAGAGCTCACTGCAGCCTCAAACTCCTGGGCTCAAGTGATCCTCCCACTCAGCCTCCCGACTATCTGGGACTACAGATGCATGCCACCATGCCTGGCTAACCTTTATATTTTTTGGAGAGAAGGGGTCTCGCTACATTGTCTAGGCTGGCCTTAAATTCTTGGTCTCAAGTAATCCTCCTGCCTTGCCCTCCCAAAGTGCTGGGATTACAGGTGTGAGCAATCATGCCTGGCCTCCTTTAATTTTTTTTTTTTTTTTTTTTTTTTTTGAGACGGAGTCTCGCTCTTTTGCCCAGGCTGGAGTGCAGTGGCACAATTGTATTTTTAGTAGAGACGGGGTTTCACCATGTTAGCCAGGATGGTCTCGATCTCCTGACCTCGTGATCTGCCTGCCTTGGCCTCCCAAAGTGCTGGGATTACAGGCGTGAGCCACCGCGCCCGGCCGGCCTCCTTTAATTTCTTAACCATAAATATCCTCCCCCCACTTTTATTATGGACGTTCTGAAGCACATAAAAATAGGGAGCATAGTATAATAAATTTGTACATATTTAACACTCAGCTTCTATAATTAGAAACAAATGGCCCATCTGGTTTCATCTAGGCCTCTTTGCTATCCTTTCATCTCCAACTAGATTATTTTACAGCAAATTCTAGATGACATTCTGCTGAGCATTTCTGCCAGAATTACACCTCTCTTTGCTAATGTGAAAAAATGCCCATGATAACTGTAAAATACGTGTGTCCTATTTAGGTGTCTAAACACTTTAATGTCACAGTATTAAGGCCTTAAAATATAGCTTAGATATATTTTTCTAAATTAAAAGACTTCATTTTTTAGATATACAGAAAATTGAGCAGAAAACAGTGAGTTCCCATATACCTTCTTCATCCCAACAGTTTCCCCCTCATTAACATATTGTGTTAGTGTGGTACATTTATTACAAAGGAGTGAATATTGATATATTATTATTAACTAATTTTATAGTTTACTTTGTGTTATGTATTCTATGGACTTTAACATGTGTAATGACATGTTTCCCCTATTACCAGTATCATACAGGATAGTTTCACTTCCCTAAAAATCTTTTATGTTCTACCCACTCCTTCCTCGTTCCCTCTCCCCACTCCTCCCTCCCCCCATCTTAAGCCCATGGCAACCCCTGATCTTTTTACTGTCTCCATCGTTTTGCCTTTTCCAGAATGCCATGTAGTTGGAGTCATATAGTATGTAGCCTTTTCAGTTGGCTTCTTTCACTTACCAGTGTGCCTTTAAGGTTTCTCCATGTCTTTTTGTAATTTGAGAAGCTCATTTTTTAAAAATTTTATTCTTTTAGATTGTTGAACAGATAAATACGAAACTGCCATCATCATTTGTAGAAAAACTGTTTATACCATCATCTAAACTACTATTCTTGCGTTATCATAAAGAAAAAGAGGTAAGTAATACACTGATAATGAATTTTGACAACTTGAGTCACTGAAGAGTTGGACCTAATGTTGCTTACCCCAGGCTATATAAGTGAAATTGAGTGAAATGTGAAATGTTTGATTTAGAATATAGTGATTGTATTTGTTCTTTTAAATTTATATTTCTTGATAATCATACTGAATACTTTCATGAATGGTGTGCCAGATACTCTTTTCAGACTATGCATCTTTTGCTGTTATTAAATTTATTAAATTTTCATAAGGGTAAAACAAGTTGACACATTTATAAAGTTATAAATTAAGAAGTACTGTATATTTGGTAAACAAAAATGACTGGCTTTTCAACCACCCCCTAGTCAAATCCACCACAGACTTTCCTGGTAGATTTAAGAAACCCAGTCTTAAACTGCTGTTTGCATATGTCTTTTGATGTTGATTATTAAAAAAAAAAAACAAAAACGGCCATTTTGGAAATTTCCTATTGACAGTTTTCATTTATAGTACTCTTTATTTGTGATAAAACTTAATAGATTTGAAATAGCATACTGATCTGTGTCAGTTTTCTGATTGGTTTTTAAAAAATTAAAATATTAAATGCTACAGACAGTGAATTGATCGATCTTAAATTTATTTGTATCATCAGCACTAATACAGATAGTGATTTATTTTCCATATAATTTTAGAAGATTTATTTTCCATTTATCACTTCCTTGAATTTTTTGTTTTTCAGGTTGTTGCTGTAGCCCGTGCTGTTTATCAAGCAGTGCTCAGCTTGAAGAATATTCCTGTTTTGGAGACTGCCTATAAGTTAATATTGGGAGAAATGACTTGTGCCCTAAACAACCTCCTGCACAGTCTGCAACTTCCTGAGTCCTGTTCTGAAATAAAACATGAGGCTTTTAAGAATCATGTGTTCAATGTAGACAATGCAAAATTTGTAGTTAAATTTGACCTCAGTGCCCTGACTACAATTGGAAATGCCAAAAACTCACTAATAGGGGTGAGCCTTTAATTGTAATGACTTTGTTTTATCAACAGTTAAGCCTTTTCTCATTACATATTTATGTATTTCACTGTTATGTCAACATGTCTGCAGAATCACTGTATGTAACAAACAGCCATATTTAAGACATGCCTGGATAAATAAAATTGGTAGGAATGTTTTCTTGCCATTATATTTAACTTTTCTTCTTTTTCCTTGACAAATCTTGATAAGTTTTTTTATATTAGTTTTATTTTCTAGAAAATGTCTTATGAATTTCTCCTATTTGCTCTAGCATGCTTACAGAAAATGTCAGTGTTTCTTACAGCTCAAATTTGTATAGTTGTTTTAAAATGCGGTCTCTTTCTTCTTCCCCTGGTACTTTTTTCTTTCTGTGTACTGAAGTTAGTTCTTATACATGGTCTTATATTTTGGCTGTCTCTTT
This sequence comes from Homo sapiens, assembly GCF_000001405.40. NCBI lineage: Eukaryota > Metazoa > Chordata > Mammalia > Primates > Hominidae > Homo > Homo sapiens. The sequence goes on along the minus strand of NC_000016.10, from coordinate 21,895,095 downwards.
TTCCCTAGGAACATTCATACAGGTTGAATATTCCTTATCTGAAATACTTGGGACTGGAAGTGTTTTCGATTTTGGATTTTGGAATACTTTTTTTTTTTTTTTGGAGATAGTGTTTTTACTCTTGTTGCCCAGGCTGGAGTGCAATGGCGCGATCTTGGCTCGCTGCAACCTCCGCCTCCCGGGTACAAGCGATTCTCCTGTTTCAGCCTCCCAGGTAGCTCGGATTACAGGCATGCACCACCACCCCTGGCTAATTTTTTTGTATTTAGTAGAGATGGGTTTTCACCATGTTAGCCAGGCTGGTTGTGAACTCCTGACCTCAGGTGATCCACCTGCCTTGGCCTCCCAAAATGCTGGGATTACAGGTGGGCACCACCATGCCCAGCCGGAGTTTGGAATATTTTCATAACACTTACTGGTGAGCATCCCTAATCTGAAAATCCTAAATCTAAAATGCTCCAAAATTTGAAACTTTTTGAGCACCAGTATGATGCCCCAAGTGGAAAATCCCACACTCAACCTCATGTGATGAGTCCAAACTGTTGTATGCCCAAAATTATTTAAAATATTGCATAAAATGACCTTCAGGCTATGAATAGAAGGTGTCTATGAAACATAAGTGAATTTCGTCTTTAGACTTGGGTCCCATCCCCCACATATCTCATTTTATATATATGCAAGTATTCTCAAATCCAAACATATACAAAGTCTGAAACACTTCTGGTCCCAAGCATTTTGAATAAGGGATACTGAACCTGTAGTCTTCCTTTTGGTGGTGGTGGGGGGACTTTTTTTTTTTTTTATTTTATTTTATTTTTTTTTTGGGGAGACAGAGTCATGCTGTTGTCAACTGGGCTGGAGTGCAGTGGTGCAATCTCGGCTCACTGCCACCTCTGCCTCCCGGGTTCCAGCAATTCTCCTGCCTCAGCCTCCCGAGTAGCTAAGATTACAGACACTTGCCACTACGACGGGCTAATTTTTGTATTTTTAGTAGAGACTTGGTTTCACCATGTTGGTCAGGCTGGTCTCAAACTCCTGACCTCAGGTGATCCACCTGCCTCAGCCTCCCAAAGTGCTGGAATTACAGGCATGAGCCACCGCGCCCAGCCCGTGTGTTTTTTTTTTTTAAGTAATTTGACGTGGCCCTGCTCTTGATTTGTATTTATTGTTTATGGTTTGTGTATTTCTTCTTCCTATTGGACCACACAGAGTTGAAAAACATCATTTTTAATAGAAAATAATAGGTGTAGGCTGGGCACGGTTGCTGACACCTGTAAACCCAGCACTCTGGGAGGCCAAGTCAGGCTGATCACCTGTGGTCAGGAGTTTGAGACCAGCCTGGCCAACATGGTGAAAGCTCGCCTCTACTAAAAATAGAAAAATTAGCCAGGGGTGGTGGTGCACACCTGTAATCCTAGCTACTTTGGAGGGTGAGGTAGGAGAATTGCTTGAACCCAGGAAGTGGAGGTTGCAGTGAGCTGAGATCACACCACCGCACTCCAGCCTGGGCTACAGAGCCAGACTCTGTCTCAAAAGAAAAAAAAAAAAGAAAGAAACAAAGAAAGAAATGGATGTAATTAGGGAATAAAGTTTTTAGGAGGAAGAAGGTAAAATTTGATGTTTGCGCTTCAATGTGCTCCGTGTTGTTAGATTGGATTGCCTTGTATAATTCCATAGCTGCTTCGCTTATTACCAGTTACAGTTTATGTTTGAAGTCACAATAAACTCTTCTTCAAACATGAAAGCTTGATTTTTGAGGAAAATTATTCACATTATTTACAGATTCAAAGATGTTTATGTCCTGTACTCTAGAAATAAGGAGAAAGTGGGTGGGGATGGGGCAGTCAGGTGGAGTGGAGTGTCTTGGCAGTGTAAAGGAAAAAGATGGATGGAAAAGGTGTAGGGTGGCAGGGTGTGCCTCTGTTTCCTTATTGAACAGGGCACCTTGCCATTTGCAGTATATGGAAAATTGAGGAAATACAGTCTACTTCCGCAAAAGGCACATACAAAGGGCTCTGTTTAGACCAGAGATCAGCAAACTATGGTCTGTGGGCCAAATACAGCCCAGCACCTGTTTTTTGTCTGTTATTTTAAGTGTATAATTCACTGATTTTTACTATATTCACAGAAGTGTACAACCATCACAACACTAGTGCCTGTTTTTGTAAAGAAAGTTCTTGTTGGGCTGGGCGCAGTGGTTCACGCCTGTAATCCCTCGGGAGACTGAGACAGGCAGATCACCCAAGCTCAGGAGTTCAAGACCAGCCTGGCCAACATGGTGAAACCCTATCTCTACTAAAAAAATACAAAAGTTAGCAGGGCGTGGTGATGGGCACCTGTAATCTCAGCTACTTGGGAGACTGAGGCAGGGAGAATTGCTTGAACCCCGGAGGTAGAGGTTGCAGTGAGCTGAGATCGCCCCATTGCACTCCAGCCTGGGCGACAGAGCGAGAGACTCCGACTCAAGAAAGTTTTCTTGGAACACAGGTACTCTCATTCCTGTGTTTTGTGTGTGGCTGGTGTTTTGTTTTGAGAGAGAGAGTCTTAACTTTGTCATCTAGGCTGGAGTGCATTGGTATGATCTCGGGTCACTGCAACCTCTGCCTCCCAGGTTCAAGCGATTCTCCTGCCTCAGCCTCCCGAGTAGCTGGGATTACAAGTGTGCGCCACCATGCCCAGCTACTTTTTGTAATTTTAGTAGAGATGGGGTCCCGCTGTGTTGCCCAGGCTGGTTTCAAACTCCTGGGCTCAAGTGATCTGCCCACCTTAGCCTCCCAAAGTGCTAGGATTACAGGTGTGAGCCACAACACCTGACCTGTGGCTGTTTTCTTACTGTAGCGATAGACGAGGAGTTGCTGCATTGCATAGAGATGCTATATTGCACGCAAAGGCTTTACTGACTTCACAAAAAAGTATTTGTCCCAGGTGTAGTGTACTAGATCCCTTCCAATCTGTAATTTTAATTTAAAAATGTCCAAATACCCCTGTTTTGAAGGATAAACTCTGTATGCTTGTGCTTATTTTGGAGAAGCCATAAACTTACTTTGTTTTGTACGTGATCAGATGTGGGCGCTATCTCCAACTGTCTTTGCACTTCTGAGTAAGAATCTGATGATTGTGCACAGTGACCTGGCTGTTCACTTCCCTGCCATTCAGTATGCTGTGCTCTACACATTGTATCCTCATTGTACCAGGTACTGTATTCACAAATTTTTCTTAAGAAAAGAACCCCACAAAACATTTTATTTTTTTAATGGATAGATTTTAAAGATGTATGTTGATTTAACTTTGGACTTGCTTGCTTTCTTTGATTAAAGATGAAAAGATAATCTATGCTTTGTCTTTCAGGCATGATCACTTTATCTTTAGTAGCCTCAGTTCTTCCTCTCCTTCTTTGTTTGATGGAGCTGTGATTGGCACTGTAACTACGGCCACAAAGAAACATTTCTCAATTATATTAAATCTTCTGGGAATGTTACTTAAGAAAGATAACCAGGACACGAGGTAACAGATATTATATAGTATTAACCATTCCTAACTTTGTTAATTTGCCTTTATAATTTGAGAAGAAGAAATGTGGATTACAAAAAATTTAAAAAAATGTGGATTATAGAGGTGAGGTAGAGCAGCTTCTTTATTGTCAAACACCTTATAATTTGGTTTTATTATTTAATCTAGGCTTTCTTATTCTTTCTGAAAAGAAATACATGAAAAACCTCAATCCCCCACCCCCAGTGTTTCATAGAAGAATATATATAGATTTTTAATATTCTTTGCTTTTTTTTTTTTTGAGACGGAGTTTTGCTCACTGCAACCTCTGCCTTCCAGGTTCAAGCAATTCTCCTGCCTCAGCCTCCCAAGTAGCCGCGATTACAGGTGCCCGCCACCACACCCAGCTAATTTTTGTATTTTTAGTAGAGATGGTGTTTCACCATGTCGTTGGCCAGGCTGGTCTTGAACTCCTGACCTCAGGTAAGCCACCACGCCCGGCCTCTTTGCTATTATCATGCTGCGTTGGGAGGTTTTCTTAAAAGGCACACAACAATTTTGACAGTAATTTCTATAGTTTCATTTTTTATTTTTATTTTTTATTGTTTGAGATGTTTGAAAAACCAAGAGAAAACCAATGTAAGAAGACTAGGCTTTTAACTTTTTTTGTTTTTGTTGTTTTTTTTTTTTTAATGTACAGTCAACTGTATATTTTGTGTTTCAGGAAACTGTTAATGACTTGGGCTTTGGAAGTAGCTGTTGTAATGAAGAAGTCCGAAACATATGCACCTTTATTCTGTCTTCCGTCTTTCCATAAATTTTGCAAAGGCCTTTTAGCTGACAGTAAGACTCTGTTTTTTTTTTTTTCTATTTTGTTTATCAGTCCTTAAAAGGGTCTTTGGTAATGGGAGATGGTCATGAATCGAGCTCTTTTCCTGACCTGAAGATGTGTAATCCTCATTTTAATGACAGATACACAGTCTTGATTTTTTTTCATTCTTAGTATTAGAAAAATGTTTTGAAGTGATTGTCACATTTTTAAGCTAACGTGAATGTTTATAGTTTACATATACTTTTACATTTTCTCTCAGAAAAAGTTTTGTGTGATGACCCATCAGTTACATTACGTGGGTTTTGTTGAATGTGTCATTTTTCCAAATGTGACAGTCAATGAGGATTCTGGACAAGAACAGTGCCTAGTCTATAGTAGGCACTCACTCTTTGTTGAATGAATGAATGGATTCAGATAATTATGACAAACTGGGATATAATTTCTTTTGGCCAGCTGAAAGTAACTGTCTTTTAATGTTTAATAGCTCTCGTTGAAGATGTGAATATCTGTCTGCAGGCATGCAGCAGTCTACATGCTCTATCCTCTTCCTTGCCAGATGATCTTTTACAGAGGTATGAAATTAAGATCATGTCTTTTGACATTAACCCTAATAACCTGGAACTGTTAACACACCTGCTTTGTCTATTTCGTTCTTTCATAGATGTGTTGATGTTTGCCGTGTTCAACTAGTGCACCGTGGAACTTGTATTCGACAAGCATTTGGAAAACTGTTGAAATCAATTCCTTTAGGTGTTGTCCTAAGGTATAACAGTTGTTTTGGAGCAAAGACATTCTGTGATATTTACAGCCTCTACTGGTTGTCTACTTTAGGAGAAGACACATCACCTATTAGAGCATTAATGACACATCTTTTATGGCCCTGCTTGTCAGTGATTGAAGTGATGTCAAATAATCAAATTTTGCAGGTCTGCAAGAAAATTAAAAATTTTTAATGAGCTTTATAGGCTCACAATAATTAGTATAGAATAACTCATGTAGTGCCAAAATATGTTTCTTAGTAGCTCAGATATTTGAAAAACTAAACAGTAATCTTTTATTGTTTTTGATCAAGTTGATTTGGGAGCTTTTAAGAGCCTAAACTTGATCCTTTTGTAATAGATAAGCATAATGATTGGGTTTTTATGTTCACATGTTTGATATGCCTCCCTCAAATCCTCTTATGATGTCGGCACATGACCCATCTGAGGTGAATAAAAAAAGGATCTAAAGTTGTAATCACATCTCTGTATCCATTTGAAAGTCTCAATTTTACTATATTTTTACCTCCAGTGAGTTAATAAGTAAATAATCCACTTACAGTATGTGCTAACCTTTTAAGCTAAAATATTTTGCATAACAACAACTTTATTTTCTGTCTACAGCGATAACAATCACACAGAAATTCAAGAAATTTCTTTAGCATTAAGAAGTCACATGAGTAAAGCACCAAGTAATACATTCCACCCCCAAGATTTCTCTGATGTTATTAGTTTTATTTTGTATGGGAACTCTCATAGAACAGGGTAAGACATTTCTTTGACTATTTTATCTGGGAAAGAAAATTTTAAGATTCCCTTGACTTTACATGCAGTTTTGAAGAGAAAATATGTTTGGGGGTGGCAGAGTATCAAGTAACATTCTTCTCATATGGGTTATTTCAGTTTTCATCAATAGGAAAATTGCTTTGAAGATAGCATCTGTAGAAACAAAAATGGGCTTTGAAATTGAGTAATGAAATGTGGTTAACAGTTAACTGATGTGATGTCATTAACACTTTGGGGAGTGGGGTGGGGGTGGAGATATTCTAGAGATGCTTAGTTGCATTGAATGAGTTTCATTCCTGACTGGCATGAGCCGTTTACCCTAATCATCCTTCCACACTGTACCTCATCCTGTTAACTATACAAGACCTCAAAATGAGAGGGGGGGACATAATGCTTCTCAATTTCATAGGTTTTGCCTTTTTTTGGAGTAGGGAAAATTACAGTTCCTTATTCCCATTCCCCTTGCATTTTTTTTTCATTATTAAAATGAAGTTGTCATTGTCTTTTAAATATGAAACTACTTTTCCCAGGAAGGACAATTGGTTGGAAAGACTGTTCTATAGCTGCCAGAGACTGGATAAGCGTGACCAGTCAACAATTCCACGCAATCTCCTGAAGACAGATGCTATCCTTTGGCAGTGGGCCATATGGGAAGCTGCACAATTCACTGTTCTTTCTAAGCTGAGAACCCCACTGGGCAGAGCTCAAGACACCTTCCAGACAATTGAAGGTAACTCGCTCAAGCTTTATGATGTGAATACTTTCAAAGCCTTATTGAGAAATAATGGATTTTTAAATCTTTGTTAAAGATTTGAGGGTATATGATTTTTTTTGAAAAAAGTCAATAATTTTCAGGTTTGTTTGTTAGAATAAGCTTTCATTGAATAATTGCATTGGAAATATGTTTGTTTTTTTTCCAAAACTTATGGGAGTTGTGTGGAAAAAATATATATTTTTTTCCCCTAAAATGAAAGATCTTTCATGTTGGGATTTTTTATTTTTAAATGATGGGTAGACAGAGGATACTTGATAAATGTGAATTGGTCATAAAAAACTCACACTTATTCTAGGAACTTTTAAGATTTTTAAAAATTCAGAATGTTGTCTTTGCTTTCAGGTATCATTCGAAGTCTCGCAGGTCACACATTAAACCCTGATCAGGATGTTAGTCAGTGGACAACTGCAGACAGTGATGAAGGCCATGGTAACAACCAACTTAGACTTGTTCTTCTTCTGCAGTATCTGGAAAATCTGGAGAAATTAATGTATAATGCATACGAGGGATGTGCTAATGCCTTAACTTCACCTCCCAAGGTTGGTTTCCGGGAGATAGTGTTGTTTTATAGCAGTTTAATGGTCACAGCTGGCAGTATGTGCAGAGCTGAAATCACAATAGACTTGTGTATTTGGTTTATATATAGGTGAGACATCCTTACCTACAAATTGAACCAGTCCTGAGCTTTTCTTTCTCTTATCGTAAAGGTCATTAGAACTTTTTTGTATACCAATCGCCAAACTTGTCAGGACTGGCTAACGCGGATTCGACTCTCCATCATGAGGGTAGGATTGTTGGCAGGCCAGCCTGCAGTGACAGTGAGACATGGCTTTGACTTGCTTACAGAGATGAAAACAACCAGCCTATCTCAGGTAAAGTGGTGTGTTTGAAATTCATTTTAAGTCTGTTAATAAGAAAAACATGGTTTAATTCCTTTGGTATGATTTAATCTATGGATAAAATAAGTTAAAGCTTGGATTCATTTTCAAAGGTTTTGATCCTGTATTTTGTAAAAGCAACAACTGCCAGAGTTACCTATTTTATTCGTGTTAAAACAGTGTTAGAAGTCAAAATAATGTTCATGTTTTTGTTCATGTTAAAACAATATTCATGTTAGAACACGTTAAAACTCTATTTCTTCCGTGCAAAGTTTAGAACTTTAAAGGTAATTCTGAAAATTTGTTTATGGGGGAAAATTTTTATTTATTTATTTATTTTTTTGAGACACAGTTTCACTCTGTCGCCCAGGCTGGAGTGCAGTTGTGCGATCTCGGCTCACTGTAAGCTCCGCCTCTCGGGTTCAAGCCTCTTCTTGCCTCAGTCCCTGGGATTACAGGCACCCACCACCATACCCGGCTAAGTTTTGTATTTTTAGTAGAGACAGGGTTTCACCATGTTGGCCAGGCTGGTCTCGAACTCCTGACCACAAGTGATCCGCCCACCTCGGCCTTCCAAAGTGCTGGGATTACAGGCATGAGCCACTGCACCTGGCCAGGAGAAATTGTTTTTATAACGTATGACAAATGCTTGAGTAATTCCTGGCTTGAAAGTGGGCTCACAATAAATAACTGGAATCCAAAAATAACAAAATGTTTAGCAATTCAGGTAATGTCAAGCAGTTTTCAAACACATGAAGTTAATCATTCCTTAATTCCTGTTTATTTATATTTCATTTTTGCTTTCTTTTTACTCCATGTGTTATTCCTACAGAGGTCACAGGTTAAATGTTTTTGGGTAACTTTGGGGTGGGGGTACAAACATCCATGTGCTGCTAAGGTTCTGTTAGTCACCCTTTGTGGCTATTTTATATGTAACATTTTAAAGAATTCTGAGCTAAATAATGTGAAAATTGTGACAATAATTGTTAAATACATTTGGCTTTAAGCAGGCACAGACTGATCAGTTGTAAATTTTATAGGGATTTATGTTTTAATGGTATTGGGTGACTAACTTTTCTGAATGCGTTTTCAGGGGAATGAATTGGAAGTAAGCATTATGATGGTGGTAGAAGCACTATGTGAACTTCATTGTCCTGAAGCTATACAGGGAATTGCTGTCTGGTCATCATCTATTGTTGGAAAACATCTTCTGTGGATTAACTCAGTGGCTCAACAGGCTGAAGGGAGGTAGGTTGGAGGGAAGGAAATGGGTGATAGAATTACTTTATGTTTAAATTCTTTGTATTACTCACTGACATTGTAGCCAAATCTTAAAACAGCTTTGTTTGCTTTCAGCATTGAAGCTTGCTATAAATCCCTTCACCAGGAGGCATCTTCAGTTTGTTCTTTAGTTAGCAGCAATACTGGAGTGCCTTTCTTATTTAAGAATTAGTGGCAAATCACACTGTAAAACAAGACCTGTCAGTTGTTTTATAAATGCTTTTGAACTTGATCCCTAGTTGAGCTCCTTCCCCCTCAGAGTCTGATACAAATTACCCTTTATTGTCAGAGTATTTGCTCGTTAGTCCAGTGAACTCTACATTCAGACTCATTGCTTCCTCCAGGTAGAGGAGCTTGTACCATAATATTCTGTGTCCATTTATGTTAGTTTAATGAAATCTTGCGAACTTAGGAAAATAAAAGAACTGCTCATACTTCCATATCTTTGTAGTAACTTCTGTTGTGTGTCCTTTTGTAGTCCCATATTTCCATATCCATACGCTTTGTAATTCTTTTTTCTTTCATGTCGTTTCCTCCATTCTTCACCAAAACATCAGCGTACATAGGCACATGGTTTTATGATCTGTTTTTCCCACTCAATATTTAAAAAAACAAAATTTGCCATGTTAGGTAGGCTGGGTTCGGTGGCTTACATCTGTATTCCCAGCACTTTGGGAGGCCGAGGCAGGTGGATCACCTGAGGTCAGGAGTTCAAGACCAGCCTGGCCAACATGGTGAAACCCCGTCTCTACTAAAAATACAAGAAAATTAGCCGGGCATGGTGGCGAGCGCCTGTAATCCCAGCTACTCAGGAGGCTGAGGCAGGAGAATCGCTTGTACACGGGAGGCAGAGGTTGCACTGAGCTGAGACAGTGCCATTGCACTCCAGCCTGGGCAAGAAGAGCAAAACTTCATCTCAAAAAAAAAAAGTAAGTAGTTAGATAAATAAAGAAATAAGACTGCTTCAATTTGCTTTTCAGGTTTGAAAAGGCCTCTGTGGAGTACCAGGAACACCTGTGTGCCATGACAGGTGTTGATTGCTGCATCTCCAGCTTTGACAAATCGGTGCTCACCTTAGCCAGTGCTGGGTGTAAGAGTGCCAGCCTGAAACATTGTCTGAATGGTGAGCATTCAGTATTTTTAAATAAAGCAAAAGTTATAGTAATATATTTCGTACTGATGTTCTTATCATGTTTTTAGGTTTCTGTGCTCTTTGAAATATTTCTAATTGATCTGAATCTCTCTCTTCTTATTTTATAAAATACTTTCAGGTGAATCCAGAAAAAGTGTGCTGTCCAAACCGACTGACTCTTCCCCTGAGGTTATAAATTATTTAGGAAACAAAGCATGTGAGTGCTACATCTCAACTGCCGATTGGGCTGCTGTGCAGGAATGGCAGAACGCTATCCATGACTTGAAAAAGAGTACCAGTAGCACTTCCCTCAACCTGAAAGCTGACTTCAACTATATAAAGTAAGGCTTTCTGTTTCCAGTTATAAAACAAATTTCCAATAACTATGATGTTTTTCCTATGGCAAAAAAATATTAAAATTGGTCATATGTAGTAATACAAAATGGTTATATTTCTAACTTACTGCCATTATGAAAATGACAACAGGAAACTGACATCAGAGATGAGGGAAGGTATTTGTATAATGGGAAAACACTGCTGAGATAGTCATTTGGTATTAATTTTCAGAACCTGTCGTTCTAAAACCTTAATACAGTTTGAAGATTATGCCAGAGTGAATATAAAGAAAAATTTGTACTGCTTTAGAAAGAATCACATTTGATGGCTTTGTTTCGAAATGAGGTCTGAATATATCAAAAACATTTATTCTAATGAGGACAGAGTTTGTGAACATCTGTAAATTAAACTTTCTTCTCATTCCTCTGTGCTTTTATTAATTCTGTAATTCAAAACTGAGCACTCACTCTGTTGCAGACACTTGGCTGGGAAGATAAAGGTCATTAGACTTTGTCTGATACCCTTGCCTTCTACTGCTAAATGGGTTAATGTGTAATTGCTTCACTGAGCATGTGCTGTGACCCAGGCAGCACATAAAACAGACACAAATTCCAACCTTTTAAAGCAAAGATTAGATAAAGATTATTGATAGAAGGACTAATTGGACCTCACTCACCTTTTCTGTGCCATAAGGAAAGCAGTTAGGTAAAGCTGACCTTCTTTGGAGGGAAGACACAAGGTCAAGACATGCCCATCAGGATGCCCTTTGGGCCTAGACCTGATGTGAGAATGATGGGCTTGGAGTGTTCTGGAAATAGCTGGGAGGCCTGTGTGTTTAGGAGCGCCTTAAACAGTAGGATATAAGGGCAGAGAAGTAGCTGGGAACTGAGAAAAGAACTTTGGCTGTTATTCTAGTAAGACTGAAAATTTCAGGTGGGATTTGAACAGAGATGTGTTGTGATCTGACTTGGTTCATTCTGCTGTGGTGAAGAGACTGGAGGTGCGGGGCAAGTATGGAAGCATGGAGACCATTAATTTATGGGGGCAATGGTAGAGGGAAGAGAAACAATGCTATTAACTGGAGTAGGAGCACACAGAGAACAAGCCCTGTTTTAAGATTTCTAATGAAATGTGCAGATGAGATTGTTGGGTAAGCTGTTAAGAATTGGATTTTGAACTAAGGAGACAGTCTAAGCTTGAGAGATTTGCAGATGATTAGTACACAGAAAAGGCCCTCTTTCCTTTTCAGTCTCTATACTCTAGAGCCTTTGTAAGCAACCAAACCAGAGAGAAGCCTCTGGAGAATAGTGAGTGAAGAGGAAGGAAGGCCTGGGTCAGAATCCTAGTTTAGCATTTTTGTGAAAGGATAGAAGAGGAAGCCATTCAAAAAAATACAGGGACATTGAGAAGGGAAGTGCCCTAGATATAGGACATCCAGATGGGAGTAGTCAGCCTTGTCAGATGCTCTAGGGATTATAAGGAAAAAGAGTTTTGTAGAGAGACAGAAGAAGCTAGATTGAATAGTATTGAGTGGTAGAGACATTTGAAAATGAAAAGCTTGAGGTAAGTTATTTGGTCAGTGAGTTTTTCTTGAAGTCGAGGATAGGAAGCTGTTGCTGGAGGGAAATATGAGATGTTTATTTTAAATGTTGGAGAGATTATGTTCTTTTGGCCAAGGGGAAGGAGCCACTAGAAAGCAGAGGTTGAAGAAACAGGAGAAAGAACATTGATAGATTAACTGGCCCTCACCTTTTCTCTGCCTCAAGGAAAGCAGTCAAAGTTGGTATAGACAGAATTTCGGCAGTGTATGGTGGATTGGGGGTAGGGGTAGAGGAAATTAAAGCCTGTGTTTTTTTGTTTGTTTGTTTTTTCTGAGGACTGAGTCATTAGCTGAAAGCATAGGGCATTATAGAGCATAGTGGGGACTTGGGGAACCTGCCACTGGAGAGGACTTAGGACCTTTTAATGGCAGAAATGATGACTGTGTTGGCAGCAGTTCATCAGTGCCCAGTACTCAAGGGTCCCCCTGAGAAGCCAGTGGTTGCACTGATCTAGGTAGAATCAGGCACAGAATAAGTCAGGTGATGTGCCTTTCTAGCACTGGCCTCAGGCTGAGTTATAAGGGAAGTTACACAGCGAGAGGGACAGGCAAAGATGGAAAAGAGAGAGAGTGAGAAACAGTGTCTTCTTCCTGGCTGGAGAGCCCGTGTCATGAAAATGGGGACAGGGTAAGGGATCTGAAAGGAGCAGCATAGAAGCTGGGAGGATGAGGCCTGTCTTCCTGGCATTGATGCTGCAGAACTACAGGAAAGAATTTCAGAGGTGTCATTATTTTTCATATAAGCAGATGAAAGAGAAGAATTCTTTGAAAAAAGAAAAGTAGGTGAAAAAGGGAGAGACGGAGGGATGCCAGCAGTGAAAGAAGCCAGGACTGAGATACAAGATTGTGATGCTGGGAGAGCTGCAAGGGCTCATGCTGTAGGTGAGGAGTGAGGCTGCACAGGGAGCTCACTGGCAGCTTGGAGAGAACTGGGTGTCAAAGTTGTCCTGCAGAGGTCTACTGTCAGTGTGTCAGGCTCTGAAGAGAACAGGCTGCAACACATGAAAACAGGAAGGAGACACGGGCGAGTCAGCTCCACTGAAAGTCTGTAGCTGTGACTTTCTGGTTTGCCACTCCAATTTGAGTACTAATTAAGTGGTAGTCACATCTGCAACATAAAAACCAAAATAATGGCATCCTCGTGGAAGGAATTTTGTCAGAAAAGTGCTGTGTACTTTGCTGTCTTCCTAGGATTTGTTCTGTTTTTGTTTGTTTGTTTTTTTTAATGGTTCCACAGGCTGCATAGGAATACAAGCTAACCAATATTTTAATTACAGATCATTAAGCAGCTTTGAGTCTGGAAAATTTGTCAAATGTACCGAGCAATTAGAATTGTTACCAGGAGAAAATATCAATCTACTTGCTGGAGGATCAAAAGAAAAAATAGGTAGGTACTTGAGAAAATAGTTTTAAAGTTATTTTAGTGGACAAGTTGCTCAAAATGTTTGGCTTAGTATATTTTACTGGAAAATCTGGAAGTTATTTTACATTTTTGTGGGGGCAGAATCCCATGTGAAGCAACAAATTTAGGGCTGCCCTATTTATGTTTGATTTGGGAAATGAAAAGCACTTAAAATTAAGTCAAATAAAAAAAATGACCACCTTAATACTTTGAGATTTATCTAGCCATTTTGTTTGATAAAGGACAAAGTAGTGTTTCAGCTAAATATTTTTCTTGATTTTCATCTTGATGTGGCTCATTAAGTTCTTTATCACAAATGGAACACTTGATAAGATGTTATTAAAAAGTTTAATGAGTATTCTGGATTGAGCAAGATTTGCTAATGCAGGTCTAGATTTGTCCCCTTAAATAGTAGATTGACTTACCGATTTTCTTTTTTGTTGAGACAGAGTCTCACTCTGTTGCCCAGGCTGGAGTGCAGTGGCGCGATTTCGGCTCACTGCAACCTCCGCCCTCTGAGTTCAAGCGATTCTCCTGCCTCAGCCTCCTGAGTAGCTGGGATTACAGGTGTCTGCCACCGTGCCAAGCTAATTTTTTGTATTTTTAGTAGAGACGGGGTTTCATCATCGTGGCCAGGCTGGTCTTGAACTCCTGACTTCGTGATCCACCCACCTTGGCCTCCCAAAGTGCCGGGATTACAGGCGTGAGCCACCACGCCTGACCTCGACTTACTGATTTTTGAGCCTTTGAAGGCAACTGCTTTTTAGGGGTCTGAGGTACAGTAATTTTGTATGAAGTATGATTTTTATATAGCTCTCAGTAATGCTTATAGTGTTTAACTGCCTGAAATATTAAAGGAGCTGTTCATTGGTGATTAGTTTTTAATAATGCCAAACATAAATCAAAATTTATAATAAAAGCACATTAACTTAATGACATTTCATTTAACTTCTGTAGACATGAAAAAACTGCTTCGTAACATGTGAAGTCCAGATCCAAGGGAACCTCAGAAATCCATTGAAGTTCCATTGTTAAGAAGTTCTGTTTGTTTGGCAACTGCTTTAAACCCGATAGAACAAGATCAGAAGTGGCAGTCTATAACTGAGTAAGTTTACTCTTACGGAGGTAAATGTACATTGTGTATATCATGTGATAAACATACATGGGGTGAAGAGGGCTGGAAGGAGAGTTACTAGATTACTAAATACTAGTGCTAATAGCTTCATTTTAGTTGTAGAAGTCATATGATATATGAATGCTGCTTGCCAACAAAAACTGAGGTTGAAATGAAATAAAATGTAAAAATCCCCAAAAGCAAATGTCTTGACTTGCTGATACCATTTTATTATAGAGCAGGCTGCTCCTCTTACTGCCCCCTAACTTTGGATGTCAATTTGATAGCATCTTATCAATTGCTTTATTCTTTGAGTGGTTATGAATTGTAATTTTTATTAATTGACAGTAAATATTTTGTTTCAGAAATGTGGTAAAGTACTTGAAGCAAACATCCCGCATCGCTATTGGACCTCTGAGACTTTCTACTTTAACAGTTTCACAGTCTTTGCCAGTTCTAAGTACCTTGCAGCTGTATTGCTCGTCTGCTTTGGAGACCACAGTTTCTAACAGACTTTCAACAGAGGTCTGTATATTTTTACAAGCACACTCTTATGACTATTAATGGTCATTACTGTAGAACAAAGACCTTATTTTTTGAGTTTTTTGGAATAGGATTTGTAGTTGGGCAAGCTGGTAAATCCAGAAATCTAACATGCTGTTTTCAGGCAGTCTTTCATTTGGGAAGTACATGGGGCAGATGGAAGAACCTGAGATAATCGCAAGGATGGCAAATTGCTCAGTTTTTTCTTCTATTTTTGGGGTGGGAGGTGGTGTATGTAAAGACAGTTCCTTTAGGCAGATCACGTAAATTTTAGATTTGCTGCAAACAAAGATCTCTCCTCTTCATCCTAAATGGGGTAAAGTTCGACCAGAGATGGGGGCTTCTGAATGAATGGTGATCTTCGAGAACTTCATAATAAAGCATTAGTTGTAATGTTTTTCTGCAGTCTGCTTTATAGTAAATGTGCTGTGACTTTTTTTTTTGTAATGTGCTTTATTAAGTATATTGATAAATTAGACTTAATATTCTGAAGAAGATTTCCCTTCAAAACAAAAGGCTTTCTCTTACTGTGTGCTTGCCTCTTGTGAGTAGAAGATAAATGATGTAAGGGTATAGTGTAATAGATAAAACTACTGCAATCAATCTGAAGTAGCCAAACTATATTGCAGTCTTGGACTTAAGACTTGCTATATATCTGCAAACATATCAACAGCCTGTTTTACGTTGAGTAATTTTGGTTTTTCTCTGGCAGGACTGTCTTATTCCACTCTTCGGCGAAGCTTTACGTTCATGTAAACAGCATGACGTGAGGCCGTGGATGCAGGCATTAAGGTATACTGTGTACCAGAATCAGTTGTTGGAGAAAATTAAAGTTAAGTGGTTTTCCTTTTTTTTTTTTGTAAGAGAAAATTAAAGGTGGTTTTTTTTTTTAAATTTTGCTTTATTGAGGTTTATATTACACATTCTAAGTGTATGGTTTGATGAGTTCTAACATGTCTTCACTTGTGTGACCACCAATACGATCGAGATAGAGAACAGCGTCTTACCCCAGAAGGTTCCCTTGGGATCATCTCCTCATTTGCCCCTGTCAGCAGTTACTGATTTGCTTTCTGTCACTATGGATTAGACTTGTCTTTACTAAAGTTTCATGTACGTGAAATCATAACAACATGTTCTCTTGTGTTTGGCTTCTCTTGCTCAGCATGATATTTTTACGGTTCACCCATATTGCATGTATCAGGAATATAATCCTTTTTATTATTGAGTAGTGTTCTATTGTATGTATTTACCACAGTTTATTTCTCCCTTCATCCTTTGCTAGATTTTGGGGTTTTTTCACATTGCGCTATTCAGTATAAACCTGCTCTCAACATTCATGTGCAAGTCTTTGAGTGGACATATATTTGCGTTTCTCTTGAGTGAATGCACCTTGTTGGGTCACGTGGCTTAACTTAAAAAAATTTTAATCACTGTGGTGCATATGTAGTGATTATTAGTGATTATCTCATAATTTTATTTTCTTGTTTAATGATGTTGAGTGTATTTCATTTGTATTTTAGTTTGCAAATGTTTGTTCAAATTCTTCACCTGTTTTTAATGAAGACGTACGACTTATTTTTGTGTTCTGAACATAAGTTCTTTGTCACATAAAATGTGCTATGAATGTTGAGTTTTAAATACTCCAAATGAATGGCTAGAGAATTACTATTTGTAGAAATATTTATATGTCAAAGGGATGCTAACAATTTACTTTATTGCTCTAAAATAGAAAAGTTGCCAGAATGCTGTGGAGTTTTAGTGGAAAACATGATAGCTGGTGTTACTGAGTAAATTTGAGTGTTAAATGTCAATGTAAGCTAACGGCCAAGATAGGGACCACTGCAGGGTGGTTACTTGCAGCTGTGACTCAACTGGTCCTTCACTGCCAAACATACCTGGGGTTGGATCATTGGCCTGACGTTTGCAAATTGAGGAACCTTAGGGCAAATCAATGAACTTCTGAACTGCCTTCGTCTTCAGTTATATGGGGATTTCCCCACTTTTGAGGTACTTGTAAGGATTATATGAGATGAAGAGATGAGACAAGGTATATAAAAGTCCTAGCACAGAGCGTGTCATATAATATGGCTTCACAAGTACCCTCATCTCCTTTCCAGTCGTTTTTTGTTTTTGTTTTTGTTTTTTTGAGACCATCTCACTCTGTTGCCCAGGCTGGAGTGCCTCTTCATTTTTATTTCTTTATTCAGCAAGTATTGATCAAATGTGCTTTGTACCAGGTACTGAGCTCTTCGTTGGGATATAATGGTGATCAAGGAGATTGTAGATTCTGGCAGGGAAAACTGACATCAAACACGGCGACCCGACATAGTGAGACCCTGTCTCTACTAGAAGAACTTTAAAAATCACCTAGGTGTGGGCCGGGCACGGTGGCTAACGCCTGTAATCCCAGCACTTTGAGATGCTGAGGCAGGTGGATCACGAGGTCAGGAGATCGAGACCATCCTGGATAACACGGAGAAACCCCGTCTCTACTAAAAATACAAAAAAATTAGCCGGGCGTGGGGGCGGGCATCTGTAGTCCCAATTACTCGGGAGGCTGCAGCAGGAGAATGGCATGAACCCGGGAGGCGGATCTTGCATTGAGCCAAGATCACGCCACTGCACTCCAGCCTGGGCGACAGAATGAGACTCCATCTCAAAAAAAAAGAAGAAACCAAGGATATAGAATAAAACAAGAGTGTAGATTTGGGCATTGAGGCCTTCAAATTGGATTGTTCTCAATGTCCAGAAGAAAAAAAAAATTTAGAAGAGACCCAAATCAGAAAACAAAAGTTGGGCTGAATTCAATGCGAATTATTTTCTAGCTCAATATTAATACTGCTTATGTCAGCTGAATTTCAGCCTTTCAATAACAGCTAGTCAAGTATTTTTTTAGTTGGTTCCTATTGATCGTCATCTTATTTTAGTGGAATCCATTATATTGAAGATGTCAAGTTCCTCATTTCCCATACAAAGAATGTGAGATTCATCTTTCTTGAATCTTTGCTAAGTGTTGAAGGGGACTTTTGGCATCTTTTCAGGAGGACTATAATTGGGCCCTCTAACTAAAAAGTCTCCTATGCCCCTTAGATAGATGAGATTTTTTTTTTTGACCTTGTACCCACCAACATTGGTGGGAGGCTCAGAAGGGACTGTGTTTGTAACTTTGTAGCACTTTCTAAACAGTGACCTGTTGTATGGGCATTATAGGACAGTCCGTGGGGTGGGGCGGGGGATGGGGGAGATGGACAAATGAGGTCTGGTTTAAAGAATGAGAAGTGTGACCAGGCATGGTGACTCATGCCTGTAATCCAGCACTTTGGGATGCTGAGGCAGGAGGATCACTTGAGCCCAGGAGTTTGAGGTTACAGTAAGCTATGATTGTGCCACTGGGCTCCAGCCTGGGTGACAGAACTAGACCCTGTCTCTAAAAAAAGAAGAAGAGGTGTGTATCCTTCTAAATGATAAAACAGATCACTCCCCTGCTTACATAAAACTTTCCGGTGGCTGGCCAGGCACGGTGGCTCACGACTGTAATCCCAGCACTTTGGGAGGCCGTGGTGGGCAGATCACGAGGTCAGGAAATCGAGACCATCCTGGCTAACGTGGTGAAATCTTGTCTCTACTAAAAACACAAAAAATTAACCCAGGTATGGTGGCATGCACCTGTAGTCCCAGCTACTCGGGAGGCTGAGGCAGGAGAATCGCTTGAACCAGGGAGGTGGAGGTTGCAGTGAGCTGAGATTGCGCCACTGCACTCCAGCCTGGGTGACAGAGACTCTGTCTCAAAAAAAAAAAAAAAAAAGAAAAAGAAAAATTAGATGGGTGTGGTGGCATGTGCCTGTAATCCCAGCTACTGGGGAGCCTGAGGCAGGAGAATCGCTTGAACCTGGGAGGCAGAGGTTACAGTGAGCCAAGATTGCACCACTGCAGTCTGCCTGGGTCACAGAGCTAGACTCTGTCTCAAAAACAGAAAAACAAAAAAACAACTTTCCAGTGGCTTCTCACTGCTCTGAGAATAAACTCCAGGCTCTTCCATTGCAACCAACAGGATCTGGTGATTCGACCCCAGCCCCTCTTTCCAGGCCCTCATCACCTTGATCCTCCCTTAACCTATCCTGCTCCAGCTGCACTGGCTGCCTTCCTATTCCTCCAGCATACCAAGATTGTTTCTGCCACAGGGCCTTTGCATCTGCTGTTCTCTTCGCCTGGACACCTCTTGGTTCTTTTTTTTTTTTTTCTTTGAGATGGAGTCTCACTCTGTCGCCCAGGCTGAAGTGCAGTGGCGCGATCTCGGCTCACTGCAAGCTCCGTCTCCCAGGTTCATGCCATTCTCCTGCCTCAGCCTTCCGAGTAGCTGGGACTACAGGCATCCGCCACCACGCCCGGCTAATTTTTTTGTATTTTTAGTAGAGACGGTTTCACCGTCTTAGCCAGGATGGTCTCGATCTCCTGACCTCGTGATCCGCCCGCCTGGGCCTCCCAAAGTGCTGGGATTACAGGTGTGAGCCACCGTACCCGGCCATAGAGCAGCCTCTTCCTTTTCCTGTTGGGTCTCTGCTCAGATGTCATGTCAGAGAGGCAGACCTCTGGGGCGGTCTATCTGAGGGAATGCACCCATCTCCCTTCCTCTGACCAGTTAGTTACCTTGCTTATTCTTTCAAAGCTCTTACCACCACCTGAAGTCATCTATCTGGTTTGGTTATTTTATTGTTTAGTAGCAGTCTTTATTTTATTATTATTATTATTTTTTGATGGAGTCTCACTCTGTTGCCCAGGCTGGAGTGCAGTAGCATGATCTCGGCTCACCAGAACCTCTGCCTCCCAGGTTCAAGCGATTCTCCTGCCTTAGCTTCCTGAGTAGCTGGGACTACAGGCACGTGCCACCATGCCCAGCTGATTTTTGTACTTTTAGTAGAAACGGGGTTTCACTATGTTGGCTGGTCTTGAACTCCTGACATCAAGTGATCCGCCCACCTCGGCCTCCCAAAGTACTGGGATTACAGGCATGAGCCACCACGCCAGGCTGGTAGCAGTCTTTCCTAGAATGTGGATGCCTTGGAAAACAGGGGCTCTGCCTTGTTTCCCTAGAACCTAGAATGGCATCTGGCACACAGCAGATGCTACATCTATTGTAAATGAATGAATGAAAGAAGTGTCCTTGCAGCCACACTGGCAGCCGTAACATAGTGGTTATAAATCTAGACTCTGGAGTCTCAAGTGCAAATGTCATTGGCCTCTCCTCCAGCCTCCTCAAGGGGCACTCAATGACTGGAAGCGCCCTGATATGACTGTGGTTGGACTGACATGACTGCCAGATGGTGGGACTTGGTCTGGAGCAGAGACTACTTGGAATGGTAGAGGCAAAACTCAACAGCCCCTGGAGCTGCGCTTGTGGTGGAGCTGGACCCTGATTTTAGCTGGACCTTGTTTTTAGAGACAGGGTTTCCTTCTGCAGTCTCAATCTCCTAGCCTTGATTGATCCTCCTGCCTTGGCCTCCCAAAGTGCTGGGACTACAGGTGCATGCAACCACACCTGGCTAATTTTCTTCTCTTCTTTCTTTTTTTTTTTTTTTTTGATGGAGTCTTGTTCTGTTGCCCAGGCTGGAGTGCAATGGTGCCATCTCGGCTCACTGCAACCTCTGCCTCCCGGGTTCAATCCATTCTCCTGCCTCAGCCTCCCAAGTAGCTGGGACTACAGGTGTGTGCCACCGTGCCTGGCTAATTTTTGTATTTTTAGTAGGGATGAGACTTCACCATGTTGGCCAGGCTGGTCTCGACCTCCTGACCTCAGGTGATCCACCCACCTTGGCCTCCCAAAGTGCTGGGACTACAGGCACATGCAACCACGTCTGGCTAATTTTCTTGAGTTTTAGTAGAGACTGGGTCTCGTTATGTTGTCCAGGCTGGTCCCGAGCTCCTGAGTTCAATCGATCTTCCTGCCTTGGTCTCCCAAAGTGCTGGGCCTACAGGCATGAGCCACCATCCCCAGCCCAATTTTTGTATATTTTGTAGAGACACAGTCTTGCTATGTTGTCCAGGCTGGTCTCAAACTCCTGGGCTCAAGGGATCTTCTTGCCTTGGCCTCCCGGAGCACTTAATTACAGGAATGACTGCATGTGCTGTTGTGCCTATACTTTCTGGAGATACGTTGTTAGGAATTTATGTAGTTGGCCGGGCACGGTGGCTCACGCCTGTAATCCCAGCACTCTGGGATGCCGAGGCAGGTGGATCACCTGAGGTCAGGAGTTCGAGACCAGCCTGGTCAACATGGTGAAACCCTGTCTCTACTAATAATACTAAAATCAGAGGTTGCTTGCAGTGAGCCAAGATCATACCATTGCACTGCAGCCTGGGCAACAGAGCGAGACTCTGTCTCAAAAAAAAAAAAAAAGGAATTTACATAGTTGAACAACTATTCTTTGGACATCTTTTAGTCCAGTAGACGGTGTTAAACTTGAAGACAAATAACGATTTGACCTGTGATATTTGTTTTTCCCTCTTATCTTCTAAGCCCATTCATCCAGATCATTCATCACCTTTAAAGGCATCCCCAGAGGGAGGCAGGTCTGGACAGAGCTGAAGATTGCACAGGCCATTTGCAGGCTGGATTAGTTCTGTGGTGACCCACCTGTCTGACTCGAGTTATTTTTTTCCCATGTCTGGACAAGACTGACCTCTGCCCAGCAACTCAGGCCTGGATTTAGTCCAAGGGCCCTCAGTGGCTTGTTTGTTTGTTTTTTCAGGAAGTGAAGAATTTAGAGGGATAAAAGGCGGAAATAACTTTTCAGCCTCTGACCTTTGTAACAATCTAGTTTCCTTTTAAAGGAGCATTGTTTGGGCCTGGGGCCACCTAGACCTTCTGATGCTCTTTCCCCACCCTTGGAGGAGGAGGAAAGGAAGAAAATGGGCCCTGAGCGATCACCACATACCAGGCCCTGGGGGTCTAGTGGCGAAGGAGGCAGGTAGGGTCTCTTGCTTTCATGGAGCTTCTAGTCAAGCGAGACGCACTAAACAGTAAAGGGACAAATAGGATTACTGGAGGTAGCCCTAACTACTGGGACAGAAACAAGATGGTAAGATAGAGAAGGAAGAGTGGCCTGCTCAGATGGGGTGGTCCAGAGGCCTCTCGGGGGAGGTGACTCCTTTTTATTTTATTTTTTTTGAGATGGAATCTAGCTCTGTCGCCCAGCCTGAAGTGCAGTCGTGTGTTTCATGCGCGTCCGTGTGAAGAGACCACCAAACAGGCTTTGTGTGAGCAACATGGCTGTTTATTTCACCTGGGTGCAGGCGGGCTGAGTCCGAAAAGAGAGTCAGCAAAGGGTGGTGGATTATCATTAGTTCTTACAGGTTTTGGGATAGGGGGTGAAGAGCCATGTTTTGCAGGCAGGGGTGGATCTCACAAAGTACATTCTCAAGGGTGGGGAGAATTACAAAGAACCTTCTTAAGGGTTGGGGAGATTACAAAGTACCTTCTTAAGGGTGGGGGAGATTACAAAGTACATTGAAGAGTTAGGGTGGGGCAGAAACAAATCACAATGGTGGAATGTCATCAGTTAAGGCTATTTTTACTTCTTGTGTGGATCTTCAGTTACTTCAGGCCATCTGGATGTATACGTGCAAGTCACAGGGGATGCAATGGCTTGGCTTGGGCTCAGAGGCCTGACAGTGTGATCTTGGCTCACTGCAAACTCTGCCTCCTGGGTTCAAGCAATTTTTGTGCCTCAGCTTCCCGAGTAGCTGGGATTACAGGTGCCCGCCACCATGCCCAGCTAATTTTTGTATTTTTAGTAGAGACATAGAGTTTCACCAGATTGGCCAGGCTGGTCTCGAACTCCTGTCTCACGTGTCTGTGTGAAGAGACCACCAAACATGCTTTGTGTGAGCAACATGGCTGTTTATTTCACCTGGGTGCAGGCGGGCTGAGTCCGAAAAAGGAGTCAACAAAGGGTGGTGTGATTATCACTGGTTCTTATAGATTTGGGGATAGGCGGTGGAGTTAAGAGCAGTGTTTTGGGGGCAGGAGGTGGATCTCATAAAGTACATTGTCAAAGGTGAGGAGAATTACAAAGAAACTTCTTAAGGGTGGGGGAGATGATAAAGAACCTTCTTAAGAGTGGGGCAGATTACAAAGTACATTGATCAGTTAGGGTGGGGCAGAAACAAATGACAATGGTGGAATGTCTTCAGTTAAGGCTGTTTTCACTTCTGTGGATCTTCAGTTGCTTCAGGCCATCTGGATGTATACGTGCAGGTCACTGGGATATGATGGCTTAGCTTGGACTCAGAGGCCTGACATTCCTGTCTTCTTATGTTAATAAGAAAAATAAAACAAAATAGTGGTAAAGTGTTGGGGTGGCG
Source organism: Homo sapiens (assembly GCF_000001405.40). Taxonomy (NCBI): domain Eukaryota; kingdom Metazoa; phylum Chordata; class Mammalia; order Primates; family Hominidae; genus Homo; species Homo sapiens. The sequence goes on along the minus strand of NC_000016.10, from coordinate 21,871,808 downwards.
AAAATTTTTGGGGGTGATATGGAGAGATAATGGGCGATGTTTCTCAGGGCTGCTTCGAGTGGGATTAGGGGCGGCATGGGAACCTACAGTGGGAGAGATTCAACTGAAGAAAGATTTTGGGGTAAGGGCTGATACTGTGGGGTTGTTAGAAGGAGCATTTGTCATATAGAATTATTGGTGATGGCCTGAATATGGTTTTGTATGAATTGAGAAACTAAACAGAAGACACACGGTCCGAATAAGAGAAGGAGAAAAACAGGTATTAAAGGACTAAGAATTGGGAGGACCCAGGACATCCAATTAAGAGAGTGCCCAAGGGGGTTCAGCATAATTATTTGCTTGGTTGGCAAGTTTTTGGACTCTATCCTTGAGTTTTTTTATGTTGTCATATACCAGGCCAGATTGATTTAGGTAAAAACAACACTCTTCATTTAAAAATATACAGAGTCGTCCTTTTTCAGCAATGAGTAAATTGAGGCCTTGGCGATTTTGGAGGAAAGAGAATTGCAAAGCCAGCAATTGTTTCTTTTTTTATTTATTTATTTACTTATTTTTTTAAATTATACTTTAAGTTATAGGGTACATGTACACAATGTGCAGGTTTGTTACATATGTATACATGTGCCATGTTGGTGTACTGCACCCATTAACTCGTCATTTACATTAGGTGTATCTCCTACTGCTATCCCTTCCCCCTCCCCCACCACACAAGAGGCCCCAGTGTGTGATGTTCCCCTTCCTGTGTCCAAGTGTTCTCATTGTTCAATTCCCATCTGTGAGTGAGAACATGCGGTGTTTGGTTTTTTGTCCTTGTGATAGTTTGCTGAGAGTGATCGTTTCCAGCTTCATCCATGTCTCTACAAAGGACATGAACTCATCCTTTTTTATGGCTGCATAGTACTCCATGGTGTATCTGTGCCACATTTTCTTAATCCAGTCTATCATTGATGGACATTTGTGTTGGTTCCAAGTCTTCACTATCGTGAATATTGCCGCGATAAACATACGTGTGCATGTGTCTTTATAGCAGCATGATTTATAATCCTTTGGGTATGTATCCAGTAATGGGATGGCTGGGTCAAATGGTATTTCTAGTTCTAGATCCCTGAGGAATCGCCACACTGTCTTCCACAATGGTTGAACCAGTTTACAGTCCCACCAACAGTGTAAAAGTGTTCCTATTTCTCCACATCCTCTCCAGCACCTGTTGTTTCCTGACTTTTTAATGATCGCCATTCTAACTGGTGTGAGATGATATCTCATTGCGGTTTTGATTTGCATTTCTCTGATGGCCAGTGATGATGAGCATTTTTTCATGTGTCTGTTGGCTGCATAAATGTCTTCTTTTGAGAAGTGTCTGTTCATATGCTTTGCCCACTTTTTGATGGGGTTTGTTTTTTTTCTTGTAAATTTGTTGGTGTTCTTTGTAGATTCTGGATATTAGCCTTTTGTCAGATAAGTAGATGGCAAAAATTTTCTCCCATTCTCTAGGTTGCCTGTTCACACTGATCCTAGTTTCTTTTGCTGTGCAGAAGCTCTTTAGTTTAATTAGATCCCATTTGTCAGTTTTGGCTTCTGTTGCCATTGCTTTTGGTGTTTTAGACATGAAGTCCTTGCCCATCCCTATGTCCTGAATGGTATTGCCTAGGTTTTCTTCTAGGGTTTTTACGGCTTTAGGTCTAACATTTAAGTCTTTAATCCATCTTGAATTAATTTTTGTATAAGGTGTAAGGAAGGGATCCAGTTTCAGCTTTCTACATAGGGCTAGCCAGTTTTCCCAGCACTATTTATTAAGTAGGGAATCCTTTCCGCATTTCTTGTTTTTGTCAGGTTTGTCAAAGATCAGATGGTTGTAGATGTGTGGTATTATTTCTGAGGGCTCTGTTCTGTTCCATTGGTCTATATGTCTGTTTTGGTACCAGTACCAGGCTGTTTTGGTTACTGTAGCCTTGTAGTATAGTTTGAAGTCAGGTAGCATGATGCCTCCAGCTTTGTTCATTGGGCTTAGGATTGTCTTGGCAATGCGGGCTCTTTTTTGGTTCCATATGAACATTAAAGTAGTCTTTTGCAACTCTCATCAGCCCAGTTTAATATTACCTATTTATTATAATGTAATGCTGCTCGCACAACTGAGAAAATACTGTTGCTTTACCCCCTCCAGCTCTGTAGCAGCCACGCAGAAATCATAGAACTGTAAACATATGCTAATTACACAACCTATGTAGGCAATCAATATTAAGAAAAATTTTTACTGCCCGGTATTTCTGTGGTTGAAAATGTAGAGTCTAATTTTGATCCGCAGTAACATCTAGGTTAATGTTGATTCAGAAGGAAAACGTTTGTTGTTGCCATGAGAAGAGGCATTGAAATGCTGAATCACCACCACAAATGTTACCACTATTAATATAAGGAGATACATAGGAAGATGGAATTAGACCATCTCGGACCACCAGGTTTACAATTCCACCTGCAGATACATGCAAGAAGTATTGTCACAATACTTATGTCACGTTATTCCGTTGAGGTCATCACCAACTAAGCTTATAATTAATGTGTGGTCAATTTGGTCAATGTCACCAGCGTAGCATACTAACAAAAACAAGGGTTGCAAAGTCAAATGCCTATAAGGCAGAACGTAAGACGGTAGGAAGCAAAGTCTATAGGGAGCTATATAATAGAGGCTGCAGATTCATGGCAGATTCTAAAGCACAGCAGTCCCCAACATTTTTGGCACCAGGGACCGGCTTTGTGGAAGACAATTTTTCCACAGGCGGCAAGGGATGGGGCGCAGGATGGTAATGGTCTTGGGATGAAACTGTTCCACCACAAATCATCAGGAATTAGATTCTCATAAGGAATATGCAACCTGGATCCCTCGTGTGTGCAATTCACAACAGGGTTCATGCTCCTGTAAGAATCTAATGATGCTGCTGATCTGACAGGAGGCAGAGCTCAGGCAGCAATGCAAGCAATGGGGAGCAGCCAGAAATACAGACGAAGCTTCAGTTGTTACCCACCATTCACCTCCTGCTCTGTGGCCCAGTTCCTAACAGGCCACAGACCAGTACATGTCCATGGCCCAGGGGTCAGGGACCCCTGCTGTGGCACATTGCTTAATAGAGGACTGTAGCAGCCATGTGCCCTGACCTTTCCTTTTTTTTTTTTTTTTTTTTTTTTTTGAGATGCCAGAAACCCAGAATTTTTTTTTTTTTTTTTTTTTTTTTTTAAGACAAGGTCTGGCTCTGTTGCCCAGGTTGGAGTGTAGGAGGGCGATCTCAGCTCACTGTAACATCAACCTCCCAGGCTCAAGCAATCCTCTCACTTCAGCCTCCCACGTTGCTGGGATTACAGGCACACTCCACTACACCCAGCTAATTTTTTTGTATTATTTGTAGACATGGGGTTTCGCCACGTTGCCCAGGCTAGTCTGGAATTCCTGAGGTCAAGCTGTCTGCCCATCTCAGCCTCCCAAAGTGCTGGGATTGCAGGAGTGCACCACCACACCTGGCCTGAAACCCAGATTTTATTTATTTATTTATTCATTTTTTGAGATGGAGTCTTGCTCTATTGCCTAAGCTTGAGTGCAGTGGCGCGATCTTGGCTCACTGCAACCTCCACCTCCCTGGTTCAAGCGATTCTCCTGCCTCAGCCTCCCAAAGTGCTGGGATTACAGGCATGCAACACCACACCCAGCCTGAAACCCAGATTTTTAATATGAAATCAAAGTCTTCAGACCTTGTAGGTGTCATAAAAAGCACGCTGAGGACCACTAGTTTGCAACTGCCAATCTAAAATATCATAGACATTATATCACTTCAACCACGAAAAAAAAAGTATGTGAGGCAGAAAATGGAAGCAACCATGCCTAATTTATTGTTGAATACTTTTTCCGTATACCAAGAGCTTCCTTTGCACTAGCATCTGAAACTATATCCAGAATGACACTGGTTTTCATAAAAGTGTTGATCCTCACACCTCTTTATAGTCTTGCACCTAGCACAGTGGAGTGAAACACTTTAAATAGCACTTGTTCCTTGAGTATATATGGAAAAAAGTGAAGTATTGATAAGTGCTCAGCTAATATGAGCAGCATCTCAGGAGTCTCCAATTCTTGAATTACCAGGGAGTATTTTTACCATTTTCCCCCAGTGAAAGGCCTATTTTGAGAGACTTACCCTCCAAAATGAATGTATTAAGTCATGTTCCTTTTTTTTTTTTTTTTTTGAGACAGGGCCTTGCTCTGTTGCCCAGGCTGGAGTGCAGTAGCATGATAGTTACAGGAAAGGGGTCCCAATCTAGACCCCAAGAGAGGGTTCTTGGATCTTGTGCAAGAAAGAATTCAGGGTGATGCCACAGTGTGAAGTGAAAGCAAGTTTATTAAGAAAGTAAAGGAGGAGGGGCACGGTGGCTCACTCCTGTAATCCCAGCACTTTGGGAGGCCGAGACAGGTGGATCACGAGGTCAGGAGATCAAGACCATCCTGGTTAACACGGTGAAACCTCATCTCTACTAAAAATACAAAAAAATTAGCCAAGTGTGGTGGCGGGTGCCTGTAGTCCCACCTACTCTGGAGGCTGAGGCAGGAGAATGGGATGAACCCGGGAGGCGAAGCTTGCAGTAAGCCGAGATCGCGCCACTGCACTCCAGCCTGGGTGACAGAGGGAGACTCCATCTCAAAAAAAAAAGAGAGAAAGTAAAGGAATAAAAGAATGGCTACCCCATAGACGGAGCAGCCGTGAGGGCTGCTGGTTGCCCATTTTTATGGTTATTTGTTGATGATATGCTAAACAAGGAGTGGATTTTTCATGCCTCCTCTTTTTAGACCATATAGGGTAACTTCTTGATGTTGCCGTGGCATTTGTAAACTGTCATGGTGCTGGTAGGAGTGTAGCAGGGAGGATGATGGGAGGTCAGTCTTGTCTCTATTTTGGTTTTGGTGGGTTTTGGCCAGCTCCTTCACTGCAACCTGTTTTATCAGCAAGGTCTTTATGACTGGTATTTTGTGCTGACCTTCTATGTCATCCTGTGACTTAGAATGCCTTAACCATCAGGGAATGCAGCCCAGTAGTTTCAGCCTCATTTTTCCCGGCTCCTATTTAAGATGGAGTTGCTCTGGTTCACACACCTCTGACATGATCATTGCCCACTGCGGCTTCCACCTCCCGGGTTCAAGAGATCCTCCTGCCTCACCCTCCCAAGGTGCTGGGACTACAGGTGTGTGCCACCAGCTCAGCTAATTTTTGTATTTTTTGTAGAGATGGTGTTTTTCCATGTTGCCCAGGCTGGTCTCAAACTCCTGGGCTCAAGCAATCCTTCTGTCTCAGCCTCCCAAAGTACTGGGATTACAGGCATGTCCCACCATGCCCAGACTAATATTTACTTTTAATCAGACTAAGATAGGGTTACTACTTGAGTTGCTATGGCTCCAGCTGAAAGAAAGCCCGTGCAGTCATATCACGCGTAAACATTTGCTTTATGCTAAAAATATGGTGGACCTGGCATTACAGCTATTACAAATCTCCTAAGATGTCTCGGGTAGTGTATTAGTTACTTTTCATACTGCTATGAAGAAATACTGGAAACTGGGTAATTTATAAAGAAAAAGAGGTTTAATGTACTCACAGTTCCACAAGGCTGGAGAGGCCTCAGAATCATGGTGGAAGGCAAAGAAGGAGCAAAAAGGTATGTCTTCCATGGCAGCAGGCAAGAGAGCACGTGCAGGGAAACTGCCCTTTATAAAACCATCAGATTTAGTGAGATGTATTCACTATCACGAGAACAGTATGGGAAAAACCTGCCCCCATGATTCGATTACCTCCTACCGGGTCCCTCCCACGACACATGGGGATTATGGGAACTACAATTCAAGATGAAATTTGGGTGGGGACGCAGCCAAACCATATCGGGTAGCAACAACCTAGGGTCAGTTTTGCAGGTGGTAAAGCCATTTACCAAGATAGTTGTGGGTAAAGAAGGGCAGATTTATTAGAGAAATTGTGAAAATATGTTGCAGTGGGCAGCTCAGCAGAGAAGGGGCTACCTGCAAAGAGGCAAGGGCTGGAGGAAAGTTTTATAGGGTCCTGCTGAAGGGTGCTACGTGTGGAATGAGGTCATTGTGCCCGCAGGTTGTTTGTGATTAGCTGTCTCTAACAATTGTTCATACAATAATTGTTCATTATTGTTCTCAACTTGGGGCTCTCCCCAACCTGGGGACCCTTCCTTATTGTTGCTTACTTATCAGGTCTCCACATAAAGGTGTGGAAACTTCATTCATTCATATCTTCAACACAAATTGTAGGTAGCCTGTTTTTTAAAACATTTATTCAACAAATATTTAGTCCAAGCCACTATTACTTACTACCTTCTCTACTATTGTATGGACTTTTAACTATCTCTGACACTATTCACTATTCTTCCACATTCTCTATTATTTATACCTATGGTAAAATTTGCCAGTTTGACCATACAACTAATACTCACAGGGAATATATAGAGTCTAGAAGAAAATATACAGGTCCTTAAAGGCTGCCCTGCCAACAAAACCATAACGCAGGAACAAACATCACAACTATGCCAAATAATCAATCCTACAATGTCCAAAATTTTACTTTAAAACTGGAATTACCAGACTTCCTTTCTGCATTAACCAGTTTAACTAGACAGTAACGAAATATTCCTACTTTATGCTGTGATAGTTTGTTTGTTTGTTTGTTTGTTTATTTATTTATTTATTTATTTAAGACAGAGTTTCGCTCTTGTTGCCCAGGCTGGAGTGCAGTGGCACGATCTCAGCTCACCACAACCTCCGCCTCCCAGGTTCAAGCGATTCTCCTGCCTCAGCCTCCCGAGTAGCTGGGATTACAGGCATGTACCACCACGCCCGGGTAATTTTGTATTTTTAGTAGAGACGGGGGGTTTCTCCATGTTGGTCAGGCTGGTCTAGAACTCCAGACCTCAGGTGATACCCCTGCCTCAGCCTCCCAATGTGCTGGGATTACAGCTGTGAAGCCACCGCGCCCGGCTGCTGTGATAGTTGAGATGTAAACCAAAAATAAAATTCTAAGCCACCCAATCCGACTGAATGGACCCTTCCTGTTGAGCAAGGACATTCCAAAGTAAACTGAAAAGACCAGCTTAGGCCATGATGGGAAGGGGAGGTGTCAACATGCCTCATTCTACCTTCCTCCCTCTGGAATCCAGACACAACTGACCAGCATTAACATTAAAACAGAGATCTTAAGCTGGGCACAGTGGCTCATGCCTGTAATCCCAGCACTTTGGGAGGCCAAGGTGGGATCACCTGAGGTCAGAAGTTCAAGACCAGCCTGGCCAGTATGGTGAAGCCATGTCTCTACTAAAAATACAAAATTAGCCGGACATTGTGGTGCACGTCTGTCATCCCAGCAAGGCAGGCGAATCACTTGAACCCAGGAAGCAGAGGTTGCAGTGAGCCAGGATCATGCCATTGCACTCCAGCCTGGTCAACAGAGCGAGACTCCGCCTCATTAAAAAAAAAAAAAAAAAAAAATTAGCCGGGCGTGGTGGCGGGCACATGTAGTCCCAGCTACTAGGGAGGCTGAGGCAGGAGAATGGTGTGAACCAGGGAGGCGGAGCTTGCAGTGAGCCGAGATTGTGCCACTGCACTCCAGCCTGGACAGAAGTGCATTTCATAATGCATTTTAATTGCATTAGCAGTGATTTAATTTTTTTAGATGCTAAAACTTATGGGTGAAAGTGGATTAAATGTAGCCAAATGCAACATCAAAATCTTCAGGCACAAAAACCCATTAACTTTTTCATACTCTCAGAAGGTGAACCTAATTTCAAATGAAAGCTGCCTCCAGAATATATTGTTAAGCGTATTCTAGATATAATTCATTTTGGCAAACATACTGTAGAAATTCACATAACATTTTACTGTACTAAAAGTAAATTGCCCATGTAACAAAAAATATCTTTTCAGAGCTTGAAATGAATTTTAAAGGATGACTGATGGTCCCTGGAAGAGAAACAGTAAACAAATAAGGTTTGTAGCAATGATGTATGAGTTAGAAATTGCAGTTCCAGATGATCTCTTTATTAAAGAGACGATCTACACTTAATTTGATCAAGTGTTATGAACATAGTTCATGTTAAGTCTCCATTTAAATACAACCTGAAATACCAAAGTTAATTTTCTTTTCTTTCTTTCTTTTTTTTTTTTTTTAGAAGGAGTCTTGCTCTGTTGCCCTTCCTGGAGTGCAGTGACGTGATCTTGGCTCACTGCAACCTCCACCTCCTGGGCTTGAGCGATCCTACTGCGTCAGCCCCCCAAGTAGCTGGGAGGACAGGCGCAAGCCACGGCACTCAGCTAATTTTTGTATTTTTCGTAGAGATAGGGTTTCACCATGTTGCCCAATTTGGTCTCGAACTCCTGAGCTCAAGTGATCCGCCCGCCTTGGCCTCCCAAAGTGCTGGGATTACAGGCATGAGCCACCGTGCCTGGCCAGAAAATTGTAAACACACACAAACTCTCAAGTGGCCTAATTCCCTCTCACCAAACCAATCACAATACAGATAAAAGAGAATAACTTGTGTTCATTTTTGTACAAACAAAAAAGATATAAATTGTGAATGATGCATGATTTTTAATTACAAGTAAACTGGGCAAATGCTTCTGCATTATTTAAAGCTAAAAGGTGATCAGTGGAAACTTTCCTCTGTTAGTACTCTAATACTTTTTATATTTATCGGCTCACTACAACCTGTGCCTACCAGGTTCAAGCGATTCTCCTGTCTCAGCCACCTGAGTAGCCGAGACCACAGGCACGCACTACCATGTCCGGCTAATTTTGTATTTTTAATAGAGACAGGGTTTCACCGTGTTGGCCATGCTGGTCTTGAACTCCTGACCTCAACCGATCCGCCTGCCTTGGCCTCCCAAAGTTCTGGGATTACAAGCGTGAGCCACAGCGCCCAGCCTTATTATAATTGTTACTATTTAAATCTCTTTTGCTCTCTCCTTCAAGAGAGACCTCATCCCATTCAGTTGCTTCCATTTATTTATTCATCTTCTGCCTCCTGGGCTCGAGAGATCCTCCAGCGTGAGTCTCCCAAGTAGCTGGGACTACAGGCTCACACCACCAAGCTTGGCTAAATTTTGTAGGTTTTGGAGAGACAGGCTCTTGCCACGTTGCCTAGGCTGGTCTCAAACTCCTGGGCTCAGATGATCCACCTGCCTTCGCCTCCCAAAGCACTGGGACATGAGCCACCACGCCCAGCCGCAAGTACTTTTACACAAAATGCAAACACCATTCTTCCATCATAAAAGTGATACCACAGCTTCCGTGAAGTTTTGCCAGGTAGTACTCATAATTACCTTGGGTAAACTTTTTGATGTTAAACTGTATCTTCTTATTACGAGTTTTTCCATTGTATTAACTGCTTTTACAACAACACAAATAACAAGTTATTTTACAAACCATTTAGAAATTTCTGTACTATGGTCCCAGTAATGTAAAATATATTAATGCCTATTACATTCAGATAAATTATACACTTGGAAACCACATACTTATGACTTACAGAAACTTACATAAACAAATTATAGAAATTACATGCTCAATTTTTAGGTATATAGTCTTAAATTAAGCTTAAATATACATTCTCAAGATAAATTAACAGTTCAGGGCTTCACAACTTGAAATCTGTGGAAGATGACATTGGAGACAACAGAACTCTGGTGGAATTCTTAGATGGAATTTGCCGAAACTTTTTTTTTTTTTTTTTTTTGAGATGGAGTGTCGCTCTGTCGCCCAGGCTGGAGTGCAGTGGCGCAATCTCAGCTCACTGCAAGCTCTGCCTCCCGGGTTCACGCCATTCTTCTGCCTCAGCCTCCCGAGTAGCTGGGACTACAGGCGCCCACCGCCACGCCCGGCTAATTTTTTATATTTTTAGTAGAGATGGGGTTTTACTATGTTAGCCAGGATGGTCTCGATCTCTTGACCTTGTGATCTACCCGCCTTGGCCTCCCAAAGTGAAACTTTTCTTTAAAATAGAGATGGGATCTTGCTGTATTGCCCAGGCTGGTCTCAGACTCCTTGCCTTAAGCAGTCCTCCCACCTCAGCCTCCTAAAGTGCTGGGATTACAAGCGTGAAGCATTACATCCAAGTGAAACTTCTTGAGATGGTTACATAATGTCTAAATCTGCTGGTGTAGAAGTTAATAAAGTGTAGAACTGAATAACTATTAAATATTAGATCAAGTTTCTCATGTTTATCTTAACGTATAACGATTTATCTTAAAGCACTGATTTTCACAAAATAACATCAGTGTGAAATTGGAAAAGAAGCCAAATATTTTATTTCATGTATCTGGGAAATGAGGTGCTTTAGTCAACTGAATCTGCCCAAAACTAAAAAGCATTAATTAAAAAGTACTTAACTCAGAAATTATAAAAATAGGAGACATCAATAAAATACATTCTACACAGAATACGCCAACCATACACTACTCTTTTTTGATAATAAAAAATGTATTTACTGAGCCAGTTGTGGTGGCTCACGCCTATAATCCCAGCACCTTGGAAGGCCAATGAGAGTGGATCAGTTGAGGCCAGGAGTTTGAGACCAGCCTGGCCAACATGGTGAAATGCCGTCTCTACTAAGAATACAAAAATGAGCCGGGCACGGTGGCACGCACCTGTAATCCCAGGTACTCCGAAGGATGAGGCAGGATAATTGTTTGAACTCAGGAGGTGGAGGTTGCAGTGAGCCAAAATCATGCCACTGCACTCCAGCCTGGGTGACAGAGTGAGTCTCTGTCTCAAAAAAAAAAAAAAAAAAAAGAAAAAAAGTCAGTTGCAGTGGCTCACGCCTGTAATCCCAGCACTTTGGGAGGCTGAGGCAGGCGGATTACAAGGTCAGGAGATCGAGACCACCCTGGCCAACATGGTGAAACCTCCTCTCTACTAAAAATGCAAAAATTAGGCTGGGCACGGTGGCTCACACCTGTAATCCCAGCACTTTGGGAGGCCGAGGCGCGGAGATCACGAGGTCAGGAGATTGAGACCATCCTGGCTAACACAGTGAAACCCTGTCTCTACTAAAAATACAAAAAATTAGCTGGATGTGGTGGCAGCACTTGTAGTCCCAGCTACTTGGGTGGCTGAGGCAGGAGAATGGCGTGAACCCGGGAGGCAGAGTTTGCAGTGAGCCGAGATCCCACCACTGCACTCCAGCTTAGGCGACAGAGCCAGACTGTGTCTCAAAAACAGGAAAGAAAACAAAAGAAAATTTGGACTATTGCCAATTACAAATATTTTTAGAGAAGAATTCAAAACAGTAACTGTGGATGATGGAAACAATAGTTATGATAAAAGTCTGATGAAACTTCCCAGTTCACAAGGAAATTTAATTACTTATGTGCAGCATTTTAAGACAGTAATCAGAATCATGACTGACAGCATCATATCAGGGCCAGCAGACTTTTATAAATTTCATACAATCTTCAGAAATAATAACTTTTTTTTTTTTTTTTGGATAGATTCTACCTTTGTCACCCAGGCGGGAGTGCAGTGGCATGATCTCGGCTCACTACAACCTCCGCATCCTGGGTTCAAGCAGTTCTCCTGTCTCAGCCTCCCGAGTAGCTGAGATTACAGGCATGTGCCACCAGGCATGGCTAATTTTTGTATTTTTAGTGGAGACAGGGTTTCACTCTATTAGGCTGGTCTGGAACTCCCGACCTCAGGTGATCCACGTGCCTTTGTCTCCCAAAGTGCTGGGATTACAGGCATGAGTGACAGTGCCCAGCCATTCGTGACATGTTTATACAAATATAACTTTAGCAAATATTTAGCATAACTATCAAAATTACAAATCATATTAAATTTGTATAAATGTATGCAATTTTTGGAACACGCATATCAACAACATACCCATAAATATAACTGAGATGAGATCTAATGTCACCTCACTTGACAGTGCCCTCCCATGCAGTATCGCCACATTTGACAATGCCTGCCCATTTAATCTACCAAATAAATCGAATCACTTAATACCTCTACAAGATGAGAGATACATTCTTTAGACTCCCCAAGGGATGCAGCTGAAAAAAATCCCAAAGTTAGTTTTAAGCCAAAAAGACTTGATTTAGGATTTTGACACTGGAGAAACCCATCAAAGATGTCAAGTTTGAAAACACTTGATCAAAACAGAATCACAGGTCACTATTAAAAGAGTATTAATTTAACCAGAGACTTCCAAAGCAATACAGAAACTTACATGGATATAAAAACCCTAACCCTTTTAAAGGTCAGATTTGCTAAGTGATCAAAAGGGGTACTTGAATTGAATCGACACAGGAAGAGTGTGTACAGGGTTATGAGTGTAGGCAGGTGGTTACTTTGGTCATATCTCCATTTGCCACCTGATTACACATGAGAATGGCATCTTTACTCACCAGAAAGCCAGTATTATAGGAGGTGTAGGAGGCATTCTTGGACTTGAGACAAGAACATTGTTGTGTAGAAATTTCATTGACTGTGTTAAAATTATTCTCCATGGGCTGGAGAACACATAACATGGCCTTTAGAATGAGACGGGCATTGATTGGATGCAAGGTCTCCACACTTACTAGCTGTGTGACATTGGACAGAGTGCTTCATCATTCCGAGACTCAGTTTTTAAAGGAAAAACAACTAACTACCTTGCAAGCTTGCTAGCAGGTTTAAGTGTAATAATGTGTGGGAATGACTGCACCGTGACTAACATGCAGTGACAGCTTAATTAATGTTAACCCTTATCATTATCATATAAGAATGTGAGTTACATAAGAGAGGAGTCCTGTCAGTTCGTTCTCTGCTGTGTCCCCAAGACCATGAATCATGGCTGGCATGTAGTAGGCATTTAATAATATATGTTCAACAAGTATTTGGCAGTCTTGGAGGGCAGAAAAGGAGGTGGGGAAGATTTTTAAATAACATTCTTTAAAAAGTCACATTGTCCTACAATACCGATTTTTCTTGCATATTTAGGAAATTGAGGGTTTTTTTCTAAAACATGCGGACATATGGGAAATAGGATGCAACATTTGCACTAATGTTTCAGACACAGTTAGAGGTTTCCAAGAGATTTTGCGCTGGGGAGGCTGCTTGCTACAAGCTCCCAAAGCTCTGGGAGGACATAGTATTCATTCCTCCCTCAGCAGAAGCGGTGAGGCAAGAAGCTCTGGGGAGCACCCAGCGTTGGACTTTTAGCATAGTGTGTCAGGTCTTCATAGTTTGGGCCCAGGGCACAGAGAAGTCACAGCTCTCCGGCATCCTGTGACCTTTACCCTCTTTGCCAAGGGAAAATGTGGCCCACCAAAGCAAGAAACTTGAGGGCATGGGTCACCCCAGCCCTGGCATCTGCCCAGAGCCCGAGAAGGAAGGAACAATGATCCTCCAGCTACCTCACGGGGCTGGCACAGGTGACCACTGCCCTGGCATCACCCAGCTGTGTCCGGCAGCCTGAACCCCATCTGTGGGGATGCGAGGAGGAAAATACAAAAGTCCTTAGGTGAACACTGAGAAGGCAGATGCAGCAGAAACCTCCAGGCCAGAACTACCCAGTCTTGGACCTATGGTGGAGATAGAGCATAGCTGGCGATCATGTGTACTTACACTCTAAGGTCACCTGGTTGCACTATGGCCTCATCTGTGGCTCTGAAAATGAAGATTTGGAAGGAGATCATCACAGCTAATGTTTAACAAGCCCCTCCTGTGTGCCAAATCATTCACCCCTCACCACAACCGAATGAGCTAAGGATTCTCATTATATATAGTTTATGGAGAGGGAAGTGCAGACATAAAGAGGTGAATTATCTTACCCAGATCACACAGCTGATAAGTGGTGGAGGCAGAATAGAATCTAAACAGTGTGGCTCCGGAGCCCACATGCATTGATTCGACAAGTGTTTATTGAGCACCTGCCGCGGACAAGGCCTTGTGTGATTAAATAGGGTTATAATTAGTAATATAAAAATGAGAAATCACTAATGCTTTTTAGACTTAACATTTTGTTTTTTTGTAGGTTTCAGGCACAGAACTGTATATCCAATAATAGTGAAATGGATCCCACTAATTATGACAGAAATGATGATACATTTAAATGACTTGGATGTTTTATAGGTATGATCTCGTGAAATCTTGAGAGAAACTGAATGACGAATGAAACTATTGTTCCTGTTTCACACAGAAGAAAACTGAGGTTAAAAGGGGTAAAGTAATTTTGCATGGCATGAAGTAGAAATTCAAAGTACAGGAATTTGAACTTGGTTCTGTCCTTTTCTGAAGCCCTTGACCACTATAGACTCAAACATCACCTTGTTTTTCCACTCATTCAACACTTTTTTTTTTAAATTATCTAATAGGTTGGCACTCATCATGAGCCCCTGTTCTCATTCTGCAAATGGTGAAGCTCTCTATTGTCCTGACCCCACAGTTCCTGTCCCATGACCAGGGCCAGCTCACCAAGGAGCTGCAGCAGCATGTAAAGTCAGTGACATGCCCATGCGAGTACCTGAGGAAGGTGAGTGAGTGCAGACAGATGGGGCCTGGTGCCCTTGAGCAGTTCCCGGGTCTCAGCTGCCACACATCTCATAGCCGGTGATGCTGGGGGAAGCTTACGCAGTCACAGTACTGGCTTCTTCCTCTTTTTCTTTCCATACAAGTGGCTTAGGGATGGGGTAGAGTAGTTGACTTATTTGGATGAAAACCACTATCTTCTGTCAGAAACTCAAAAGGAATCATTGCTGGCATGGTAACCTAAAGAAAAACAACCAGACAAGTGCCCAACGACACTTAAAAAGGTGATTTATTATCTTGCCAAGTTTAGGCTGGGCATGGTGACTCATGCCTCTAATCCCAGCATTTTGGGAGGCTGAGGCTGGTGGATCACCGGAGGCCAGGACTTTGAGACCAGCCTGACCAATATGGCAAAACCTCGTCCCTACTAAAAATACAAAAATTAGCCGGGCATGGTGGTGTGAGCCTGTAGTCCCAGCTACTCAGGAGGCTGAGACAGGAGAATTGCTTAGATTCAGGAGGTGGGGGTTTTAGTGGGCCGAGATCACGCCATTGCACTCCAGACTGTGCGACAGAGCGAGACTCTGTCAAAAAAAAAAAAAAAAAATTATCCTGCAAAATTTGAAAAGGAAATTCAAATCAACAGCTTCTAAACTACTTTTTAACATGACTCATAATAATACATTCTATAGTACATATGTATGTTCTATAACTTTGAATAAAAGAGTTAACCACATCACATTTATTTTATAACATGTAATACATATTTTTTATTCTCCTTCATTTGTTTTGAATGCTCTGTGCAGTCTACAAAAAGTCCAATAGTAATAATTAAATTAGTCATTAAGTTGAACATTATCTTGTCTTTTAAAATGATAATCTCAAAAATGATCTTTTATTTTTGAGATTTATATAGATACACACACACACACACACACACACACACACACACACACACACACACACACACACACACATATTTTTTGAGACAGAGTTTCACTCTGTCCCCCAGGCTGGAGTGCAATGGCACAATCTTGGCTCACTGCAACCTCTGTCTCCCGGGTTCAAGCAATTCCTCTGCCTCAGCCTCTGAGTAGCTGGGACTACAGGTGTGTGCCACCATGCCCAGCTAATTTTTGTATTCTTAGTAGAGATGGGGTTTCACCATATTGGCCAGGCTCGTGTCAACTCCTGACCTCGTGATCTGCCCACCGCGGCCTCCCAAAGTGCTGGGACTATAGGTGTGAGCCGCTGCACCCGGTCCAAGTAAAATTATTTTAACAATATACTATGAAGAGAAAAACACTGGCTATGAAAGAATATGCATAGTTTTACCCTGTTTAAAAATAAAGATTGAAAGAATACATATGCAAATAAGTTTACTTTTATTTTTGGTAACACTTTACTGCATTGTCTGAATATTGACAATCAGTATGCATTATGAAGCTACCTGGCTAACATTGTGTACTCACTGTGTGTGCCAGGCCCTGGGTTCAATGCTCTACATGCACTTATATTTCATTTAATTCTCTCTGCAACCTGAGATGGTATAGCCACCTCATTTTACAGAGTTGAAACTGAGGCTCAGAGACTGAAAGTTAAGCCTGAGGTTGCAGTCAATAAGAGGCAGAGCTGGAACTGAAACCTACCTGTGTCTGACCACCAGTTCGTGTTCTGACGGCAGGCTAGTCTGCATCACAGAGTGTGGAGTAGATGGTGCATGCCTGCTAGGATGGGCTAGGTATCACTGTAGGTAAGAAACAGCCCCAAACTATGGAAATGTACACCACTGAAGGCTCTTTTCCTGCCCATGCTGCACATCCTCCATGGCTCTCCTGTGCCCTGTGCCCCACATGCCCTCATCCTGCCACGAGAATAAAGGAGCAGCCTCCATATGGGAGCTGTCAGCTGCTCTAAGAGATGAAGGAGAGAGTGGCCCGTCTCAATGGCTCCCAACTCTTTTGCCTCGAGGTGACACGCTTCACTTCCACGCACATCTCCTGGGTCAAAGCAAATCCCATGGGTACATCCACTTTCAAGTGGCCCAGGAGAGAACCTGAAATACTCGGTGGACTCCATTAAGGCCGTCATATGGTGTCAGCCTGCATGGGAGACTGTGGAGGGGCAGAGGAGGAGAGTGGGGAACTGATGGGAAATGACAGGAGGACTAAGTCACCGCAGATTTGCTTTATCTTCAGCCAGGTGGAGTTTGTCCCAGAGCCGCACAAAATCATCACCAGCATGATTAAACGGAGTAGACTTCAGAAAAAGCAGTTTGGTCGGATGTAATCAGCAGTGAACTCAGAATCAATTGAGTGACATTGAGTCAGTAAATCTCTGACTGCCTCAGTTACCCCATATGATAGTTTTGAGGATGGGAACATTGAGAGAGTTGATTTGGAAGGATATCAAGAGTAAAAATTCCAACATTTTTAGTTCCTTTAAGTTAAATCCAGGCACTGTCTTTCCTGCAAGTCTCCTGTTCCTTTCAGATTGCACAGGTGAGAGTGCTCAGATTAGGGCTGGAGGTTGTAAACCATTGCTCCCACACTGACAGTGCCCCCGTGTCGTGCGTGTATTCTGCGCATTTTCCTGTGCTAAACACTCTCCCAAAACATCGTGGGGCCTGATTCTTCCTCTTTGTTCCAATGGCCCTGGGTGACTCAAGTGCCCATTCAATGACCAGGACACAGAGGTCTTAGAGAGATGCTCCTTGAGGCCCCAGGTGCGAGCCTGTACCCTGCCGGAGCATGAGGCAAGGGACAGGGCATCGTCTGTGGGGATAGTGGGGGTAGTGGGGGTAGTGGTCAGCCAGATTTGGTGACTCTACTTGCTCACCAGACGATCCTACACCTGCCACCTCCGATGGATCCACTGCCTCTGTGCCTGCCTGTACTGCTGATGCTCCAGTGGATAACTCAGCATCCCAGCCTAGGCCCAATGCCACTGAAGATGGACCTGCCCCCTGGGGACCCAGGAGTCCTACCACTCAGCTGTCCCCAGGAGTGCCCAGACCCTCATTCTTATCCAGGACCTAGGAGCCCTACCCCTGGCCTTCCCTCATCAGCCGTAAATGATGATTTACTGCTGTTACCATCATCACTGCCTTCAGTGACCAAGGGCCTTCCAAGGTGCCAGCTCTGGAACGAAGGATGCCCTTGGGAGGTGATGACACTCAGGTACACGGGTGCTCAACAGATTGCTTCCTCCTATCCTCAGACGGTCTTTGCATGCATGCAGCCATTGGCACTCCCATTGTGTGGAAGGAAACCAGCCCAGGGTCACACAGCTGGTCAGCAGCAACATAGCTGGTCTCAAATCTAAGGTGCCTGACCATGCCTCCATGAGGGACCGCCTCCAAGGGAGGTTGATCCTGGCTTTGGGGAGCCTTTCCTGGGCTGCACGAATAACCTCCATTGTTCGAGACCCCAAACTCTGCTCACATCTTCCTTTCCCTATCTCTGCTTGGGCTATGATCACGGTGACTCTAGCAGCCCTTCATGGACATTATAGTACTCTCTGCCATTCACTTTTGCTCTAATCTGACTTCAACCCCCACTTACTTGGTCTCTCCTTTTACAACCACCACAACCGAAATCTAGGGCTGCTTTTTTTTTTTTTTTTTTTTGAGACAGAGTCTCATTCCATTCTGTCACCCAGGCTGGAGTGCAATGGTACGATCTCGGCTCACTGCAACCTCCGCCTCCCGGGTCCAAGGGATTGTCCTGCCTCAGCCTCCTGAGTAGCTGGGATTACAGGCGTGTGCCACCATGCCTGGCTAATTTTTGTATTTTTAGTAGAGACGGGGTTTCACCATGTTGGTCAGGCTGGTCTCGAACTCCTAACCTCGTGATCCGCCTGCCTCAGCCTCCCAAAGTGCTGGGATTACAGGCGTGAGCCACCATGCCCAGCCAAATCTAGGGCAGGAACATGGCTGCAGCATATAAAAAGAATTGAATTCCATACTTTTGTTAACCCTGTTTTTTGTTTGTTTGTAGTTGTTGCTGTTTTTGAGACAGAGTCTCGCTCTGTCGCCTAGGCTGGAGTGCAGTGGTGCAATCTCGGCTCACTGCAGACTCTGCCTCCCGGGTTCAAACTATTCTCCTGCCTCAGCCTCCCAAGTAGGTGGGACTACAGGCGCCCACCACCACACCCGGCTAATTTTTGTATTTTATTAGAGACAGGGTTTCACCATATTGGCCAGGCTGGTCTGGAACTCCTGACCTTGTGATCCGCCCACCTCGGCCTCCCAAAGTGCTGGGATTACAGGCGTGAGCCACCACACCCAGCCCCTGTTTTGTTTTTGTTTTGCTTGCTTCTTAGGGTTGTTTTTCTATTTATGGTAAAGGCATTGGCTTTCCATTTGTAGCATCAATAGAATATTTCCTGTTTACAATAACCTTATGTCATAGTAAATGGTAAAGGGATTTAAAGCAGTGGTTTTCAGCTGCCAGAGGCCTGAGAGAGTTTGGGCATACTCTGTGTGATCGGGCAGAAGGCCTGTGGGAAGTTTAGCAGAGGACAGGGCCAGGAAAGGTGATGGACAGTGGGGGTCTGTCCTGGTCACCAGGCCCCTGGGTCCTGCCCACCTGCTTGGAGCTCCCCACCCATCACACATGATGCTGCCAAGCCCTCTGGGTATTGTGGGCAAATACCTTAGGAGAGAAGCTGATGAACTTTGTTTCTTGAAATGCACAGATTCCTTGGACGTCCCTGAGAGCTCAGTCATGAAAGTCAACTTGGTTTTCTCCCCCTCATTTGGGTTCAGAATTTAAAGTCCACACACACAGGCAGTAAGATGATATAGATAAGGACGTCATCACTCGGTTTCGGATGTTAAAATGTCTAGGTGGGTTAGCGGTGATTTGAGATCACACAACCTTGTGCCACAAAGAGGAATTCCCAGGCCAGAGGGAGACATTTTATTGCCATGTTATGATCTCATCATTGAGTTGAAAGGCAATCTTGTTTCATTTTGGATTCTTTCTTATGTTTATGTCTTATAAGGGCACTTTGAATTTCCAAGCAAATAATAATTTTGAATTAGCTTTTAATCATTGACTTCTAGCACAGTTATATGATCAGAAACATGCTGTGTGATTTGATTGCTCTCAAATATATTGAGATTTGCTGGAACAAAATAAGTCAGGTTAATTTTTGTAAATGTACCAGGCATGCTTAAAATGAATGTATCTACATTTGTTCCCGAGATACAGGTTGATGGACGGATGGCTACATGGATGTGATGGAGATGGTTTACTATCGGGACCTTCCGCACCCTGCTGATGTTTTGTTGCTTAGGATATGAATGGCTGAGCGGAGGCTGTAAAACCTGGCACTCTGCTTGGGTATGAGGTTCTTCCTGCCATCCTGCCATCATTTGTTTTTTATGTTTTGTCGCCATAAGTGACCTTGAGGAACCCTGGGAGCTCAGGAAGGAAGGAGCGCCCAGAAGCAGGGACAGGGAGCTGGTTGGGGAGGACCAGAAATCAGGTTTGTGAAGGTTCCAGAGAGGACCTGTCTTTGGGAGGAGTGTGGGAGACTGAGATGGGGGAGGGGTCATTGGAATGATGCGGGCGCTACTTGGCATTGTCCATTGTGAGGCACTGTCCATTGTGAGGCACCACCGGGGTCATCAGGGATTGGTGGAGAGGGAGTATAAAGCCCCAGGGTTGGTAAGGGAGGGCCCAGACCGAAGAAGGTTTGGTGGATAGCAGAACCTTTTTGTCTCCCTCTGATTGCTCCTAAGCCTCACGCTCCCTTGCCCCGCGTGTCCTGTTGCTTCCCTGATCTTCTCCGTGACCTGTAGCTAAACCTTCCACCAGCGCTTGAGAACTTAATTTGAACCGGATCCTTTCCCAGACCCCTTTCTTCTTCTCCTCCTCCTCCTCCACCTCCTCCAGGTGCCCAACAGCCCCCTTCTCCTCCTTTCCCTTCCCTTACTTCCCCCCTTCCCCTCCCCTTCCCCTCCCCCTCCCCTCCCCCTCCCCTCCCCCTCCCCTCCCCAACTCAGATCCGGCCCCGGTCCCCGTCCCCTTCCCTCCCCCCTGCCCTAAGCCACCTCCACCTCTGTCCTGGCCGCCTCAGGGCGCCCTGAAAGGACCAGGACATGCGGGTGCGGTGGATGCTCTTTTGGCTCCTCTTTGGGCTCCTACTGGAATTTATCAGCCATCAGTGCATCTCTGTGAGTAGACGCTGGACCCGTGGGGTTTCTTCCTTTTTACTGGGCTGTATCACGTGGCATGAAATTACACAGCTCAGGCCTGTAATCCCAGCACTTTAGGGGGCCGAGGTGGGCAGATCACTTGAGTCCAGGAGTTGAAGACTAGCCAGGGCATCATAGCGAAACCCCATCTCTACAAAAAATTCCAATAAAGATTAGTCGGGCCTGGTGGTGCGTACCTGTTATCCCAGTTACTGGAGAGGCTGAGGTGGGAGGATCGCTTGGGCCCAGGAGCTGGACGTTGCAGTGAGCCGAGATGGCCCCGCTGCACTCTTGTTTTTAACAAAGAAAATGGACCAAAACAAAGTGAAATGTCATTTGATTTGTGTCATCTGGTTTGATGACTTTTTTTTTTTTTTTTTTTTTTTTAGACAGAGTCTCACTCTGTCGCCCAGGCTGGAGTGCAGTGGCAAGATCTCGGCTCACTGCAACCTCCGCTTCTGGGGTTCAAGCAATTGTCCTGCCTCAGCCTCCTGAGTAGCTCAGATTACAACGCCTGGCTAATTTTTGTATTTTTAGTAGACCACCACGCCTGGCTAATTTTTGTGTTTTTAGTAGAGATGGGGTTTCACCATGTTCGCCAGGATAGTCTCCATCTCTTGACCTCGTGATCTGCCTGCCTCAGCCTCCCAGTGCTGGGATTACAGGCGTGAGCCACCGCGCCTGGCCAAAATATATAACCTTAAGTGTAAGTTTACTAACTTTGGAAAGTACATACACCAGCATAAACCAACCCCCTTTCAAGATCTACATTATTTTATTTATTTATTTATTTATTTTGAGACAGTTTCTCCCTTGTTGCCCAGGCTGGAGTGCAATGGGGCAATATCAGCTCACCGCAACCTCTGCTTCCCAGGTTCGAGCGATTCTCCTGCCTCAGCCTCCCGAGTGGCTGGGATTACAGACATGTGGCACCACTCCCAGCTAATTTTGTATTTTTAGTAGAGATAGGGTTTCTCCATGTTGGTCAGGCTGGTTTTGAACTCCCGACCTCAGGTGATCCGCCCGCCTCGGCCTCCCAAAGCGTTGGGATTACAGGCGTGAACCACCATGCCCAGCCAAGATCTACACTATTATGTCACCCCAGAAAGTGAACTCTCAGTCTTCCCAGCCAGTCTCTTTCTTATCATAGGTTAGCTTGCTTATTCTGGAATTTCGCGTATACAGATGCATGCCATGCCATAGGTACTCTTTTGTGTCTGCTTTGTTCTGCTCAACACCATGTTTCTGAAATCATTACCATTGTTGTATGGTTCTCTAACTTCATCATTTCCATTTCAGACTCAGCATATGCTGAGTTCAACCTGTTGAAGGGCTATCTCTGTTTAATTCACCATCTTGAAAGAAACATTTAAAATTGAGATGTTTTCAAGAATATATAGTTAAATCCTGAGGAATCGACGTAGAAATGTTATCACAAGCTGTCTGAACTTACTCAGGGGAAGTCTTCGTCTTCACTCACATAAGAGTCTAATGGAATTAATATCAACAATCTTAGAGAAATCCCACACTATTCATGCCATTTTCATGATCTCCACCTTGATAATTTTTTTTTTTTTTTTTTTTTTTTTTTTTTTTTTTTTTTTTTTTTTTGAGACAGAGTCTCGCTCTGTCACCCAGGCTGAAGTGCAGTGGTGCGATCTCGGCTCACTGCAACCTCTGCCTCCCGGGTTCAAGTGATTCTTCTGCCTCAGCCTCCCAAGTAGCTGGAACTATAGGCATGTGCCACCATGCCCTGCTAATTTTTTGTATTTTTAGTAGAGACGGGTTTCACCGTGTTAGCTAGGATGGTCTCAATCTCCTGATCTCGTGGTCCACCCACCTCGGCTTCCCAAAGTGCTGGGATTGCAGGCGTGAGCCACCACGCCCAGCCCACCTTGTTAATTTTTAAGCACTAAAATTTGATACTTATTTGTGAATGAAGTAATCTCTTCATTGTATTTTTTTTTTTTTTTACTTATGCTGAGATTTAAATGACAAAGATTCATATAATCCAAGAGAGAAGTATTATTTAGAGGGATTCTTTTACCATGTGATATATAATAAATGCATCCAATGTTATACATCAATTTAAAAAACAAGTAAATAACTTTAAAGAAAAGATAACTACTGGCCAGGTGCAGTGGCTCACACCTGTATTCCCAGCACTTTGGGAGGCCAAGGCAGGTGGATCATGAGGTCAGGAGTTGGAGACCAGCCTGGCCAAGATGGTGAAACCCTGTTTCTACTAAAAATACAAAAATTAGCCGAGCGTGGTGGCAGGCGCCTGTAATCCCAGTTACTCAGTAGCTGAGGCAGGAGAATCGCTTGAACCCGGGAGGCGGAGGTTGCAGTGAGTTGAGATCATGCCACTGCAATCTAGCCTGGGTGACAGAGCAAAACTTTGTCTCAAAACAAAAAGAAAAGAAAAGATAAGATAATTACTTTATACTTAGCTTGTCTTACCCATGAGTGACGGGCTGCATGTGGCCCAGGACAGTTTTGAATGCAGTTCAACACAAATTTGTAAACTTTCTTAAAACATTAGGAGATTTTGGCCAGGTACAGTGGCTCATGCGTGTAATCCCAGCACTTTGGGAGGCTGAGGCGGGCAGATTACCTGAGGTCAGGAGTTCGAGACCACCCTGACCAACATGGCAAAACCCCATCTCCACAAAAAATACAAAAATTTGCTGAGTGCACTGTCAGGCACCTGTACTCCCAGCTACTCAGGAGGCTGAGGCAGGAGAATCACTTGAACCTGAGAGGCAGAGGTTGCAGTGAGCCGGGAGCACACCACTGCACTCCAGCCTGGGTGACAGAGTGAGACCCCATCTCAAAAACAACAAACAAAAACAAAAACAAAAAAATGGCTGGGCACGGTGGCTCACACCTGTAATCCCAGCACTTTGGGAGGCCGAGGCAGGCAGATCGCCTGTCAGGAGTTCAAGGCCAGACTGGCCAACATGGTGAAACCTCATCTCTACTAAAAATACAAAAATGAGTCGGGCATGGTGGCAGAGACCTGTAATCTCAGCTACTCGGGAGGCTGAGGCAGGAGAATGGCTTGAGCCCAGGAGCTGGAGGTTGCAGTGAGCCGAGATTGCACCACTGCACTCCAGCCTGGGCGACTGAGTGGAGCGGAACTCTGTCTCAAAAAAAAAAAAGAGGTTTTTTTTAGATCATCAGCTATTGTTAGTGTTAGTGTATGTTATGTGTGGCTCAAGACAACTTTGCTTCTTTTAATATAGGCAGGGAAGTCAAAAGATTGGATATCCCTGCTTTATACCAAGAAAGACAACACCCCACATTTGCAATGCCTGAAAACACTACCAGCCATCTGAAAAACATGTGACTTCTAACTTCTGTTCTTTTTTGTAGCAGTGGAATCCCACGGTGATATCTGAGGGATGTGGTTACCTTTTGGAGGAGGTTGACGGTTTCTAAGGATGATTCTTTCTGAGTGAAATATTGTCAGTGTCATTGACCTTTTCATTATTTCAACTATTATTATTCCAGGTTATCAATACTCTGGCTGACCATCATCATCGTGGGACTGACTTTGGTGGAAGTCCTTGGTTACATGTCATTATTGCATTTCCGACAAGTTATAAAGTTGTCATTACCCTCTGGATAGTTTACCTTTGGGTGAGTATACTAACTTTCTGTAGAGGTATACTTGTAATCACAAATAAGAATAAATTATATAAAACAATTCACATTTCTGGACTTCATTATGAATATGTGGTTTTACCCAAAAAATCAGGGAAATGATTTATTAGTATAAGAATTATGAAAACATCTGCCATTTGCATTATGAAAATTAAATAGGTCGGTGTTTGTTTAATAGAATGTCAACAGAGCTTTTGGTCAAAAATAAGTTTTTTTAACCTTTGTGCTATTTATCACAAATGGAGTATGAGGTTTCGTCACTTAAATAGGAAATTCTTTCTAAACTCTTCTGCTTTATAGTTCTATCGTATGGGTGGAAGGAAAGCTTCCAATCTCCTCTCTGAAGATTCACTGCAGAAATGAGCTGACAACAGACAGCTTAACAGGAAAAGAAAAACATAGAACAGGCATAAACATGGGAACCAGCTGAAAAATGAGACTGCTAGAAGGGCCGGATGGCTGATGCTTAAAGAGCACCCTCTTCTGAGGGGAGAGGGAGATAGATGGAGATGTAGGCCATTTAGAGGGGCAGCAAATGATTTTTAGGGGAAATGAAAGAGGCCAAGGAACAAACAATTGGCCTGAGACAAAGTTCCTGTGAGGTCATAGGGACGAGGTGACAAACTGCCGGAAGGTGAAGGGCAGAACTGCACTGCGTCTCATGATGCAGAGAAAGCCCCAGAGACTCTTAGAACTGCCCTCCAAGAGAATCAATGAAAAGTGTGTCTGGGCAGGGTAATTTTGAATGACATCATTCAAAGTGCATGTTCCGACTTGGAACTGGAGAGAGATCAGTATGTCAAAAGTCTGTACTTGGTAAGAATTTGGCTGCTAAGTTGTGCCATAATTTGTCTTTTGAGCCTTTTTTCCTTTGGGTAAGTTGAGCTCTACATTTTGTCTTGCCATTCATGACAGTAAAAATGTGGTTGTCTGGGGGCTGAACCTCCTTCTGAACAATGATCCAAGATAAAAGTACTAATACCACAATGCTTTTTTATATTCAAGGGAAGAGGAAGTATGTTTCAGTTTTACCACCTAGATAATTACACGTCATTTGGCACTGCCTTTCAAGATATGTAGAAAACAGAAAATATATGAGTTATGAAGATATCTAGGCACATTTAACATTCTCTATGCCACTTAGTCCTGAACAGAGAATTTTCGGTATAAATTGGAGGAAGCTTTTTTCTTTTTTTTTTTTCTTTTCTCACCCCGAAGACGAGTCTCCTTCTGTTGCCCAGGCTGGAGTATAATGGTGTGACCTCGGCTCACTGCAACCTCCACCTCCTGGCTTCAAGTGATTCCCCTGCCTCAGCCTCTCAAGTAGCTGGGATTGCAGGTGCCCACCACCATGCCCAGCTAATTTTTGTATTTTTAGTAGAGTCGGGGTTTTACCATGTTGGCCAGGCTAGTCTCAAAACCCGACCTCAAATGATCCACCAACCTCAGCCTCCCAAAGTGCTGGGATTACAAGCGTGAGCCACCACGTGAGCCAGGGGAAGTTTTTAAATTTACCACTTTTTAACAATTCCACTTAGGAAAGTTCAGTTGAGCTGTTGGACTTGGACAACTTCGCACCTCTCATCTTTGTCCTTGTCATCTAGTCATCTATACCATTACCTCCTTAGCAGGGACATCATGGGTGCCATGAAGCATTCATGCGTGATGGCATTTCTTGGCTTCTCATTTCTTCATGTGTTTGACATTTCCCCTAGCTCCAAACTGGGCCAGCTACCTTTCCTATGAAATCTAGCAGTAGCTGTGGGATTGACGTGGTTGCTCTTTTCATCTTTTTAGATTACCCATTGCTTCTCTCGAAATCCTAGTACATGATTTTTTTTTTATCCTATGTGCAGAAATCAGGAAAAAACAAATTCTACAAAGAATTTGAAAGATATTATTTCAGGCCAGGTGTGGTGGCTCATGCCTGTAATCCCAGCACTTTGGGAGGCTGAAGCAGATGGATCATTTGAGGTCAGGAGTTCAAGACCAGATGGGCCAACATGGTGACACCCCATCTCTACTAAAAAGACAAAAATTAGCCAGGCATGGTAGCAGGCACCTGTAATCCCAGCTACTTGGGAGGCTGAGGCACAAGAATCGCTTGAATCTGGGAGGTGGAGGTTGCCGTGAGCCAAGGTAGCGCCACTGCACTTCAGCACGGTTGAGAGTGACACTCTGTCTCAAGAAAAAAGTCATTTCAATGACCACCTCAGGAGATTCATAGGTATCTGACCCACATCTGAGATGGGATTTGCATTGCATTTTAGCTATGATGAGAAGAAATATTTAATATCTTAGAAGATTAAAAGCATACTGTGATAATATGGAAATCTTGGTGGGAATTCAGTCATTAGTGAGAATGTTTTGCGTTAAGTTCAAACCAGCCTCAATGAAGCTGATGTGAGGGAAGGGAAAGTGAACTCTGAGTAGAGCAGGGACAGAAGGAAGATGCTCCAGTGCAGATCAGGAAGGAGCAGGGGATGAAATGTTACAAATTCTAGAACTCAGAGAGCTGAAGGTAATTACTTCCTTTTCAAGTTGTGAAACATGTTAACCTGTGGTAAAATACTTATAAGATGATAATTACCATCTAACCGTGTTGAAGTGTACAGTTCAGTTGTGTGAAGTATATTCATGTCATTTTTTTTTTTTTTTTTTTTTTTGAGACGAAGTCTCACTCTGTCACCAGGCTGGAGTGCAGTGGTGGGATCTTGGCTCACTGCAACCTCTGCCTCCTGGGTTCAAGCAGTTCTCCTGCCTCAGCCTCCCGAGTAGCTGGGACTACAGGCGTGCATCACCATGCTCAGCTAATTTTTGTATTTTTAGTAGAGACGGGGTTTCACCATGTTGCCCAGGATGGTCTCCATCTCTTGACCTTGTGATTCACCCGCCTCGGCCTCCCAAAGTGCTGGGATTACAGGCGTGAGCTACCGCATCTGGCCTATTTTTTTTTTTTTTTTTTTTTTTTTTTTTTTGAGACAGAGTTTCAATTTTGTTGCCCAGGTTGGAGTGCAATGGCACAATCTCAGCTCACCACAAGCTTTTCCTGCTGGGTTCAAGTGATTCTCCTGCCTCAGCCTCCCGACTAGCTGGGATTACAGGCATGCACCACCATGCCTGGCTAATTTTGTATTTTTAGCAGAGACAGCGTTTCTCCATGTTGGTGAGGCTGGTCTCAAACTCCCGACCTCAGGTGATCCGCCTGCCTCGGCCTCCCAAAGTGCTGGGATTACAGGAGTGAGCCACCGTGCCAGCCTCATGTCATTCTTGTGTGTGTGTGTGTGTATGTGACAGAGTCTCATTCTGTCGCTCAGGCTGGAGTGCAGTGGTGTGATCTCGGCTCACTGCAACCTCCGCCTCCCAGCTTCAAACGGTTCTCTGCCTCAGCCTCCCGAGTAGCTTGGATTACAGGCGCCCGCTGCCATGCCCGGCTAATTTTTGTATTTTTAGTAGAGACGGGGTTTCACCATCTTGGCCAGGCTGGTCTTGAACTCCTGACCCCGTGATCCACCTGCCTCGGCCTCCCGAAGTACTGGGATTATACGCATGAGCCACCGTGCCCAGCCGTCATTCTTATATTATTATTTCCTAGGTGTCTCTCCTGAAGACTATCTTCTGGTCTCGAAATGGACATGATGGATCCACGGATGTACAGCAGAGAGCCTGGAGGTCCAACCGCCGTAGACAGGAAGGTATGGCTCTGTTGGAATCCGCATAGTGTGGAAATGAGTTTGCCCTGGAAAGGGAAAGAACAGCTTCTTGCCCTCAGGTTTCTCACCTTCTCTTCTCCTCACTCTCACCAAGGGCTGAGGTCCATTTGTATGCACACAAAGAAAAGAGTTTCTTCCTTTCGAGGAAATAAAATTGTCCTGAAAGACGTCATTACTCTACGGAGACATGTGGAAACAAAAGTTAGAGCTAAAATCCGTAAGAGGAAGGTGACAACGAAAATCAACCATCATGACAAAATCAATGGAAAGAGGAAGACCGCCAGAAAACAGTAAGATGTGCCTTGACACAAATACTGTTGTATGAACCATGTGCCAATCAAAGTAGACAACTGTAAAGTCCTTGAGAATATTTTCTACAATATTTGTGGCAAATTCAGTGGGTTCAAAATTGAGTTTGTCCTTTCTGCTTCATTAGTTTAAGCTGTATAATTCCTTTCCCTTCCTACATTCTTGTTTTCATTTTTTCGGAGGAAGAGGAGTTGCTAGTACTGGCATTGGTTTTCCTTTCTCTTTTTTTTTTTTTTTTTTTCCTGAGATGGAGCTTTGCTGTTGTTGCCCAGGCTGTAGTGCAATGGCACAATCTCAGCTCACTGCCTTTTGGGTTCAAGCAATTCTCCTGCCTCAGCCTCCCAAGTAGCTGGGATTACAGGTGCCCACCACCACGCCCAGCTAATTTTTGTATTTTTACTAGAGATGGGGTTTCACCATGTTGTCCAGGCTGGTCTCGAACTTCTGACCTCAGGTAATCCACCTGCCTCAGCCTCCCAAAGTGCTGGGATTAGAGGCGTGAGCCACCACAGCCAGCCTTTTTTTTTTTTTTTTTTTTTTTTAATTTTGCGATAGAGTCTCGCTCTGTCGCCCAGGCTGGAGTGCTATGGTGCAATCTTGGCTCACTGCAACCTCTGCCTCCCAGTTTGAAGCAATTCTGCCTCAGCTTCCCGAGTAGCTTGGATTACAGGTGTGTGCCACCACATTTGACCAATTTTTTTTTTTTTTTTTTTTTTTGAGACAGAGTCTCACTCTGTCACCCAGGCTAGAGTGCAGTGGCATGATCTTGGCTCACTGCAACCTCCACCTCCCAGGTTCAAGCGATTCTTATCCCTCAGCCTCTTGAGTAGCTGGGACTACAGGCATATGCCACCATGCCCGGATAATTTTTGTATTTTTAGTAGAGGCGGGGTTTCACCATATTGGCCAAGCTGGTCTAGAACTCCTGACATGATCCGCACACCTCGGCCTCCCAATGTGCTGGGATTACAGGCGTGAGCCACCGTGCCCGGCCCAATTTTTGTATTTTTAGTAGAGACAGGGGTTCACCATGTTGGCCAGGCTAGTCTTGAACTCCTGACCTCAGGTGATCTGCCTACCTCAGCCTCCCAGTGTGAGCCACCGCACCCAGCCTGGATTGTTGAATTCAATGCTTGGGTCACCTCCAGATTCATTTTCACAGTCTTTCATGTTTTGGTCATATGACATTGTATTTTGCTGCCATATGACTGATCTTTTTTTGTTAAATGTGAGATACTTGTTAAAAAATGTTTAGCAATGAATTGAGGCCTAGTAGCATGTTATCTTGCTGCAGAAGAGATGGGAGTCTACTTCTGGGGGATGGTCAGGGGTCCTCCATACAAGCTGCAATTGAAGTCGTCGGTGCAGGCTCAGTCCCTACAAAGGCCAGGGTATTTCCTGTCCACCTTTATTCTGATGCATGACTCTTCTGGGTCTCAACCAGAGCCAGCGGACTTCAGTATGGGTCGCTTTCATTGGCAGACCCTCAATCCACTTGTTTTCCATCTAATCCCACGCATGTGTGCAAAAGCTGCTGTGCTTCTTTGCATCTCAGTAGTTCCTTCTGGAATTCAGCAATGAAACTCAGGGAAATGGGTTCCAAATGCGAGGCTGACTTTCGTCCTGGGTTTCCTTCTTCTCCATCTTCACCTCATGTCTGTTTACTGCCATGTTAGCAATTTGATGTATTCAATCATGGGTTTTATATTCTGTTTGGTGTCCCCCATTGTTCTCATTGGAGATCAGAAGCTTCAGATGCACTTATGTCAACTCAAGAGTAGAATGCTTCCTTAGCTTCCCTCCAGAGTCAGGTTTTGTGTTTCTAGTTCCCAAGTGCACAGCAGGAGTAGTGATGTCCTCACTGGCTTCTCATTTGCATTAAGCTGTGAGCTTCTTTAGCGTGGGGACAGGACCCTGCTCCCATTGCATTCTCAGCACCACACCACACACTCCTTGTTTGAGGCCACTCCAGACAGCATGTGCTGAAGGATGCCTTGTGGTCAGAAACAAGTTCATTAACTTTCTCTTTGAAGTGTTTTCGCCCCTGTTTCCTAGCGTTCTGGGAATTTTACACATCCTTCCTATAAAGCCAAGTATCAGGTGAGATCCTTAGGATCAGGACCATGAATCAAGTGGTGTGAGGGCAACACAGCAAACTTACCCTTTTTAGGCCGTTTCCTTTTTCTGCCCTCAATCTCTGTGAACTGAACCTTGTTAAAGTCAGTCAACACCAGGGTGGATGGTTTGCCGTTGTCACCTATTTTCAGGACATAACACCCTGACTTAGGAGCCATTCCGATCATTTCTAATTCAATAGATGCGCCCAGCATTCAGATTGCCTTTTCTCTCAACCAGGATCTTTAAAGTTGATGACAAGAGTTCCAGTCCTGAATCATGGCAAAGTGCAGTAGTGAACTGCGGGGTTATTCTGGAAGGATCTCTCTATGGCTGATGGTCTCAGTTCCGGCATCAGCCTCTGACTGAGAATCAGGTCTCACACAGGAGGAGTCAGATGAGGAGCAATCCTCTGCTTCCGATGGAGTTAGTTGTGATGAATTGGTGAGGTCTGGTTTTTCACACTGAACTAAAATGAGCTTTCGCTGTGTCAAGCACAAGACTGACCCCAGAGACACACATAGTGCACCTCATAGAAGCTTTTAATAGTCTTTATATTTACTAAAGAATAGGACTAACTATGGAACTATGAAGATGAGCTGGAAATGACAGGTGACTTGCCAGCAGGCCAGAGTGTGACTTTTTTTTGTCCCTCAATGGGAGGTGTCAATTCTCCCTTCGGTTGTGAGAATCAGTTGGTTCATTTGTGGGAAGGTTGCAGGGGGGAATCTTTGAATCACAGCCTTCAGATGCCAGAAGGGCAGAGGGAATCCCACACGGGCTGGTGGATCATGTGTGTGCATTTCTCTCCCTTCTAATCTGAGGAAACTAAGCGTGAAAGAATGTGAGCATGCAGAAAAGGAGAGGCAGGTATCAGAGGCAGAGGAAAATGGGAAATTGGATATGAAAGAAATACACACCTACAAGTGAGTTCAGAAACTGTACCCCACCCTCTTGGGAAACGCCCATTGGAGTGTTGTTTTTAACCTTTGTACAGTATTTAGACCCAGTAAATGCAGAAATAGAAACAAACGGTCAGAAGACATATCGTGAGAGAGAGCGAGAGAGAGTTCACAAAACAGAAAACAAAGTACCTTAATATTTACCAGTGACCAAAAGATGTGAAGTAGCAAAACGTCTCCTGACCCCATTGCCAGCTAGACTGTGTGGAAACTCGGTTCATACCAGCCATTCTAGGGGTGGGGTGAGTTGTTGTCATCCTTAGGAAAGTGTGTTGTTGTAGGATCAACCACATCCTTCAAAAGGACTATGCCTGTTTATAAGCCCAGCTGTTTCTGCCCTGTGAAACACGGTAAGGATATTAATACAAAGAGAATACAGCTTTATGATAAAAGATGCTCAATGAAGGATGAATTAGGGATGTACTGAGAATGGGGAAGGAAACTATCATCTCAGAAGTCAGCAGGCAGTAAGCAAGAGGAGGAATCAATACAGCAACAGTTTGGATCAGACTGTACAGTTTTTTTGTTTTTGTTTTTGTTTTTCTGAGATGGAGTCTCGCTGTGTCACCCAGGCTGGAGTGCAATGACGTGATCTTGGCTCACTGCAACCTCCGCCTCCCAGGTTCAAGTGATTCCCCTGCCTCAGCCTCCCGAGTAGCTGGGATTACAGGTGCCTGCCACCACGCCTGGCTAATTTTTTGTATTTTTAGTAGAGAAGGGGTTTCACCATATTAGCCACAATGGTCTCAATCTCCTGACCTCGTGATCCATCCGCCCCGCCCTCCCAGAGTGCTGGGATTACAGGCGTCAGCCACCGTGACCGGCTCAGACTGTACTCTTCTAGCCATCTGAAATACGTTTTCTAGGTAGAGATAGATTGTGTAAGGGTACAGTTGTGAGGATAACAGAAACATGGCAGATTATTTAAAATCATCCTGAAAGTGGTGCTTTATCTGATGAAAGTGATTGTAATCCATAGGAAAATGTTTCAACGTGCGCAAGAGTTGCGGCGGCGAGCAGAGGACTACCACAAATGCAAAGTAAGGAGCTTCCTCCCTGCAGTTGCAGGATAGTTCAGTGCTGATGCAGATGATGCCACGGCCCTTAGACTCTCTCAACATTCAATTTCTCATGTGTTGGCTTTTTCAGATCCCCCCTTCTGCAAGAAAGGCTCTTTGCAACTGGGTAAGTTTGCTTGTTTTCCTTGCTTTTGGACATAGTCTGCCAGGTCAGGACATGGATACATTTTTCTCCCTACAGCTCTGTGCTCAAGCCCTGCAGAGGGAGATGGCAGAGAGAAAGGCTGCCTACAAGCATCACAGTCCCATCCCTGTTGGTAACCGTGTTGCGCAAAAACACCTTCATCCCCACCCAGTGGGGCCCCTGATCTAATATTCTAAGTGTCAGAGGTTCCGTATTTGTAATAGCAGATGGGCCCTGACTGTAAACTAGTGAAGAGTGAATGTAACTTATTACCCACAGGGACAATTCCAAATGAAGGCCTTAAATGATGCTCAGCTAAGCTGGTTCTTGTGTGGCCTCTGTACCTTCAAAAGCTGCCGAGTCCTATGATTACACGTGATGGGACTTGTACACTTGAAGTGAAACACAGTTTTAAAACTTGCTTTGTTTAGAATTCCCACCTCATTTTTCCATGGACAAAAGTATTCTTTATGTCCTAGTGCACTTACAATTTGGTATTACCTGGGAGTGAAAAGAAATATTACAGCCATGCCTAAGTGACTTCTTGAGGTGAGATTGTTCTGTCAGAAAACCCTCTCCCAGTTCCCCTGCAGCTCTTCAGGAATCCACATCTCTCCAGAGCTCTTTGTTCTCATGGGTGGCACCTCCAGAGTGAAGAAGATCCTTTGTCAAGAAGGGAAACAGAGGGGAAATGAGAGGGTCCTGCAGGCAGAGCTGGAATCAACTTCCACTCTGCCTCTTGCAAGCTGTGTGACCCTGGGCACAATTTCTCCTTCCTCTGGAAACCTCTGTTTTCTTAGATTTGGAGCAGGGTGGTCACACTGACCTTGCAGAGTTCTGAGAATCAGAGACAGAACATAAAAGGCCTGGAAAACATTCTCCAAAAAGAAGCTGCAACATGTGTGGACAGTGGGCTTTTCATGCCTCTCTTACTGTCTCTTACTGTCTGTTGACCTGGTGCAAGAAACATGCTCTGGTGATGGCTGTGAGGGAGGAATGAGGATAGACATAGACACTCCTGTGTCTCAAACATGCTTCTTTATTACTCTGTTATGACTCTGTCTTCCCTGGGGCAGGACCCCAGCCTGCCTACATTTGCAGACAGACACAGTGGCATGTGGAGACAACAGTGTGTCCCAATGACTTTCCTTTACCCTCCAGCTGTTGGCAGTACTCAGTGGAAGGGTGATATTATGACACTGATACTTCTATTTTGAAACCTGGAGGATGGAAAGGTGCAAAAATCTATCACCAGCAACAGAAGGTGCAGACTGTGTTGGTGGCGGTAATTTTGTCCATCAAATGAATATGTGTGAAAACATTCCCTCCTTTGGCCCTACAGGTCAGAATGGCGGCAGCGGAGCATCGTCATTCTTCAGGATTGCCCTACTGGCCCTACCTCACAGCTGAAACTTTAAAAAACAGGATGGGCCACCAGCCACCTCCTCCAACTCAACAACATTCTATAACTGATAACTCCCTGAGCCTCAAGACACCTCCCGAGTGTCTGCTCACTCCCCTTCCACCCTCAGCGGATGATAATCTCAAGACACCTCCCGAGTGTGTGCTCACTCCCCTTCCACCCTCAGCGGATGATAATCTCAAGACACCTCCCGAGTGTGTGCTCACTCCCCTTCCACCCTCAGCGGATGATAATCTCAAGACACCTCCTGAGTGTCTCCTCACTCCCCTTCCACCCTCAGCGGATGATAAACTCAAGACACCTCCCGAGTGTCTGCTCACTCCCCTTCCACCCTCAGCTCTACCCTCAGCTCCACCCTCAGCGGATGATAATCTCAAGACACGTGCCGAGTGTCTGCTCCATCCCCTTCCACCCTCAGCGGATGATAATCTCAAGACACCTTCCGAGCGTCAGCTCACTCCCCTTCCACCCTCAGCTCCACCCTCAGCAGATGATAATATCAAGACACCTGCCGAGCGTCTGCGGGGGCCGCTTCCACCCTCAGCGGATGATAATCTCAAGACACCTTCCGAGCGTCAGCTCACTCCCCTTCCACCCTCAGCTCCACCCTCAGCAGATGATAATATCAAGACACCTGCTGAGCGTCTGCGGGGGCCGCTTCCACCCTCAGCGGATGATAATCTCAAGACACCTTCCGAGCGTCAGCTCACTCCCCTTCCACCCTCAGCTCCACCCTCAGCAGATGATAATATCAAGACACCTGCCGAGCGTCTGCGGGGGCCGCTTCCACCCTCAGCGGATGATAATCTCAAGACACCTTCCGAGCGTCAGCTCACTCCCCTTCCACCCTCAGCTCCACCCTCAGCAGATGATAATATCAAGACACCTGCCGAGCGTCTGCGGGGGCCGCTTCCACCCTCAGCGGATGATAATCTCAAGACACCTTCCGAGCGTCAGCTCACTCCCCTTCCACCCTCAGCTCCACCCTCAGCAGATGATAATATCAAGACACCTGCCGAGCGTCTGCGGGGGCCGCTTCCACCCTCAGCGGATGATAATCTCAAGACACCTTCCGAGCGTCAGCTCACTCCCCTTCCACCCTCAGCTCCACCCTCAGCAGATGATAACATCAAGACACCTGCCTTCCACCCTCAGCGGATGATAATCTCAAGACACCTTCCGAGCGTCAGCTCACTCCCCTTCCACCCTCAGCTCCACCCTCAGCAGATGATAATATCAAGATACCTGCTGAGCGTCTGCGGATTCCGCTTCCACCATCAGCCGATGATAATCTCAAGACACCTTCCGAGCGTCAGCTCACTCCCCTTCCACCCTCAGCTCCACCCTCAGCAGATGATAATATCAAGACACCTGCCGAGCGTCTGCGGGGGCCGCTTCCACCCTCAGCGGATGATAATCTCAAGACACCTTCCGAGCGTCAGCTCACTCCCCTTCCACCCTCAGCTCCACCCTCAGC
Source organism: Homo sapiens (assembly GCF_000001405.40). Lineage (NCBI taxonomy): Eukaryota > Metazoa > Chordata > Mammalia > Primates > Hominidae > Homo > Homo sapiens. Next base: position 21,836,186 of record NC_000016.10, on the reverse strand, counting down.
AGATGATAATATCAAGACACCTGCCGAGCGTCTGCGGGGGCCGCTTCCACCCTCAGCGGATGATAATCTCAAGACACCTTCCGAGCGTCAGCTCACTCCCCTTCCACCCTCAGCTCCACCCTCAGCAGATGATAATATCAAGACACCTGCCGAGCGTCTGCGGGGGCCGCTTCCACCCTCAGCGGATGATAATCTCAAGACACCTTCCGAGCGTCAGCTCACTCCCCTTCCACACTCAGCTCCACCCTCAGCAGATGATAATATCAAGACACCTGCCGAGCGTCTGCGGGGAGCGTCTGCGGGGGCCGCTTCCACCCTCAGCGGATGATAATCTCAAGACACCTTCCGAGCGTCAGCTCACTCCCCTTCCACCCTCAGCTCCACCCTCAGCAGATGATAATATCAAGACACCTGCCGAGCGTCTGCGGGGGCCGCTTCCACCCTCAGCGGATGATAATCTCAAGACACCTTCCGAGCGTCAGCTCACTCCCCTTCCACCCTCAGCTCCACCCTCAGCAGATGATAATATCAAGACACCTGCCGAGCGTCTGCGGGGGCCGCTTCCACCCTCAGCGGATGATAATCTCAAGACACCTTCCGAGCGTCAGCTCACTCCCCTTCCACCCTCAGCTCCACCCTCAGCAGATGATAATATCAAGACACCTGCCGAGCGTCTGCGGGGGCCGCTTCCACCCTCAGCGGATGATAATCTCAAGACACCTTCCGAGCGTCAGCTCACTCCCCTTCCACCCTCAGCTCCACCCTCAGCAGATGATAATATCAAGACACCTGCCGAGCGTCTGCGGGGGCCGCTTCCACCCTCAGCGGATGATAATCTCAAGACACCTTCCGAGCGTCAGCTCACTCCCCTTCCACCCTCAGCTCCACCCTCAGCAGATGATAATATCAAGACACCTGCCGAGCGTCTGCGGGGGCCGCTTCCACCCTCAGCGGATGATAATCTCAAGACACCTTCCGAGCGTCAGCTCACTCCCCTTCCACCCTCAGCTCCACCCTCAGCAGATGATAATATCAAGACACCTGCCGAGCGTCTGCGGGGGCCGCTTCCACCCTCAGCCGATGATAATCTCAAGACACCTCCCTTAGCTACTCAGGAGGCTGAGGCAGAAAAACCACGCAAACCCAAGAGGCAGAGGGCGGCTGAGATGGAACCACCTCCCGAACCCAAGAGGCGGAGGGTCGGTGACGTGGAACCGTCACGCAAACCCAAGAGGCGGAGGGCCGCTGACGTGGAACCATCATCACCCGAACCCAAGAGGCGGAGGGTCGGTGATGTGGAACCGTCACGCAAACCCAAGAGGCGGAGGGCCGCTGACGTGGAACCATCATCACCCGAACCCAAGAGGCGGAGGGTCGGTGACGTGGAACCGTCACGCAAACCCAAGAGGCGGAGGGCCGCTGACGTGGAACCATCATTACCCGAACCCAAGAGGCGGAGGTTGAGCTGAGAAGAGGCCAGTGCACTCAAGCCTGAGCAATAAGAATAAAACCGAGTAGAACAAAATAAAAAATTCAAAAAACAAAACAAAACCCACACTCCAAAAACTAACAAAGAATAAATAAATAATATAAAAATAAAATAAATACTGCAGTCCTTATGTTATTGCTTTGTTTCGATATCTGGTATGATTGCCTGAGGGACCTGAGGTTTTTAATCATAGGGGTTTTTTTTTAATCTTTAGAAGTGGTTGGTTATGTAAAATATTATTATTTTTTTTTTTGAGACTGGATTTTGCTGTGTCACCCAGGCTGGAGTGCAGTGGCTCGATCACAGCTCACTGCAGCCTCAACCTCCTGGGCTTCAAGCAATCCTCCTGCCTCAGCCTCCCAAGTAGCTGGGATCACAGATATGTGCCACCACGCCTGGCCAATGTTAAAAAATCCTTTAACTTTTTTGTAGAGATGCACTCCTGGACTCAAGCGATCCTCCTACTTGTCCCGACCACCAGCCCCTTTCTGATAAACAAACATTTACACTGTTTATTATCTGATGCCATTTCTATCTTCTTCCTTGTCGTCCAGACATCGAATAATTAGGTTTCTTCAGGGTTTTCTTTTTCAAGTGCTCAGTGTTAAAGATCACTCACATTAGGGCCAGACACCATGGCTCATGCCTGTAATCCCAGCACTTTGGGAGGCCGAGGCGGGCAGAGCACTTGAGGTGGGGAGTTTGAGACCAGCCCGGCCAACTTGGGGAAACCCCACCTCTACTGAAAAAAATACAAAAATTAGCTGGGCGTGATGGTGCATGTCTGTAGTCCTAGCCACTTGGGAGGCTGAGGCATGAGAATCGCTTGAACCCAGGAGGCAGAGGTTGTAGTGAGCCAAGATCACGTCAGCACACTCTAGCCTGGGTGACAGAGTGAGACTCTGACTCAAAAAATAAATAAAATAAATATCACTTACATGAGATATACCCAAGGGGTGGTCTACAGAGACTTGGAAGCAGTGGTTATTGCAACAGGGGCACGGAAGTCATCTGGCTATGCCAGGGTGCCCAGGGGATACTCGGGGTGGGTGGCATGGTGCTGCTGGGGACTCATCGCACAGGACGCTCTGATTGACGCACTGCCAGGAGTAGCGCTCTGTCTTGGGGCTGCAGCCGGCCTCCTCAGCTCGAGTGTAACATCAGTCGTGGCCATGGCAGCACCTGCGGATGTCACATGGGCAGGACAGCAGGTGGGTGAAGCTCTCTCCTGGCCCTCCTCTCTTGCCAGGACCATGGGTGACTGAAGACCCCCAGGGAGGCACAGCATCCTCTTATCTAAGATTTTTTTTTTTTTAAGAGACAGGGTCTTTAAAAAAGTCCTGCAGTCTGCAGTCGCCCAGGCTGGACTGCAGAGGCACAATCATAGCTCACGGCAGCCTTGAACTCCTGGGCTCAAGCGATCCTCCCACTTCAGTGTCCCAAGTAGCTGAGACTACAGGCACACGCCAGCATGTCCGGCTGGTTTTTTAGTTTGTATTTCCTTTGAGACAGCATATCTCTCTGTCGCTCAGGCTGGGGTGCAATGGCTCAATCAGCTCACTTTAGCCTTGAACTCCCGGGCTCAAGTGATACTGCCACCTCAACTTCCCAAGTATGCTACTACAGGAACACAAACTCCTTTTTTAAATTTTTTGTGGATATGGGGTCTCACTATGTTGCCTAGGCTGGTCTTGAACTCCCAGGCTCAAGCAGTCCTACCTCAGCCTCCCCAAATGCTGGGATTACAGGTGGGAGCTACTGTACGCCTGGCCTTATCTAAGCTGTTTCCCTGAAAATGCCCGTCTTGGGTAATGATTCCATTGGCCCCACCATGCCCTGTCCTGCCTTCCTGGCTGTGCCCAAGCTTGGTCCCTGCCTGCCTGCCTCACTCTCTGGGTCTCGAGCTCCTGTGACACATGACTCCTCTCTCTTCCTGGAGTGATCCAAGCCCTGCCACTTCCTGACTTTGCCCACACTGTACCCTCTGCCTGGGGCAACTTCATGTCTGCCCATTGTCCCTTAGGCCTCAGCCCAGGCACAAGCCCCTGCCTCCGGAGGTCATCCAGGCCTCACCAGGCTACACCCTCTCGTAAAATTGGATTCCCTCCCTTCAGGGCAGGTTTATAATGAAATCCTCCTCAGAGGCCAGGTGCGGTGACACCCATCTGTAATCCCAGCACTTTGGGAGGCTGAGGTGGGAGGATCACTTGAGGCCAGGGGGTCGAGACCAGCCTGGGCAACATAAGAGAGACTCTTGTCTCTCTTGTCTCTATAACAAATTTAAAAATTAGCTCACCAGGCCAGGCTCAGTGGCTCATGCCTGTAATCCCAACACTTTGAGAGGCCGAGGCAGGTGGATCACGAGGTCAGGAGTTCGAGAGCAGCCTGACCAACACGGCGAAACCCTGTCTCTACTAAACATACAAAATTAGCCAGGCATGGTGGCACGCACCTGTAATCCCAGCTACTCGGGAGGCTGAGGTAGGAGAATTGCTTGAACCCCGGAGGTGGAGGTTGCGGTGAGCCAAGATCACGCCATTGCAGTCCAGCCTGAGCAACAGAGCAAGACTCTGTCTCGAGAGAATAAAAACACACAAAAAATTAACTCGCCAGGATGGCACATGCCTATAGTCCTAACTACTTGGGAGGCTGAGGTGGGAGGATTCCCTTCAGCCCAGGAGTTTGAGGCTGCAGTGAGCCACTGTGATTGTGCCACTGCACTCTAACCTGGGCAAAAGCGAGACCCCAGGCTAGAGTGCATGATTTTGGGTCACTGCAACCTCCACCTCCCAGGTTCAAGTGATTCTCCTGCCTCAGCCTCTTGAGTAGCTGGGACTACAGGCATGTGCCACCACGTCTGGGTAATTTTTGTATTTTTAGTAGAGACAGGGTTTAGTAGAGACCATGGTGAAACCCCATCTCTATTAAACAAATCTCTACTAACCCCATCTCTACAAAAAACAGCTGGGCGTGGTAGTGCACACCTGTAATTCCAGCTACTTGGGAGGCTGAGGCACGAGAATCATTTGCATCTTGGAGGCAGAGTTTGCAGTGAGCTGAGATCGCACCACTGCACTCCAGCCGGGATGACAGAGCAAGACCCTGTCTCAAAAAAAAAAAAAGGGCCGGGCGCGGTGGCTCACGCCTGTAATCCCAGCACTTTGGGAGGCCGAGGCGGGCGGATCACGAGGTCAGGAGATCGAGACCATCCTGGCTAACACGGTGAAACCCCGTCTCTACTAAAAATACAAAAAATTAGCCGGGCGTGGTGGCGGGCGCCTGTAGTCCCAGCTACTCGGGAGGCTGAGGCAGGAGAATGGCGTGAACCTGGGAGGCGGAGCTTGCAGTGAGCCGAGATCGCGCCACTGCACTCCAGCCTGGGCGACAGAGCGAGACTCCGTCTCAAAAAAAAAAAAAAAAAAAAAAAAAGAAAAAAGAACAAACAACAGCAACAACAACAAAAAAACCTCTGTGTCAATCACAGCCTTCGAGCTAGGGGAGAGGCGGCCGAATTCTGCCCTCCGCTAACGAGCTATAGCTTTGTGGAAATGGGCGAGTGGCGTGCCCTTGTGAGCCTCAGGGCCGCATCTGTAAAATGGGCATAACTGTCATGCCTGTCTTTAAGAACAGCCTTGGGGGTAAATGAGTGGAACTAATGGAAAGATCTCAGCCCACAACCTTCCACAGAACAGGCGCTTCTCACACAGTAAGTAGCAGGAGTGCAGAGGCTGCAGGCATGAATCCAGTCAGACTGCAGACTGCCTGGGTTCAAGTCCCAGCTCCCACGTCTTGGTAACTAAGTGGCCTCAGACAAGTTACTTAGTATTTCTTCTTCTTCTTTTTTTTTTTTTTTCAGACGGAGTTTTGCTCTGTCACCCAGGCTGGAGTGCAGTGGTGTGATCTCGGCTCACTGCAACCTCCGCCTCCCGGGTTCAAGCAATTCTCCTGCCTCAGCTTCCTGAGTAGCTGGAATTACAGGCACCTGCCACCACATCCAGCTAATTTTTGTATTTTTAGTAGAGACAGGGTTTCACCATATTGGCCAGGATGGTCTCGAACTCCTGACCTCGTGATCTGCCTGCCTCAGCCTCCCAAAGTACTGGGATTATAGGCGTGAGCCACCGCACCTGGACACATTACTTAATATTTCTGTGCCTTGGTTTCTTCATCTGTGAAATGGGATTGTTGTGAGAATGCAAAGGGATTCCCAGGGCAGTTCCTAGTGCATAGTCTGGCTGCCTTTGTGTGTGTGTGTGTGTGTGTGCATGTGTGTGTGTGTTTAATATAGAGACAGGGTCTCACTATGTTGCCTAGGCTGGTTTCAAACTCCTGGGCTCCAGTGATCCTCCTGCTTCCACCCAAAGTGGTGGGATAACAGGTGTGAGTCACCACACCTGGTCACTTTATATTATTTTTTTCTTTTGAGACAGGGTCTCGCACTGTTGCCGAGGTTGGAATGCAGTGGTGCAATCTCAACTCACTGCAAACTCCGCCTCCCGGGTTCAAGTGTTTCTCCTGCATCAGCCTCTTGAGTAGCTGGTACTATAGTCACCGGGCTCCTTGCCTGGCTAAGTTTTGTATTTTTAGTAGAGATGCGGTTTAGTGATTCTCCTGCATCAGCCTCTTGAGTAGCTGGTACTATAATCACTTAGCTCCTTGCCCAGCTAATTTTTGTATTGTTAGTAGAGATGCGGTTTCCTTTTTTTTTTTTTTTTTTGAGATGGAGTTTCGCTCTTGTTGCCTAGGCTGGAGTGCAGTGGTGCTATCTCGGTTCACCACAGCCTCCGCCTCCTGGGTTCAAGCGATTCTCCTCCTCAGCCTCCCGAGTAGCTGGGATTACAGGCATGTGCCACCGCACCTGGCTAATTTTGTATTTTTAGTAGAGACGGGGTTTCCCCATGTTGGTCAGGCTAGTCTCGAACTCCTGATGTCAGGTGATCTGCCTTCCTTGGCCTCCCAAAGTGCTGGGATTACAGGCATGAGCCAGCATGCCAGGCTGGCCCTTTTTTTTTTTTTTTTAATCACTTAACATATATCTTGGAGAACTTTCCATTTTGGGAGTTAAAGAGATTTGTTTGTTTGTTTGTTTTGAGACAGGGTCTCCCTCTGTGGCCCAGGCTGGAGCTGGACCTTGGCTCAGTCCAACTTCCACCCCCCGGGCTCAAGCAATCCTCCCACTTCAGCCTTCCAAGTAGCTGGGTCTATGGGCACATGCCACCACATCCCGCTACTTTTTATAGTTTTTGTAGAGATAGGATTTTACCATGTTGCCCAGGCTGGTCTTGAACTCCTGAGCTCAAGTGATCCACCTGCTTCAGCCTCCCAAATTACTGGGATTACAGGCATGAGCCATCTTGCCCAGCCTGTTTTTTATTTAATATCTACTAAGTGCCAACTACCATAGAGGACATAAAGATGATTCAGTCTCTGCAGAAGTCATTTTCTTTCTCTTTCCTGTTGTACAGCACAAAATTAATGGACTAAATAGTCTGTCACTAGATAAAGAAGCCCTAAGTAATCAGGCACTTGCTGCAGTTTTTACAAAGTTTAAAAAGCCATATGAAACACAGTATACTCCAAGTAATAAGAGGCAAAATATGTGAAGTGTTACTGCTGGGGAATTTACGGACTATTCTTTTCTACAATATATCTGCTGTGGTCTGAATGTGTTCCCCAAGATTCATATGTTAAAACTTAACCACCAGTCTGGTAGTATTAAGAGGTGGGGCATCATTAAGTCATGAGGGCATGGGATTAGTAACCTCATAAAAAGGTTGGCGGGAACGAGCTAGGCCCTTTCATTGCCCTTACATCCCTCTGTCACTTGAAGACACAGCACTGGTCCCCCCGGGAGGACATAGCAGCAAGGTGCCGTATTGGAAATGGCCACCATGCCCTCACCAGATACCAACCTGCTGGTAACTTAATCTTGGCCTTCCTAGCCTCCAGAACTGTGAGAAAGAAATTTCTGGGTTTTGTTTGTTTGTATGAGACAGGGTCTCTGTCACCTAGGCTGGAGTGCAGTGGCACGATCTCGGCTCACTGCAACCTCTGCCTCCTGGGTTCAAGTGATTCTCCCACCTCAGCCTCCCGAGTAGCTGGGATTACAGGTATGCACCACCACACCCAGCTTTTTTTTTTTTTCATAGCGTTGTACAGATAGGGTTTCGTCATGTTGCCCAGGCTGATCTCGAACTCCTAAGGTCACACGATCCACCTGCCCTGGCCTCCCAGCATGCTGGGATTAAAGGCGTGAGCCACTGTGCCTGGCCAAAATTTCCGTTTTTTATAAATAACCCAGTCTCTGGTACTTTCTTATAGCCGCACGAACAGATAAAGACTGTACCTATCTGTTGACTGGGCGCAGTGGCTCACGTCTGTAATCCCAGCACTTCGGGAGGCTTAGACAGGTGGATCACGAGGTGAGGAGATCGAGACCATCCTGGCTAATATGGTGAAACCCCGTCTCTACTAAAAATACAAAAAATTTAGCTGGGCTCGGTGGCGGGCGCCTGTAGTCCCAGCTACTCAGGAGGCTGAGGCACGAGAATGGCATGAACCCGGGAGGCGGAGCTTGCAGTGAGCCGAGATCATGCCACTGCAGTCCGTCCTGGGCGAAAGAGCGAGACTCCGTCTCAAAAAACAAACAAACAAACAAACAAACAAAAAAGACCGTGCTTTTCTGTCTGTCTCCCTCATAGGTCAGTTTCCACCTGATTGTAACCACATCAAGTATCCTAGTATATTTCATATTTACAGAAAAATAAATGGGCAAATACTGTCATTTACAGAGAACCTGCCCTGTCCTGTACACTGTGACATATTTTGTGGTTTGTGATTATGTGCTCTGATCCTTACGATAGCTCTAAAATAGCTCAAAAAGTTATTCCCATTTTGTACATAAGAAAATTGAAGTTCTGGAAACATAAGGCAATTGCCCAAAGTAATAGAGTAAATGACAAAGCTAGGATTTCTTTCTTTCTTCCATTAATTAATTAATTATTTGAGATAGGGTCCCTGTTGTGGGATGCAGTGGGGAGATCATAGCTCACTGCAGTCTCGACCTCCTGGGCTCAACTGATCCTCACGTCTCAGCCTCCTGAGTAGCCGGGACTACAGGTGCACACCAACACTATGGCTAATTCTTGTATTTTTCTGTAGAGGTCTGCCTAGGCTAGGCAGAGATTCTGGCTAGGCTGGTCTCAAACTCCTGGGCTCAAGCAATTCTCCTGCCTCACCCTCCCATATAGCTGGGACCGCAGGTGTGTGCCACCACTCCCAGCTGACTTGTTTATACCAGTGGTTCTTAATTGGAAGAGTTTTGTACCCCGGGGACATTTGGCAACATCTGGAGATGTTTTTGAATGTTACAGTGGGGAGGAGGGGAATGCTACTGTCACCTACTGCGTAGAGGCAAGGGATGCTGCTGAACATCCCACAATGCACAGAACAGCCTCCTCCCCACCCAACAGAGAAGTATCTGGTTGGCCCAAAATCTCAATGATGCCAAGTCTAAGAAACTGCTTTGTATTTCTCTGAGATACTGGGATGAGGAACGCTCTAAATTAGTTGTCTTTGAGGATAATGTATGCATACATACACATATATGTGTATACATGTATATAACTAAAGATATATAGTTGAGATCTTGCATTTGTGTTAATGAATGTAGTTTTTATAAAGATAATTGACTCATACATTAATTGTTGACTCTTTGGAAAGGAAAAAGGACAAATGAGATACATGCTATTGGTTTTGTTATTTAGAAATTGTTCGTGTGGATCCTCCCTACCATTCAGCCATTTGCAAACCATTAGTTGAGCATAACTTAATCCCTTCTAGTTCACAGCAAAGATTCATCAAAAGCCATTTGGTATACTGTCACCTCATCTCTCTACCAGTGTTGATTAGATTACAGGAGGGTTACAGGAGGGCACCTTATCCAAATTGGCCAATGATAAATTCTTTTTTGGTACCTTACTATATATTTGTATCCTCAGAACAAATTCTCCTTTCTGCTTAAGCTGGCTTGACTTCATTTCTTTCACTAGCAAGCTAAGAGGCTTTGGCCAACAGAACTACTCTAGGGGTAGCTGTAAAATTTATCTCTAAGGAAAGGCTGCTCTTTTGAAAACACAGTTTAATGGGTCTTCTGGGTATATGACGATAGTAAAGCAAAATTTTGTTCTGGAATGAAGAAGCTGATTACATTGTTGTATTACAAACAATATATTACTCAGTGAAGTGAAAGGCCACACTGTGGGCAGGGTGGTGACTTTGCAGATAGCATGTTAATCCTTGCATGCTTTTTGTTGTTTCTCTTTTTGGAGGGGGAGGGTCTTAATTTTCTTTGGCCCTCCCCCACCCCCTTTATTTTCTCTGGGGAAGGCAAGACTGGATAAGGAGGCTTTTATCCTGCCAAGATGAGTTGGCCCACAGGACAATTTGACTGAATAGAGGCTCCACAAAGAACGGACATGGCCAAAGAATTACAACAGGAAATTATGCATTTAGTTTTAAGGCTTCCTTTTTCTCCTTTTTTTTTTTTTTTTTTTGAGACCGAGTCTTGCTCTGTTGCCCAGGCTGGAGTGCAGTGTTGCGATCTCAGCTCACTGCAACCTCTGCCTCCCGGGTCCAAGCGATTCTCCAGCCTCAGCCTCCCGAGTAGCTGGGATTACAGGTACCTGCCACCACACCTGGCTAATTCGTATTTTTGGTAGAGATGGGGTTTCACCATGTTGGCCCGGCTGGTCTTGAACTCCTGGTCTCAAGTGATCCACCCGCCTCAGCCTCCCAAAGTACAGGGATTACAGGCATGAGCCACAGGGCCTGGCCAGTATTTTTCTTGTATAATGCTCAGAGTTTCCTTTAAATCTTTTTAAAAACTTGGCAGCCTTAGTCTTAGCTGTGCTTTGGGAAAATAAGGAGCTGCACTCAAGCTTAAGAAGATATTGCTGGAAGTGTACATTGGCACAGCCTTCGAAGCTTCTTGGTGCCCTCCTGTAACCCAATCGACACTGGCTAGAGAGATGAGGTCATATTGCATCAAATGGCTTCCAGTGATTCTTTGCTGTGGACAAGAAAGTTGCTCTTTTTCTTTGAGAAAGTTGCTCTTTTTCTTTGAGAGGGAGTTTTGATGCCTAGGCTGGAGTGCAATGGCAGTGATGTCGGCTCACTGCAACCTCTGCCTCCCAGGTTCAAGTGATTCTCCTGCCTCAGCCTCCCGAGTAGCTGGGATTACAGGAATGTGCCACCATGCCAGGCTAATTTTGTATTTTTAGTAGAGACAGGGTTTTTCCATGTTGGTCAGGCTGGTCTCGAACTCCCGACCTCAGGTGATCCACCCATGTTGGCCTCCAAAAGTGCTGGGATTACAGGCGTGAGCCACCACGCCCAGCCAAGAAGGTCACTCTTTATGCTCAACAAATGTATTGCAAATGGCTGAAAGGTAGGGAGGATCCAGATGAACAATTTCTAAATAGGAAAACTAATAGCCAGACACGATGGCTCACACCTGTAATCCCAGCATTTTAGGAGGTCGAGGCAGGCAGATCACCTGATGTCAGGCATTTGAGACCAGCCTGGGCAACACGGAGAAACCCCATGTCTACTAAAAATACAAAAATTAGCCAGGTGTGGTGGCGGGCATGTGTAGTCCCAGCTACTCAGGAGGCTGAGGCAGGAGAATCACTTAAACCCGGGAGGCAGAGGTTGCAGTGAGCTGAGCTTGTGCCACTGTACTCCAGCCTGGGCAACAGAGAGAGACTCTGTCTCAAAAAAAAAAAAAAAAAATCGTAGATATCCAATTTGTTCCTTTCTCCTTTCCTAAAAGCTTTTTGTGCCCCCTCCAACCCAACAGTTCCACCCTAGAAAAACACTTGTACACATACATCAGGAAACGATACAAGAATATTCAGGCTGGTCGCGGTGGCTTGCCTATAATCTCAGCATTTTGGGAGGCCGAGGTGGGAGGACGGCGAGAGATCATGCCACTGCGCTCCAGCCTGGGCAACAGAGGGAGACTCCGTCTCAAAAAAAAAAAAAAAAAAAAGCATAATGTTGAAAACAAACAGCAGTATAATACAGCATGGAGATAACTTTATAAAATGCAAAGACAAATAAAAGTAAATATAGTGCATTGTTTAGGAGTATAAATATGGTAATTATGCAAAGAAAACTAAAATGACTTTTAAAAATCATGATGGTGACTATTTTTGGGAGGAAAGCAGGTAGAAGGTGGGATCTGAGAGCAGCACACAGTAAGTGTCAATTGTCCTAGTTAATGTTCGGCTTCTTAAATTGGGTGATATGTTCACAGGTGTTCATTATGTTCTTTTTTTTTTTTTTTTTTTTGAGACGGAGTCTGACTCTGTTGCCCAGGCTGGGGTGCAGTGGTGCGATCTCGGCTCACTGCAAGCTCCACCTCTTGGGTTCATGCCATTCTCCTGCCTCAGCTTCCCAAGTAGCTGGGACTACAGGTGCCCGCCACCACACCCGGCTAATTTTTTTTTTTTTTGTATTTTTAGTAGAGACGGGGTTTCACCGTGTTAGCCAGGATGGTCTCGATCTCCTGACCTCGTGATCCACCTGCCTCGGCCTCCCAAAGTGCTGGGATTACAGGCGGGAGCCGCTGCGCCCAGCCCATTATGTTCTTATAACTTACATTAACATATTATTTTATATATGTCAAGCTTTTTTTCCCTTTTTTTTTTTTAAGAGATGAGATTTTGCTTTGTCACCCAGGCCAGAGAGTGTCGTGGTGCAGTCATAGCTCACAGCAGCCTCCAACTCCTGGGTTCAAGTGATTCTCCCACCTCTGTCTGCCAAATAATTGGAACTACAGGCATGTGCCACCATGCCTGGGTAAGTTTTTTTTTTTAATTTTTTATTTATTATTATACTTTAAGATTTAGGGTACATGTGCACAATGTGCAGGTTAGTTACATATGTATACATGTGCCATGCTGGTGCGCTGCACCCACTAACTCGTCATCTAGCATTAGGTATATCTCCGAATGCTATCCCTCCCCCCTCCCCCCACCCCACAACAGTCCCCAGAGTGTGATGTTCCCCTTCCTGTGTCCATGTGTTCTCATTGTTCAATTCCCACCTATGAGTGAGAATATGCAGTGTTTGGTTTTTTGTTCTTGCGATAGTTTACTGAGAATGATGATTTCCAATTTCATCCATGTCCCTACAAAGGATGTGAACTCATCATTTTTTATGGCTGCATAGTATTCCATGGCATATATGTGCCACATTTTCTTAATCCAGTCTATCATTGTTGGACATTTGGGTTGGTTCCAAGTCTTTGCTATTGTGAATAATGCCGCAATAAACATATGTGTGCATGTGTCTTTAAAACAGCATGATTTATAGTCCTTTGGGTATCCTGGGTAAGTTTTTTAAAAGTGTTATTTGTAGAGACGGAGTCTGGCTGTGTTGCCTGGGCTGGTCTCAAACTCCTGGCTTCAAGGTATCCTCCTGCCTCAGCCTCCCAAAGCTCTGGCATTACAGGTGTGAGCCACTGCACCCAGACTCAGACTTTTTTTAAGGGAAAGAATGGGAGTGTAGGTGGGGAGACACACTTTGGGAGGCCAAGGTGGGAGGATCACTTGGGCCGGGGGTTCAAGACCAGTCTGGGCAACAAAGTGAGACCTCGTATTTACCAAAAATACAAAAAATTAGCTGGGCTTGGTGGTGTGGGTTTGGGAGGCTGAGGTGAGAGGATTGCATAAGCTGTAGGAGCCCGAGGCTGCAACGAGCTGTGATCGCGCCATTGCGCTCTAACTTGGGCTAGACAATGAGATCCTGTCTCAAACCAAAACAAAACAAAACAGATAATTGTCAAATTGCTGTTTTGCTATTGTTGCTTTTTGTTTTTGCTTCGCTTTGCCTTGGAAGTGAAGAAGAGATTCTCATTTAAACAGTTATCTTGAAGTATCTTTGTGAACTAGGGTGCAATTATTTCCTCTGTCCTTGAGACACAGATGATTCCTGTCCAACATTCCCAAGGAACTCAGTAAGGACCAAATAGAGACTCAGGAAAGACAGTTACTGATTTTACACTGTTGCAAAACAGAGCTATGGTTTATGTTTAACAAACTGCTGGTGGGGCGTGGTGGCTCATGTCTGTAATCCCAGCACTTTGGGATGCCAAGGTGGGTGGATCACTTGAGGTCAAGAGTTCGAGACCAGCCTGGCCAACATGGTGAAACCCTGTCTCTACTAAAAATACAAAAATTAGCAGGGCATGGTGGTGCATGCCTGTAATCCTAGCTACTGGGGAGGGTGAGGCACAAGAATCGCTTGAACCTGGGAATCGGAGGATGCAGTGAGCCGAGATCACGACACTGTACTCCATCCTGGGTGACGGAGCGAGACTGTCTCAAAAAAAACACAAAAAACAAAAAAACCAAATTGCTGTATTTTATTTTGTGAAATAGGGTCTAGCTCTGTTGTCCAGGCTGGAGTGCAGGGGTGCAATCACAGCTCACTGCAGCCTTGACCTCCAGGGCTCAATCGATCCTCCCTCCTCAGTTTTCAAGTAGCTGAGACTACAGGTATGCACCACCATATGCTGCCCAGGCTGGTCTTGAACTCCTGGAGAGAGATACATACACACACACACACACACACACACACACACACACACACACACTTTTTTTTTTTTTTTGAGACACAGTTTCGCTCGTCACCCAGGCTGGAGTGCAATGGCACAATCTTGGCTCATTGCAACCTCTGCCTCCTGGGTTCAAGCTATTATCCTGCCTCGGCCTCCCAAGTAGCTGGGATTAGTAAGGCACTGCCACCATGCCTGGCTAATTTTGTATTTTTAGTAGAGACAGGGTTTTGTCATGTTGGCCAGGCTGGTCTCAAACTTCTGGCCTCAGGTGATCCACTTGCCTCGGCCTCCCAAAGTGTTGGGATAACAGGCATGAGCCACTGCGCCGGGCCCATACATATGCATTTTAAAAAATTTATTTATTTATTTCGAGACAGGGTCTCACTCTGTTGCCCAAGCAGGAGTGCAGTGGTGCTATCTCCCAGGCTCAAGCAATCCTCAGCCTCCCGAGTAGCTGGGACTACAGGTGTGTGCCATCACACCCAGATAATTTTTATTATTTTTATTTTTTAAATTTTTTGTAGAGATGGAGTTTCACCGTGTCACCCAGGCTGGATATTTTTGTATTTTTGATAGGCCTGTACAGTTTCCAAAGTTGCAACCTTTCCCCCTCCCTGAGAGTAGGGGCAGCCCCGGCTCTCCCTCTACATCCTCCACAGTCCCGAGGTTTTGGCCTCTGTTTCCTCTGTTTCCTATGCTTGGAACACCAGTCGCTCTTTTGTTGGTCTGGCTGACTTCTGTTCCTCTTTTAAAAATTTAAGTTTGGCCGGGTGCGGTGGCTCACGCTTGTAATCCCAGCACTTTGGGAGTCCGAGGCGGGTGGATGACCTGAGGTCATGAGTTCAAGACCAGCCTGGCCAACACAGTGCAACCCCGTCTCCACTAAAAATACGAAAATTAGCCGGGTGTGGTGGCATGCGCCTGTAATCCCAGCTACTTGGGAGGCTGAGGCAAGAGAATTGCTTGAACTGGGGAGGCGGAGGTTGCAGTGAGCTGAGATCACGCCACTGCACTCCACCTGGGCAACAGGGCAAGACTCGGTCTCAAAAGAAAATAAATAAATAAATAAATAAATAAATAAATAAATAAATAAAGTCAAGGGGGTAACACCTCTTGGTAACTCTCCTGTTGTTTCTCATGCCAGCATCATCACAGCCTTGAGGCTCTGGGGTAGGTCACTTCGTCGAGCTCGTTTCCATGAGGATAACGTTATCTTGGGTGTCTGTGAGAATGCTGCACTGAGTATAGAGCCCAGGCTCCTGGGTCAGCCGGGTTCGAATCCCCTTTCCTCCGTGAAGATCTGGGTCAGTCACAAGTGCTTCAGTTTCTTCGATCTGACTGAGGGAGGCTTTGACTCCAAAAAATTAACACTTGAGTGTACCTGGCCACAGCTTAGCACATCCAGGGTGTTTCCACCCTTTCTTTGGGATCCTCAGGGCTGGATGGAGCCGATCCTTCCCGTCTCTCCTTACACTCGCGCACTCACGCTGGCTGGAACAAGTCCTCCAAGTAGAACGAAGAGCGCGTTTTAGCGGCGCTCTAGCCCGCCGAGAGCATACGCCCTCCCCACACGGGGCCCCTGATTGTCTGAAGGTTGCGCTGGCACGCGCAACTTCCGGGACAGAGGCTGTGGCTGGAAGGAGCTGGGCATCCGGCCTGAGGCGCAGCGGTCGCGTTAGTTCGGCCCAATGGCGGCACCGCTGCTTCACACGTTGTTTGTCGGGAGATGCGGCCGCTTCGTCCTCTGCAGTCAAGACGCTGGGCGCGTCGAGGACTGGGTAAGATTCAGGCCGCTTCCTTCTGCGCGTCTGGGACCAAAGCTCAGGACCGCGCTTAGAGGAGCGGATTGAAAGGATGTGGGACAAAGCTAATGGCGTGTGATAGGAGCACGGGGTCGAGGGTCATCTCACGTTCACAGAAATGAGCTCATTCCTCCTAACTGGGTAATAGACATGGGTGGGGCCTGGAAAAGTGAGTATGTTCTCTGTTCTGGAGGCCCACTTTCCCGACTGTGTCTCTTCGTGATTTCCCAGGCCTGGGTACTGCCTTCTGCGCCTTGACCCCTCTTCCTTCCCTCTTCTTCGTCCAAATTTGGAAGGGATTTCCCTGGGCTATGTGGGTTATCAGCCGAACGTTGTCACTCATGGCAAATTGAATATTACATCTTTTTTGTTTGAAATTTGTTTCGACACACGTATTTGTTTCGCAGTCTTTATTTTGCTCCACTTTTAAAATCCCTAACCCCCATAGCAC